>NC_000012.12:105035885-105338915 GCF_000001405.40 Homo sapiens
TACGTATATTTATATGTGTATATATATTATATATATACATATATTTATATGTGTATATATATTATATATATACGTATATTTATATGTGTATATATATTATATATATACGTATATTTATATATGTGTATATATATTATATATATACGTATATTTATATATGTGTATATATATTATATATATACGTATATTTATATATGTGTATATATTATATATACGTATATTTATATATGTGTATATATATTATATATATACGTATATTTATATATGTGTATATAATATATACACGTATATTTATATATGTGTATATAATATATACACGTATATTTATATATGTGTATATAATATATACACGTATATTTATATATGTGTATATAATATATACACGTATATTTATATATGTGTATATATTATATATATACGTATATTTATATATGTGTATATATATTATATATACGTATATTTATATATGTGTATATATATTATATATATACGTATATTTATATATGTGTATATATATTATATATATACGTATATTTATATATGTGTATATATTATATATATCCATATATATGTGTGTGTGTATATACACACACATATATACGTATATTTATATATGTATATATATATTTTATATATATATATATATATATATATATATATATATATATATATATATATATAAAATGGATGTGGCTGGGTGCAGTGGCTCACACCTGTTATTCCACCCATTTAGGAGGCCAAGGCAGGAGGATCACTTTAGCCCAGGAGTTTAAGACCTGCCTGGGCAACATAGTGAGATCCCATCTCGAAAACAAAGTATAATGAATGCTTTGAAATACCATGCTTTTCCTGTGCATACATTTTATCTTTAAACATTACAAAAATATGTTGACTGTCTTGGGTTTGGGGTTCTTAAATGGTTAAAACAGACTCTTTAAGGTTATATATTCCTAACCCAGACATCCAGGGGAGTCCTGACCCCTGATATCAGTTTGAGTACCCCCAGCCATTGTCTGTCACTGAAACCTCCAGATGGTCCATTCAAAGGCCCTGGCCGCAGGGGTACTTGGTTCTTCTTCACTCCCAGACCACTCCATTCTCTTTGGGATGCTTACATGATGAAGTTTGGCTGTGAGTGTTCATTATAATTACATTTAGGGCCAATGGTGAACAGAGTCTGCTTAGTGCATAGGCTGGACAGTTGTACAGAACTGAGAAGACCATAAGTTTCCCCCACAATTACAAGAAAGCTTAGCACAACCCCTGCCGAGCATTGACTCATTTTATGCCTATATCTCAGATGTGAAGAATGAGAACTAGGCCAATTTTTTTTAACCTTTACATTTTATTTAAAATAAGCCTTTATACTTTGAAATAGTTTAAGGCTCACAAGGTGTTGCAAAAATAATGTGAGAGTTCCTTTGTGCCCTTTACCTAACTTCCCCCATGATAACATCTTATAAAACCATAGTACATTGTTAAAACCAGGAAATTGATGTTGCTAATTACTTGTTAAATATGAAACCCTTTGTTGTGTCTAAAACGCTTACCAGAAGCTCAATGTGCAAAACAGGTAAAAGTAGGACTGTTCAGGTTGATGGGATGAGATGTTGTAGGGAAAGGAGGGAGAAGCTAGAAGCCCTAATAGAATATCTTTTGAACTTTTTTACATGCCTGCTATGACTCATATCCTGTTTTAAAAACACCTTAGTAGAGGAATTATAAAGACATTATTTTTAAAAACTAAGTGCTCTGAGTATTCCCAAATCTAAGCATAAAAACAATGGTTTTAATTTATGACTAGACAAAACCCAAATCTCATTTAAGATCTCTGATAAAAAAGGAGGTGAAATGTGTTTTAGAAGCAAGCACCTATTTTTTTTTCTTTTTTTTTTTTGAGACGGAGTCTCACTCTGTCGCCCAGGCTGGAGTGCAGTGGCGTGATCTCAGCTCACTGCAACCTCCGCCTCCTGGGTTCAAGAGATTCTCCTGCCTCAGCCTCCCGGGTAGCTGGGACTACAGGTGCCCACCACCACGCACGGCTAATGTTTTTGCATTTTTACTAGAGACGGGGTTTCACCATGTTGGTCAGGCTCGTCTTGAACTCCTGATCTCAAGTGATCCACCCGTCTTGGCCTCCCAAAGTGCTAGGATTACAGGCGTGAGCCACCTCACCTGGCCCAGGCACCTATTTACTTAAATTTGACCCTCTCTTACCATTCGCACAGCCTTGTCAAGTTCACAGTCATTAAATATTATAAGTGGAGACTTGCCACCAAGCTCAAGGGAAACTTTCTTCAAGTTGCTAACAGCACAGCTAGAGGAAAACAAATGAGAAATGAGCATTTAGTTAACATCTCTCTCTCTCTCTCTCTCACACACACACACACACAAACACACACACACACACACACACACACACACACACACACACACACTTTTTAAGCTATAAGTTACCACCTGGCATGGAAAACATATTGAGCCTCAGTAATATTAAGAAACTTATTCAAGGCCAGGCACAGTGACTCACAACTGTCTGGGAGACCAAGGTAGAAGGGATCCTTTAAGGCCGGAAGTGTGAGACCAGCCTGAGCAACATGGCAAGACCTCATCTCTATAAAAAATAAGAAAATTAGGTAGGTATGGTGGTGTGTGACTGTAGTGTCAGCTACTTGGGAGGCTGAGGCAGGAGGATCGTTTGAGCCCAGGAATTCAAAGCTGCAGTGAGCTGTGATCACCACTGCACTCCAGCCTGGGTGACAGTGTTAGACCGTGTCTCTTAAAAAAGAAAAAAAGAAAGAAAAAGGAAAAAGTTATTCATAGATAAAACAGATGGTAGAATGGTGATTACCATTGAAGCTGAGTGATGAGTACATAAAATTCATTTTGCTTTTCTGCTTTCTATGTATTAGACATTTTCCATAATAAAAAAATTTCAAAAATGTTGTGGTCAAAAGTTAATTCAAATTCTTTAGAAATTTTGGTTACATAAAAGCCTGGCAAAAGAATTAAACCTCTAACCAGACTACCGAAGCATTGGGAGAAAAAATATCAATTTTTAAAAGTACGCTGCTTATTTTTCCTTTCTTACAAAAGTATTTTTATTTAAAGCATTTTGAAAATACCTACCCCAAAATGCAAACAGAAGAAAAAAATCACAAAATTCCATTCCATGCCTCAGTGACCATTGTTTTTACCATTTTGATATACTACCTATTTGTGATCTGTCCTACCATAGCTTTTGCGTTGTTTAACATAGTTGAGATCATCCAGTGTATACAATGTTATACTTTATTTTTATTTCCATTTATTATTTTAACAACACTTTTCAATGTTATTAAAATTCTCTATGAACATGACTGCACAGTGTTCCATTACATTGACATATTTTAACAACTGCTTTATTTTGGACATTTAGATTGCTTACAGCTTAAAAAAAAATTGCTTTGGCGGACTCCATTTATAAATAATCCAGGTTTGTCATATAAAATATATAAATTTCACATTTATGTATCTTTTTGGTTTTTTACCCATACTCTGAGAACAATTTGGGCCACAGCTTTAATACAGGAAGTCTTTTGTGCTGAATTGTTAAAACTACCAGTAGGGCACAGAATTTCAACATAGCTTTGGTTTTATTGACTCTGGGCTTTAATGCTTTGGAAAGTATTTTATTGTATTCAAATATTTCAATACTCAGCAGTGATAAGTAGATTTCCCTTCCAAAGTTGATGTAGTTTTTCTCACTCAAAAAGTACCCTGTTTAAACAAAAATTGAAACCTAGTTTAACAGGATCTGCAGTGAATCAACATTTTAAAACCAATACCTCTTCATGATCTGTTTGCCAATAGGAGTGGATCCAGTGAAACCAAGTTTGCGGATGTCAGGATGTTCAGACAGACGTTGTCCTGCTATGCCACCTGTAGAATTAGGGAATAAAACGGGAATTAAAACATACTCAAGGCCGGGCGCGGTGGCTTACGCCTGTAATCCCCGCACTTTGGGAGGCTGAGGCAAGCAGATCACAAGGTCAGGAGATCGAGACCCGCCTGACCACCATGGTGAAACCCTGTCACTACTAAAAATATAAAAATTAGCCAGGCATGGTGGCACACGCCTGTAATCCCAGCTACTCAGGAGGCTGAGAGAGAATCACTTGAACCCAGGAGGCGGAGGTTGCAGTGGGCCAAGATCGCGCCTTTGCACTCCAGCCGGGGCAACAGAGTGAGACTCCGTCTCAAAAAAAAAAAAAAAAAAAAAAAAAAACCTTACTCAAATTCTTATAGTGAAGATGGCTTTAAATTCATTGAAGTAGATTTCTAAGCTCTCCTTGACACCTTAGTTTTACATTTTCTGTATTAATTACAAACTGATAAAAGTCTGAAATAATACCCTTTATGAAATTATCAGACTCCCAAAATAATGATGGGTAAGCCTTGATTTTTATCTTCCAGAGTAGTTTTTGAAAATCAAAATGGAACATCTTAGGGTAATTTTACATGACTGTACAACCCCCCTCCCCACTGCCACTCACCCACCACTGTATTTCCATTTTAAGATTTTAGCACATGGTAAGTATATTCATCCTTAACTGTTTGGTGAATTGTATTTAGTTTTAATACAGTTATAATTCAGGACAAGTCTCTAGAGGTAAAAGAGCCACTCAGCTACCCCAGTACCATTCATTAGTTATAGCACAGTCGGTCATTTAGTGGCTTACCTGAGCCTGGAATGATGTTGATGACCCCCTTTGGAAAGCCTGCTTTCACAGACAGTTCTGCAAACTTCAAAGCAGTCAAGGGCGTGACCTGAGGAGAAGCAAACAGCAATTACCTTCTTCAGGCCCTAACCTGACCTTTAGCCCAGAACCCAGTTTTCCCTTGATAGCTGCACTAGATCTCATTTTATTTTTATTGTACATTGTCTTATTTTTTTGCCATAATTTCAGACTTACAAAAAGATGCAAAAATAGTACAAGTATTCCTTATATACATTTCCATTCAGATTCCTCAAATGTTAACATTTTACTGCATTTGCTTTATCTTTCTGTATATATTTTTCTAAACTATTTTTTAAAGATAAATTTAAGGAATATCTGTTTCTGAACTGTTTAAGAATACGGTAAAGACATACCCCATACTTCTAAATACTTCTGTGTGCATTTTCTATAAAACAAGAAATTCTTTTACATAACCATAGTACAATCATCAAAATCAGGAGATTAACAATTGATAGAATACATGATTTGCAGACCATATTCAGATTTCACCAATTATCCCAATAATGTCTTACAGCAAAAGAAAATCCAACATCTGCATTACATTTAGTTCTATCTGTAGTCTCCAGTAATCTAGGAGAATTTCTCAGTTCTCTTTTCTATTTCATTACACTGACATTTTTGAAGAGTACAGGCCAGTTATTTCATACAATGTCTCTTTGTCTGGATTTGTCTGATGTTTTTGCATGGTTAGATTCAAGTTATGCACTTTTGGGAACAATGCCACCGGAGCGATGCTGAGCTTTTCTCAGGACATCAGGAGGCACGTGCTGTAGAATAGTTCCAATACTGGAAAGTTAGTTTTGATTATTTGGCAAATGTGGTCTGCCAACTTTCATCACTGTAAATTACTATTTTATACATTGTAGTTAACAAATATTTTGTGGGGAGATACTCCTCAAATTTTTATCCACTAGTTTTAGTGTCCATGGATAATTTCTGGATAATAATCCTAAAGTATCATGATGGTTGCCAAATGGTGATTTTCCAATTCCCTCATTCCTTTTACGTGTAGTAGTTGGCTCTCTACTCTAAGTGTTTTCCATTCTGTTCAATTAATTAATATCAGTGTGAACACAAAGATTCTTACTGTAATCAGCAGGTTATCATCGTTTACTATTGTTACTGATTTTGATGTTCAATTGTTCTAGATTTGGCTGAGGCAGTCCCTTCAGTACGGCCCCTTATCATTCTGACGTGCCCCTATTACTTTGAGCATTACATTGCTTTCAGGCCCAACAAGATATTTCAGATTCATCTTGATTCTTCCCTACTCCAGCTACTTCTCCAAGGAGCCCAAGTTTCTTTGAGTGAAGAATGGTATTTTAGAAACCAAGATATCTGGACATTATTGAGGGGTCATCGCTTCTAGGCCCTCTTAGCAGACAGAGCTGGGAAAGAGATGTATGTATACACAACACACACACACACGTCTACATGTATGTGTGTATCTATCCCTCATATACCTATATCCATTTCTTTATTTAGCTATCTAAATACATTAAAACCCATGAGTTTACACTGATACCTTTATCCGATATCTTAGGGTCGATTCTATCCTTCTGCCCTTTTTACATTTGTCATTCTCTTCTCCAAGAAAGAGAGACATGGCTCCCATTATCCACAATACATTTACTTATTTGCTTAATCCTAAAACATAGAGAAAGTAATTTGAGAATTGTTAAGCCATGTCCCTATGAAAAAGAAGCCTATTAATTAGAGTTTAATATGTATTTGGGTTTTTTTGTTGTTGTTGTTTTGCGTTGCCTTTATCCTGAGGACATATAGTCCAAAGTTAGTCAAAAGTGACTTGGGTTCATGCTTCCTCATTCTCTTCAATGGGGTCATGTTATTCATTTGAAATATGGCTTAATTTGTTTTGTTTATATTTAATTTTAGGGTTTTGGCCCCATCTTTGTTGATTATATTTCTTTTCTTTGCTGTCATTAAATATGGGGACTATGCTTCCAAAAGTCAGGACTATTCAAAACATCCATTCAGAGAATGTTGTTCTCCCACCCTCCTTTCCACCCCATTCATCCCATGTTCTATAGATAATTTCATTAGTCTCTAGTTTATCTTTCCTGTTTCCTTTTATTCAAATCAGCAAATACATATTTTCTTATTTTCCCTTCTTTCTCACATAAAAAGTGGCATAATATGGATCTCACCTTAAACATCTATTATAGCAATGCAAATCTCCAAAGCAAAATGAAAGCAATACCTTCACACTCTTAAAAACCAACGTCCATTCAGTCTTAAGTCAGTATTTGGTTAGCTTGGACTCTAAAAATGGGGTGTGCAAGAGGATCCATTGAGGTGGGAAAAGAAAATAGTGGAACTTTTATTTATATATTTTAGCTGACAAAGATATGAAATAAATGAACCATAACTAACATTTATTGTATGGCTGGATAACGCTGCTCTCACACAGTCTGAATGAAGGTCATATGGTCATGGGTCACAAAGGTACAGGCAGTGTCCCAGGAAAGAATAGGAGCTCACAAGACCAAGAGGGTGGCAGTGGTTCCTTCCCTTGCTCATTTGCCTTCAGAAGATTGCCCTCTGATGAAGTTTACAGGCCTGATTACATGGGTTCACAGGCTATGTTGTTATTTTAATTAAGCTTGTCTTTGTAAAATGTACAAGTGGCCAAAAAATGTGCATAGAAACTGCACAATAAATAATAATGGTAGCAAACAAACAAGAAAGAGGCAGGGCCACCACTTTTCCTCCTTCTAGTAACAGATCCACGACAGTCACATTGTGAGGTTTGTAAATCGTCAATGTAGACTTAACTCGATGAGAAGTTGGCCCAAAATATTTGAAGTTATCAACACTGTTGAAATAGTGGATTTACATCTAGTGTAGTTGAAGATGATCCTAGCCCAAGTATATCTGATTATGCCTTGGTATGAAACCATCATAATTAGAAAGATGTTTAAAAACTAACTATCCTGAATTAATTATAATTCTTTTAAAGTAAGAATATAAAGGTTTTAAAATGTGATTTATAAATAAAATAAATGGTTTCATCTCCATCACAACTCTTTTCATTTTTATTGGTTTTCTTCCATTTGGCTATCCAGTGTCCCTGCAGGATTATAGGTTTGCATAATACATGGGAAAGCCTCTAGTATGGTTCTGGGCAAGTGTAGGTCATTGCTAAAAATGAGGTTAATAAAGTCAGAACTTGTCACACCTGGACCAGACCACACTAGGCCATGAAAATCTGTGCTTTCTTTTGTATGAAGCCAGGAGAGAATCTTTCACACATATAACAAAGCAGACAACAGGTTTAAGAGGAGTCATCTCAATTCAGTCCTCTTGACTTTCACACAGAGCCCTAATATTATAAATGCATCACTGCATAATATTATCCAATAAAATTAAAAAGTCCAGCATAACAATGGCACCTTTGGGTCTTTCATTCTCAGGATTTAAATTATCTTCAACTATAAAACTGCCAGTTTTAAACTGCAGATAGAGCCAGCCTGTAATTTCCATGGAGACAGAAACTTTGTGTATCTTCATCACTACTACCTATCTGGCAACTGGTATGCACTCAAAGAATGTTTGTAATTTTTGGACATTATATATACTCATTGCCATTCCTCAGTGATTAGCACTCATTGGATTTCATTTAGTGGTTCTCTATCCTGGCTGTGCCTTGGAAAAACGTGACGCTTTTAAGCAATACCAATGCGTGGTCTCCAACTCAGACCAATTAAATCAGATCCCTCCTTTTACAATGCTGATATGGGGCCCCATCTCTGCCAGTGGGGCCCAATATCAGCATTTTAAAAGGAGAACTTTAGGTGATTCTAATGTACAGCCAGTGTGGAGCTCTACTGGGCTAGATTACCTGTCTCCTCACTTCACTCAACTAGCTTCTTGCTGTTTAATGGGTTGTGCACCTATTAAACAAGAGTGGGAGACAGTACTCTTGTATAATGCTGGTGAGCTAATATGACCCCCATGGATGGATTTGTCAATATCTATCACACAAATACATGTATCTTTTAACTGAGGGATTCTGCTATTAGAAACATATACTATAAATATACTTGCACATGTGCATTATACTTACAAGGTTTATAAGGTTATTAACTGTAGCATGGTTTATACAGCAAAAGGAGAAAAAATCTGAATATCCATAATTATGGATTGATTAAGTAAAATATGTTTTATCTATACAATGGAAACTGCTAAAAAAAGTTAGAATTTTTTTTTTTGCTAAGTATATAGAATGCTACTTTTTGTGTGTGTTTTTAAAAATTTTATTGTGGTAAGAACATTTAACGTGAGCTCTACTCTCTTAACAAATTTTGAAGTATAAAATATAGTATTAATTAACTATAGGTACAATACTGCACAGAGGACCTCTAGAACTTATTCATCTTACATGATTGAAGTTTGTTTGTTTGTTTGTTTTTTGAGACAGAGTTTCACTCTTGTTGCCCAGGCTGGAGTGCAATGGTGCAACCTCCGCTCACTGCAACCTCTGCCTCCTGGGTTCAAACGATTCTCCTGCCTCAGCCTCTGGAGTAGCTGGGATTACAGGCATCCGCCACCATGCCCAGCTAATTTTTTGTATTTTTAGTAGAGATGGGGTTTCACCATGTTGGCCAGGCTGGTCTTGAACTCCTGACCTCAAGTGATCCACCCGCCTTGGCCTCCCAAAGTGCTGGGATTATAGGTGTGAGCCACCTTGCCTGGCCAGTAATTGAAACTTTATGCCCATTAATTAGCAATATATACATATACACATATATAATACTATATATATCTACATATAATAATATATATCTCTCTACATATACATAATGAAACTACATATTCATAAATATACACATATATATGTAGAGACTATCTCTGGGATATCTAAGCCACTAATAGATAACAATCACATTGGTTGTCTCTGGGAGGTAAACTGCTTGGCTGGGGAATAATGATAGAAGGGAGACATTTCACTATCTACCTCTTTGTATCTTTTGAATTTTGAAAACTTTGAACGTATACCTACTTTTTCAAATAAAATCGTTTTTAATGATTAAAACAAAATGGCCGTGGCCACATGACCATGTAGCTATGCCAAATGAAACTGTATTTTTTTAAACTCTGAAAGAAGAAATAAGAGTTGAGAGGTAACAAATTATAAACTTCTAGAATAAAGACCAAGTTTACTCCACGACTTATGCACCTCAGAATGCCTACTACCTAGTAAAGTTACCTGCAGATAACAGAAACCCAAGTAAGAAGTTTATTTTTCTTCTAATTTTACATAGTGCACTTTATATAGTAAAAGCTCAGCCAGTGTTAACTTGGCTGCCATATTTTTTTCTTAAAAAGCTATTGTAGCATTAAGAGATTTTTTTGAAAACTACCTGAACTATTTCTTAAAAGTATTTTCTTGTTATCCATCTGGATATATTTTTATAATTACAGACATTCTTTTACATGCTTTTCCCTCATCTTCTACATCTTCTCTCTCTCTCTCTCTCTCTCTCTCTCTCTCTCTCTCTCTCTCTATATATATATATATATATATATATATATTTTTTTTTTTTTTTTTTTTTTTTTTTTTTGTGAGACAGAGTCTTTGCTTTGTTGCCCAGGCTGGAATGCAGTGGCACGATCTCGGCTCATTGCAACCTCCGCCTTTACAATATTTTTGACAATTAAGTTTGAATACCTGCATAATACTTTTTTTGATGTCTGATAATTACTCTAAATAATTCCCTAATTGTTGGGCACTTGGCATTTTGCAAGAATTGAATTGGTTCGTAGAAAGTCATTGGACTTCACTGATGTGCACCATGCTTGCTTCTATTATTATGAAAATTTTAAATTGTGGAATCTCCATACAATGTATTAGGTAGCTATTAAAAATGAATATTTACTGACATGAAAAGTTGTCCATGATATATGAGAAAAATGCCATACCATCTCATTTTTGTTTGCTATTTATAAATATATTTCACTTTTTTGAAGTACTGGATATAAGAGAGGAGGCAATTCTGCACCTGGCCCTTTGTGGCCTTACCTGTGCTGGCTTGAGCACTAAGGTATTGCCTGCTGCCAAACACGCAGCACTCTTCCATGCCAGCATCATCAGCGGGTAGTTCCAGGGAATAATAATGGCACAGACACTGCAGGGGAAGAAATTCGACATGCTTAGTTGTTTCAAATAACACAACTCATGATTCACTCAGAGGCACTCTCCTTATCTTACCCGAGTGGCTCTTTCTTGGTGAAGGTCAGATTGCGATTTGGACGGGCCTGGTTGATTGGAATAGTAGAACCCTAAAGAATGAGAAAAGTTGATACTTATTTTACTAATTTAAATAAGTAAATTTCATCTCAAAGGATCCATTTTCTGTCTTCCTCTCTTACTTTTTGTTAGCTGATATGAAAAGAGCGTTTGTTGATAAGAACTATATTCATGCCAAAGAAGGAACAGCTATTTGTTTCTCAAGAGAACCATGAAACACAGAAGAATAAACATAATTCTAATTTAGTCCATTCCTAATTGCTTGGCCTGGCAGAGAATGTGAACTGCCTGCCTATTATCCACTCTCCCCTCTGTCCTTAGTAACAGAATCCCTATATTAATAATGGGGACAGGAATATGCCCAGATCAAATACTATGGTTCCCATTCTCCAGATTAGGGATGGTCAGTGGAAGATACAAGCACAAGGCATTGGAAGGGGAATGCTACTTAAACTAGGCTAACTCTACTCTTTTATTCTTCCCTCCATGTCTGCTTCCTCCTTCTTCCTGTTTAGACTGTTGCTGAAATGGCTGGCACTGCAGTGGTTTTCTTGAGACCATGAGTCAACCTTCAGGGTGGAGGTCACATGGCCTGGCAAAGACAGAAAAAGAGTTTGCATCTCACATACTAGTCCTAACTGCCTGTCTCTGGACTCCTTGAAAGTGAGAGAAAAATAATAGGATTAAAAAAACAGGAATAAGTTGGCTGTTATATGCAGCCAACTTAATCCTAACGGAATCACAATAGTAGCCTTTAATGAAAGCTATTCATTTGCTTTGCCACATAAAATATTATTGCTACTACTAATAGGGTGTACAATTTCTTAAAACACTTGTAGCCAGTTATGTTTTGGAATTCAGAATTTTTTGGACTTTAGAAGTGTAATATAGTGCATATACCTTATATTATCTACTACCCCAGCAGGATTTGGGTAAGCCTCCCATAATCAAACATGCTAGTATTTATTCACTGAAACATTTGAATATTCACTCTAAGTGATGTAAATAAATATTATTAATAGATTATGTTCATTTAGGTCAGGGTTTGGCATCAAACGAGTTTGAACCAATCAAACAATTTTCAGGTTTCAGAACTATTTGGGTTTCATAATTGGGGATAACAGATGGACCTGAACTACCATTAGTAAATATCAATATATGCATGACTTTGTGGCTGAACCACAATAAAAATTTCATTTTTGTGCAAACCTGCTATGTTGCAGACTTGTCTAATCCTGTAGTGTACAAATACTCGTTTCCAATCCTCAAAACATAACTTGCAAAGTATGTATTACTGTGACCATTTTATAGAGGAGGAAAGTAAGGTTCTGAGAGAGAAAATAACTTTAACAACATCGGCTGATAAGGGCCAGAGCTGAGACTTGACTCAGGTCTGTCTGACTGTACATTAACATTGGTGGCAGCAATGTATGCAGATGAAATATGATGTTTCCCAGTCTCCTTAGCAGATAGAGATGGCCAAGGAGGGATATGAGCAAAAGGTACTGGGAAGGTAAGAATGCTTTGTTAAATTCCTCTTACCACTCCCCCTTTCTCACTTCCTTCTTTTTGCTGCTGGGAATGTGGTTGCAATGACTGGTACTGCAGTGGTTATTATGAGTCTATGAGGAACATGCATACTGCAGTTTGCTACAAGCCCTACATCTCCCTTTTGTATCCCCAGTGCTGGAGCTAGTGTTGTTGCCGTTGATCACCCTGTGTTTGCTATTTATTATCATACAGTAAAATGAAATATTTATTTATTATTCCTGTATCTTTATCAAAGTTTTTCTTTAAAAAAATTTTTTTTTGGCCAGGCGCAGTGGCTCATGCCTGTAATCCCAGCACTTTGGGAGGCCAAGGCAGGTGAATTACTTGAGGTCAGGAGTTCGAGACCAGCCTGGCCAACATGGTGAAACCCCGTCTCTGCTAAAAATACAAAAATTAGCCAGGCGTGGTGGTGCACACCTGTAATCCCAGCTACTAGGGAGGCTGAGGCAGGAGAATTGCTTGAACCCAGGAGGCGAGGTTGTAGTGAGCTGAGATGGCGCCACTGCACTCCAGCCTGGGCGACAGAGCAAGACTCCATCTCAAAAGAAAGAAAAAAAAATTTTTTTTTAATTTATTTCTCCTAGGACACATATTCAAAGACAAAGTTTTTCTTATACTCAGTCTGCTTCCACCATCTACGGTAGCTCTCTGGCCTCTGTAGGTATTTGAATTTGTAAACCCTACATGATACTAGGCTTCTCCAAAGTGTCTAGAAAACTATTCAACACCCTCAGGAGATATTATAGTAAAATGCAAAGAAGATCATTAGACTTTAGATTCGGAAAATCTTGACTTCAAATCTGGTCGTATGGGTTACTTGCTACAAATTATAGGAAAGGCATCCATGTCCTCAAGCCTTTGTTTGCTCACATGTAATAAGGGGATAAGAGCTATCCATTTACTTCCCGTAGTTGTTATAACCATTGCGAGGGTCTGAAAGTGTCTCCTAAAATGCATGTGCTGGAAACTTAACCCCTAATGCCACGGTGTTGGGGGGTAGGGCCTAATAGGAGGTGTTTAGGTCGTGAGGGCTCCACCTTAATGAATGGATCAATGCCGCTATAAAAAGGGCTTGCAGGAGTGGATTCACTCTCTTCTACTCTTCTGCCAGGTGAGGACACACCGTTCCTCTGCTCCAGAGGATGCACTACAAGGCACCATCTTAAAACTAGAGGCCAAACCTGCTGACACCTTTATCTTAGACTTCCCGGCCTCCAGAACTGTAAGAGAATAAATTTCTGTTCTTTATAAATTACCTAGTCTCAGGTATTCTGTTACAGCAGCATAAAATGGATTGAGACAACCCTGTTATGTTGGTGTAAAAAAATCTACATAAAAAGAGGATCTGACACAGTGCCTGGTACAAACTAATCAATGTTAGTCCCTTTTTCTTTCAGAACAAATAATATTTGTGCTTACCTGAATTTTGTCGCACCAGCCAGCAAAATATCTGAATGTTTGCACAGACATTCCAATGTGTGTCTTCAGGGCCAAGGTATAGACAGCCCCTGAATCAAGGGCTTCAATAGTTGCCAGCTCTTCTTGGTTCTCTTCCAGTAGGTCTGCAAGTCTGTGTGGTCAGTGAAAGAAATAAATTCAACAAGTATTGATTGAGCTCCTGTCACATATAATGCAGTATCCTAAGGACGGAGAATTCAGAGGTAAACACATATGGATCAGATCTCTGCCCTTATAGAGATCATGGTCCAGTAGGCAAGAAAGACATTAAACAAATATTTTCATAAATCATTTGTTTCAAGAATTACAAAGGAGAAGCAGAGGGTATTGGAAGCATATATAACTTGCCTCATCTATGTGTAAGAAGTAGAACAATGACTGAGCCAGTACCAGTCATTGGAACCACATTCCCAGAACCCACACTTCTGAGAACCCATGAACATTTGAGGATTTCCAGTTGGCACAAAAATATTTCCAAAACTAACTGAAGAGACAAGATAGCAACGTACACAATGAATTACAAACACTGCAACAGATTTCTGTTTGGTGTTCACAAGTTTTATGGGAAGGTAAGTGCAGGACTGTATAATGACTATGATACGGTAAGACTCATCTTTTGTGTTCAACTTCTCTATTTATTTTTCTTCTGTATTTGTAGTGGTTCTCTGAGCTGTTCCTTTGGGGCCACTCTAGAGTCCAGCTTGAAATCCCCCTCCGACAATCTTTGTTCCAGATCTTGCTTGTATTAGTTCATTCTCATGCTGCTAATAAAGACATACCTGAGACTGGGTAATTTATAAAGGAAAGAGGCAAGAGCATGTGCAGGGGAACTGCCCTTTATAAAACCATCAAATCTCATGAGACTTATATACTTTCATGAGAACAGCACAGGAAAGACTTGCCCCCATGATTCAGTGACCTCCCACTGGGTCCCTCCCATGACACATGGGAATTATGGGAGCTACAATTCAAGATGAGATTTGGGTGGGGACACAGCCAAATCATATCATTGCTCTAGGAGATCTATTGATCTAGGTCCGATATTGGATTTTAGGTAAACAGCAAATGGAATTTATGATTGAATCTAATCACTCCTGGCATCCTTCATTACTGATTTATAATATTCTTCCCAGTCCTTATTATTTTTCTTCCTTGTTCCTATTCCTTACACATCAAGTGGATATAAAATGTTTTTTTAAAACAACAGGGTACTGGATATTCTCCACTTGCCGCTCTCTGTATCCATTCTCCACCCTGCTCTGTGACCTTGACCCTGGTGAATGACCTTTATAGATTACATCACCTGGCTCCCTTGCTCTCCCATTGGGCTTGGCCAGTGAGAGACCACTGGGAGGCACCCGCAGAATATTGGTGAACTGAAGGAAAAAGTGGCTGGGGAGTTGGATTCCCTGGCTCCCTCGCTGATAGGCTGTGGTTCAGAAGCTGCCATGTCCCTCCACTGCAGTGTGGTTTTCTCGTATAGCTACAGATCTTGCCAGATTCCAGTAACAGCTCCTTCCCCTGTCCCTTCAGACCTTGACATAGCAGCTTCCCCCTGCTGCTAGCCCTGCCTGGATGTTTCAGTATCCTTTATTGGATTTCTTTGACCTCGGCCACGTCTTTGTGAACAGTTCTTTATTAAACTTCTTTTCCAGCTGGGACCTGCCTGATGCAAGCAATACTAACATAATCAACATATATAGGATTTAATATGAGTCAAGTAACAGAAGACATATTTCATATTAGGTGAATACTAGAATGTTTTGCAGGAATTTTTAAAATCTTGGCAATGTTAGCCAATATCCAAAGGTAGTAGACTCACTTTGTTTTGCTTCTTTTTTTTCCTTTTTTTTTTTGAGACAGAGTCTTGCTTTCTAGCACAGGCTGGAGTGCAGTGGTGCACTCTCGGCTCACTACACCCTCCACCTCCTAGGTTCAAGCAATTCTTCTGCCTCAGCTTCCTGAGTTGCTGGGACTACAGGCACGTGCCACCACTCACGCCTGTAATCCCAGCACTTTGGGAGGCTGAGGCAGGTGAATCACCTGAGGTCAGGAATTTGAGACCAGCCTGGCCAACGTAGTGAACCCCTGTCTCTACCAGAGTTACTTTTCTAAAAAATAAAAAAATAAAAAATAGAAATACCTATACATCAATCTTCCTCTTTCTCTTGCATTCATTCTTCCCCATTCACCGTTTTCAAAAGCATCTTTTGCTGCTGCTACTGCTTTATCAACATCCGCCAAAGAAGCGTAGGATACTTTGCATATTGTCTATTTCAAGGTAAGTAAAAATAGGCCCCATGAGAGATATGAAAATATGGTTCTTGGAATTAATATTGTATTAATAGAAAAAATAGAGTATTACTGATTTTAAAAAAAGTTATGATAAGAAATGAGTATATCTAGTACTACAGTAAAGAAAAAGAACAATTTTAATATGAAAATTGTGAACCAGAAATTTAGTACTTCTCATATCATACTACTTTATGGAAGAACACATTTAGGAAGATTGGAAGACTGTAGTTCTTCCAGTGCTTTAGGAAAGCTGAATTTCTTGCCATGAGTCTTCAAAGTCTGGAAAGTTTTTTCACATATATCTCTATGCAGATGAGTGCCTCTGGTGTGTATAGGTAAAGCTACCTGTCTAAATTTATCATAAATGTTCTATAAAATAGGTTACTACAGTTAATAGCAGCTGGTACCAGAATTGAGTCATTGAAAGAAAAGCATGAAGTACATTTGTGTGAAGTACTTAGAGGCAGAGTGAGAGAATAAAAGGGCTTCTTAAGACTGCCTCTTTTACAATGGTGTATTAACTAAAAATCCATGACCAGTGATCACTACTCACACTAAAGAATTACTCACAGATCCATCTGTTGGGTTGATAGTGTCGTAAGTCTTTCCATCGTCTGCATCTGTGAACTGTCCATTTATGAAACACTGGTATGGCATTTTTACCATGATTTCATTGACCTCCTTTGAAATCTGAGAGAAGTATATTAATAGATTCAATGGATTTCCGTGTTTACCAATTTGATGTCAAACAGCAATAAAGAAGCATATTCACGAATGCAGAGGGAGAAGTCAATGACATTCTAGTTCCGACTGTACAGAAGACATGCATATGTGAGATTTGGGCCTCAAGATGCTTGCCTTGGCCACTGGGGCAGGAGGGTAGAAGCTGTGAAGACAGAAGTGCTCTAGGCCAGGCTTTATACAGATTTCAGATTTTCTTTCTTAACAGATAAAAGGTAACTCACAAGACCTCTAGATAATGGAAACACCACCATCTAGTGGCAGCATTGGTGGAGCGCAGCTGTTGCCTTCATTGAAATCATTGAAAATGCCTTTGTCAATAGGTTTCCTTTTACACTGGTGCCATTTTAAGTTTGCTTTCCTTAAGTTCCTCTCTGTTTTCACTTTTTGTCTGTTACACATGTGTTGCGTAAATTGTACTCTCTGCCAGTGGCTGGCAAGCAAATTGAGGTTAGTCAATGAACTTTGATGAGGCTCAGTTTTTTTCAACAATGCAATGGGGATAATGATACTGCCTTCATGCAGTTACTGTGAGGAAAAACTGAGGTAATATATCAATGCAAGGTATTAAAAAGGAAATGTAATTATTTAAAAAATTATTTCACAGAGAGGAATTGTCAGTGCTTTAAAAAGAAACAAAAAATAGCAAGAAGGTCTCTTGCCTTTTCCCACACTGAGTGCTCATGATCTATGAGCTATTTCCATTGTGTTTATGTGGGTTATAATGAAGGAAATTTCATGGGAATTGATGTGTTCAGTGTCTGCAAACAGTCCACTTTTCTGAAATTATCATTCTTGGAATATGCTGAATGTATAACACCTAATTTGATTTTCCTAACAATTCTCTGAGGTAGATATCATTATTATATATTATTATTATATAATATTATTACCCTATAAATTGGGTGATATGAGTCAAGTAACAGAAGACGTATTTCATATTATGTGCATACTAGAATGTTTTGCAGGTAATAATTACCCAATCTATAGGGTAATAATAATATTACATAATAACATCCACCACAGAGAGTTGTTAGGAGAATCAAATTATATACTCTATAAATAGGGTAAAAATAATGGAGGAAATAATAATAATGGAGGTAATAATAATGGAGGGTAATAATAGGAGCAAACTGTGGCTTAGGGAAGTTAAGTAACTCGCCCAAGGTCACACAGCTAGTAAGCCATGCTACTTGGATTCAAACTTAGGTTGGTCTGACTCCAAAATTCATGTTCTTAACCAGATAATGCTAAACTGCTTTTCAGATTTGCCTAATTCTTATTAAAAACAAATGGGTGAGAAGTACTTCTGGGACAGGAAAGTAAGGACCTCTGAAAATCCACTCCTTCATAAAAGCAATGAGAACACTAGAAAATATTGTTAAAAAATCACTTCTCTCAGAACTCTGGAAATTAGCCAAAGGCTTGCAATAATCCATTTCAAGAAGAATAGCTGAATCACAGTAAGAAAAGTGAGCTTTATGGTGTATTAACTGCCTTATTCCCATCTTTCTCAAAAGCTCTGCAATAGCCTTGAAAAGCCAACTTCATTGCAAGTATGGTAGCTGTGAAAACCAGCAGCCTAGTAGCCTCTGGTGGGGATGAAATGGGTCTGGAGCTCTTCACAAGCCTCATCCCAAAGAACTGTTACTATTTGGCCTGCCTGGCAGCTCCCTGGAAAGCTCTACTCTCAGAGATTTTCTGGTTTTAGAGGCAGGGTCTCACTATGTTATCCAGGCTGGAGTGTAGTGGCTATTCACAGGTCTGATCAAGTGCATCACAGCCTCAAACTCCTGGACTCAAAGTGATCCTCCTGCCTCAGCCTCCTGAGTAGCTGGGACTACAGGCACATGCTACCATGCCTGGCTTGGGCTTGTCTTTACTAGATCTGACTCAGAGCTTGTTATGCACAAACAGCCCTATTCCTGGGACATTTGTCAAAAATAATCAGTGGCAATTATTTAATATTGCAGCTGCCCACAGCCACTAAAAAATGGCTGACCAAAAAACAAGAGGAATAACTGGGAATGAGATATCCATAAGAGGCATTGAAAAGCTCTGACATATTCCTGGGAATCCAGAAGACCAATATACAAGCAGGGCTTGTGCATGTGCCCAGAAAAGACCTCAGAAGGCCCTTATCTCTTAACTCTGGATGACTTTGAGGCTCTGTGCAGGCAGGAAGTGTGAAGGTAAGGCAGAATTGTAAACTGCCTGCTGGAGCACTGAAGGTATATCCCAGCACACACACAGAGCCCCCTCACAAATGCTGGGAGACTTATTGGCTCAAGGTGTCTAAGAAAATCTATGCCCAATCATTAGATGACCATTAAAGTAACTGAACAGAGACTTCAGTAGTGGCAAACAATAAAAAATAAAGACTTTACAGAATTGTCAAGGAAGTCATTGAACAACAACAACAAAAAGCAGCAGCAGCAACAGCAACAAATGTTGTGAAGGGAGATGGGGAGAAGGTCTGCTTTCTGGAGTTACCACATTCTATTATTTTAAATGACCACCTTTCAACAAAAGATTACAAGACGTGCAGAGAAACAGGAAAGTATGGCCTATAAACAGGTGAAAAAAAAGCAGCTAATAGAAACCATCCCTAGAGAAGCCTAGACATTGGATTTGCTAAAGAAAGATTTTCAATAAGCTTTTGTAAATATGTTCAATGAACTAAAGGAAACCATGTCTAAAGAATTAAAGGAAAGAGAATAATGTCTTGCCAAACAGAGAATATCAATGAAGAGATAAAAATTATTTTAAAAAGAACCAAATAAAAATGCTTAAGTTGAAAAGTGCAATAACTGAAATTAAAAAATCACTGGAGGGACCCAATAGCAAATTCAAGAAGGTGAAAAAAGCCTGAACAACAGGAAGGAATAAGAATAAAGAAAAATGAACAGAGCCTCAGAGACTTATGGGATACCATCAACTATACCAACATATGCATAAAAGGAATCCCAGAAGGAGAGGAGAATGAGAAGGGAAAGGAAAAATATTTGAAGAAAGAATAGCTGAAAATTTCCTAAATTTGATGAAAAACATTAATTTGCACATTTCAAGAATGCACAATCCAAGAAGCTCAACAAATTCTAATGGGAAAATTCAAAGGCTCCACACCTAGACACATCATAACAAATTATCAAAAGACAAAGAGAAAATCTCAAAAGCAGCAAGAGAGAAGGAACTCATCATACAAAAGAGTCCTTAATAAAATTACCAGTTGACTTATCAGAAACCATGAAGGCCAGAAGGCAATACGATGAAATACTTAAAATGATAAAAGAAAAATACCGTCCAAAAATTCTATACCCAACAAAAATATCCTTCAGAAATGAAGGAGAAATTAAAACATTCCCAAGTGAACAAAAACAGAAAATTGATTGCTAGCATACCTGGCCTACAAAAAGTACTGAGAAGAATCCTTCAAGTTGAAATGAAAGAACACCAGACAATTAACTTGAAAACACATGAAGAAATAAAGAGTACTGGTAAAGGTAACTACACAGGTAAATATAAACATTGGTATAAATATATTTTTTAACTCTATCTCATTAAAAATACAACTTCATAAAGCAATAATTATAAAACTGTTGGTGGGCTCATGATGTATAAAGACATAATTCATATGACAATAATGGCACAAATTAGGGGAGTATGCAACAACTATGTTACAGCAAAGCTTTCCTATACTATTAAGTTGGTGTTCATCTGAACTAGATCATTTTAAGCAAAAATGTTAATTATAATCCTCAAGGCAACCACTAAGAAAATAGCTTAAAAATACAGTTAAATTAAAAATAAGGGATTAAAAAGGCATACTAGACATATTTAACATAAAAGAAAGCAGTGAGGGAGAAATTGAGGAATAAAAAGGTGTCAGACAAGACACAAGAAAGCACAAGTGGCAAAAGAACATAGATAAATTAGACTTCATCAAAATTAAAACCTGTTGTGTGTCAAAGGACACTCAAAGTTTTCAGCAAATCTACAGAATGAGAGAAAATATTTGCAAATCTTACATCTGATAAGGATCTAGTATCGAAAATATACGAAGGACGCTTAAGACTCAGCAATAAAAAGACAAGCCAGTTTTAAAATGAGCTAAGGATTTGAAAGAACAGACATTTCTCCAAAGAAGAAATACAAATGCCCAATAAGTATATGAGAAGATGCTCAACATCAGTAGTCATTAGGGAATACAAATGAAAACCACAATGAGATCCCACTTTACACCCACTAGGACAACTAAAAGAGAAAAGACAGATGAGAGCAAATATTGGCGAGGATATGGAGAAGTTGAAACCCTCATACATTGGTGGGATTACATAATGGTGTAGCCACTTCGGAAAACAGTTTGGCAGTTACTCAAAAAAGTTAAACATAGAGTTACCATATGACTCATCAATTCCACTCTTAGGTACATACCCAAGAGACTTGAAAACATATGTTCATGCAAAAACTTATATATGAATTTTCATAGCATTATTCATAATAGCCAAAAGGTAGAAACAACCCAAATGTACATCAACTGATGAATGGGTAAACAAACTGTGGTATACTTATACAATAGAATATTACTTGGCCAAAAAAAGGGATGAAATGATGATACAACATGGATGAACGTTGGACACATTATGCTAAGAGAAAGAAGCCAGAAACAAAAAGCCACATGTTGTATGATTCTATTTATATGAAATCTCTAAAATAGGCAAATCCATAGACAGAAAAGAGGTTAGCATTTTCTAGGAACTATCATGCTATCCAATTTTGGAACATTTTTTGTATGAGGTAGTCCTGGAAGAGTAAAGAATGACTGCCAATGGGTACAGGGCTTCTTTTTGGGATGATGAAAATGTTCCAAAATTGGATGGCATAATAATTGCACAACCCTGTGAATATATTAAAAACTACCCAAAATGCACATTTTAAAGGGGAATTTTATGCCATCTGAATTAGATCTCAGTAAAGCTGTTGTTTTTTAAAGGTCATAAATATAAAAACAAATGGGCAACAGGCACAGCAGTCTTTTATAGTGTATGGATCTCACTGATTTAGGGTTGCAACATCAAGGAAAAGCTTACATAATCTACAACCAGCTCCACCTCTTGATCTTCTCCTCTCAGTTTCCTCACGACCTTTTGGATAAAGCCTTCAAACTTGGTGGCCATATAGACATCTTCATTCTGCAACTGAAGCCCACCACATTTCTGTCTGATCTCTTCAACCAGCCTTAAAGTAAAAACCAGCTTCGCGTTACTTAGATTTTTAAAAGGGGTTAGGAAGATTGTGTTATTTGCACTTGTCAAGTTGTTTTGAGGTAAGACTTACATCACATGCCTATTTATATCCTATGAGATCTTCTGTGATACTCATCAGAGAAATTGATAAGACTAGGGGCAAGAAATTAAAAATATATCTTGAAGGACAGTGGCAGTTTTTTAAAACTTTATCCATGACTAAAAATAAAAGCAATCAAGGCAAAAATATTTTAATTACTTATAAGCAAGGTAGCAAGGATCATATAAAGTCAACTCCTTTCCTTTCATATATACTCAGGGAATAAGAAACAAAGACACTTTCCTAACTGTAAAGATTATGAGAGATGAATGTCATATTGTAGACTATTTTCTCTAAATTACAAGTATAAGATGGACATTTGTTTGTATTACGTAGTTAACATAGGTACTAGCTAGAACCATATGCAGTAGGTCAGTATAACTTTTGAAGTCCTTTCCAATCCTTTGATTTCCACTGTTAGTTTGTCAAATTACAGCTGTTATCTGACATTTCTTGAATAGCAGTGGTGTACGAGGTACAGTGTAGAAAGTCCACCATGGTTGTGGTTCAATCATTTATTCTCTAAAAGAGATGATACCTTTGTAATCAAGATAATAATATCAGATGATTATGGTAAGCCAGACACTCAAACAGAAAATGAGTAATTCCTGCAGGAGTATCTTGCTAGCAAAAAAAAAAGTATTAATAATACAGTACTGGCCGGGTGCGGTGGCTCACACCTGTAATCCCAACACTTTGGGAGGCCGAGGCGGGTGGATCACGAGGTCAGGAGATCGAGACCACCCTGGCCAACATGGTGAAACCCCGTCTCTCCTAAAAATACAAAAATTAGCTGGGCGTGGTGGCATTTGCTTATAATCCCAGCTACTTGGGAAGCTGAGGCAGGAGAATCGCTTGAACCTGGGAGACGGAGGTTGCAGTGAGCCAAGATTGCGCCACTGCACTCCAGCCTGGCGACAGAGCGAGACTCTGTCTCAAAATAATAATAATAATAATAATAATAATAATAATAATAATAATAATAATAATACAGTACTGTGTGTGATGTACCAGGTGTGATGACTCATGCCTGTAATCCCAACTAGTAGGGAGGATGAGATGAAAGGATGGCTATCCCAGGAGTGCAAGGCTGCTAGTGCAAGTGAGCTGTGATCACACCACTGCACTCCAGCCTAGGCGACAGAGTGAGGCCCTATCTGTAATAATAATCATCATAATGTAGTATTGAAATATTTAGTTAAGCCAATTAGAAGTTTCTGGGAACTCATGAATCACAGCTGAGAAATCTATAATTTGAGGAGCCGAAACTCTTGACTTTTGAAAACACTATGTGCTCTTGAAATGATTGTTTTTGATTTCTGGAATAAAACCTCCATGAATAAAGGGGACGTTGTCTAGTTTACACTGTATCCCCAGTGCTAAAACTGTTCCTGACATGTAGTAAGTGTTCAGTCAGTGTTGTTAAGTAAATGAGTGAGTAGATAGAATATTCATCAGGAACGTTGCTTTGTCAATATGAAGGATTTTATCAAGAGGAGGAACATTTTTGCCTTGTTTAATTAGTGTATGGCCACAATGTGGCCTAGGATCAAATCCTCTTAGCTTCTATTCTCTGTACCCACCATCAAGGGACTGCACAGTCCCTGGTGAGCTCCAGCTGTCTTGTTATCCCAGTTACTCGAAGAAAAACACCTCTGAAAGATGCTGCACCAGTAGGATCCTGGTCCAGTTTCCTTGCGATAGAGGCTTTCTGGGACTCCAGCCCTTTCAACTTGCTCTAAACCTCTGTGGAGAAATTCTGATATTGGGTGATTACACTTGTCCTTGCAAGTAGCCTGATAACCCTCATTCTAGATCTGTCTTACTAGGTAATTTATGGGGGGGGCGAGGGTAGGAGAAAAAAGATTTGGGGGAAAGCATAATTAATATCAGGTATCAGATATTATTCTGGTAATATTATTAATATCAGGTGTCAGATATTATTCAGATAATATTCTGGATCAGGCTGCGTAGGAAATTCACTGTTAGCATTCTCACCCAGAGCTTCTCAATTCTGATGTCATATTGGAGGAAAATTAGCTAAGAAACTGGAAGGACAAATTTTTAAAAGATGCAAACAATTCTAAGGGTTGCTTTTTTAGGTATACGGAAGATATGAAAACAACTTCTGGTTAGCAACAAAGAGAACTAAACGGATATATCTGCTTGACCATGGAAACAATAGCAAAAAAAGATGAAGAATAAAGATGTGTTGGCCGAGCGTGGTGGCTCACACCTATAATCCCAGCACTTTGGGAGGCCGAGGCAAGCGGATCAGCTGAGGCCAGGAGTTCGAGACCAGCCTAACCAACATGGAGAAACCCCATCTCTACTAAAAATACAAAATTAGCTGGGCGTGGTGGCGCATGCCTGTAATCCCAGCTACTCGGGAGGCCGAGGCAGGAGAATCACTTGAACCTGGGAGGCGGAGGTTGCGGTGAGCCGAGATCGCACCATTGCACTCCAGCCTGGGCAACAAGAGTGAAACTCCATCTCAGGAAAAAAAAAAAAAAAAAAAAAGATGAGTCATAGATAGGTATGATAAGGTAATCACATCCAGAACAAAGGATGTGTGTGGATTTCACTGTCAAAGCCAAAGTCAAAATCTCTAGTGAGGGAATCCCTAGTGAGTCAATAAGGGCGTGGTTTTACCTGGCAACATCCATTGAGCTTGCTCCAGATTTAAAGAAGTCTGTTGAGTCTTCAATAATGGGGACATTGCTTAAAATTCCAGCCCAGATGACCTACACAAAAAGGAAACTCTTATGAGGGAAGTGCCACGTAGAACAATGTGGCAGAGACTGGGCTAGCTCTTCACCAAACCAATTCCCTCTTCATCTTGTACACTCAGCTGTACATACAGCTGGATCACATTTCTCAGCGCCTCTCCAAGTTAGATGCAACCAATGAACAGGAGTGGAAGTGACCTGCACCACCCCAGTCCTAGCCCATGTAAACCTCCTCCACGCCATTCTACATGCTCCTTTGCCCTTCTGGCTGTCTGGAATAGAGACGCCCCCCAGGGAGACCTTGAAAATAACAGAAACTGGGTTCCTGAATGACTTCACCCCTAACCCCCGTGCCAACCTGGAACTGCCTTGGATGACTTATGTGAAAAATCAGTTTGTATATACTGTGTTTAAGCATATGAATTTGGAGGTTGATTTCCTCTTGCAGCTAATACAAAAAAAGAGGAAATAAAGTTCTGATCCCACTACTTTGAGGACTGATGGTACCAGTTACGAACATGCTTCAGTTTTCCAAGGTAACAGTAAGATTTAAGTCATCATGTGTTCACCTTGATGGTCTCTGCCACTTTCACCTCTTCAGCTGTCAGTTCTACCACTGACGTCTCACCCGTTGAAAAGTACTGAGAGGCAGGGATCATTTTTCCATCTTCAAACTGCAGATTTCTCACCGTCAGCTACAAAATAGCAACAAAACAAGCATAAAAATTGAGGATTGAGACAATACAAAAGTGAGGCTGGTGGGAGGAGTCCTATAGATTATATGCATATAAGGGCAAGTTTATTTGGAAAAATACAGATTAAAAGCATTCACCATTATGTGTAAAAGGGCTGAAATGGCACTTGAATAATGGCAGCAGAAAGGAAAAAGTGAGGTCCAGGGATAGGTACATCTCAAAATGGAAAATAAGTCCTGGAAAATTTGACACTTGGACGTAGGTATTTGAATTAGAATCTATTATGAAAATAACAGACAC
Organism: Homo sapiens; assembly: GCF_000001405.40. Lineage (NCBI taxonomy): Eukaryota > Metazoa > Chordata > Mammalia > Primates > Hominidae > Homo > Homo sapiens. Next base: position 105,062,053 of record NC_000012.12, read on the forward strand.
CACCAGTGCTGCTGCAACTCTGCAGCTGCTGCCTCTGAGCACTTGCCCTGTACCATGCTCAAGAATGCATGCATAAGTGCTTGCTTCAGCAGCACATATACTAAAAAAAAGAATGCATGCATGTGCTGAAGGATCTTACCTAATTTCATAAAAGCCAGTGGAGGCGGATGCCATTATTATTCCCATTTTACTGATGCAGAAAGGGAGGCTCAATGAGGTTCAGTAATTTGCTCAGTGCCACACAGACAGTAAGTAAAAGAGCTGGGAGTAGAACCTGGAACTAGCGGCCTACAGTCTTAACGATTTATCCTGCAGCAACTGGAAAATATCTGTAAGCTACAAATTCCCTTTGCACGCTTCATTGGGAAGCTTCGCAAGGGCACACTGAGGCCCAGGGCCAACCCTCCTGAGCATAGGCAGTTTAGGTGGTGCCTGTCTGGTGGATCAGTGGCAAGGGGCATCTGAGGAGGGCCACATCTATTTCACTTGATCCTCCCAGAATCTGGCATTGGGAAGGCAGACAGACAAGATTCTCCTCTCTGTTATAAAGATGGCAAAACAGACTCAAAGGGAAGAATCATCCTGCCCAAGACCAGCGAGTGGGAAGCAGGGATTCACATCCTTATCTCCCCACTGAATTCCAGCCTCTTTCCACTTTACACAAGGCAGCCTATGCAGATCTGTGGGGCCCATCTTGAGACACCTCATCTCCATCAGGGCACTCAGAGCCAGCTCCTCCCCAGCCAGCAATGGAGTGAAAGCTATTCCCTTAATAGCTTGGGTTATAGAAGAAAATCAAAAGGTTATTTCATAGGCAGCCATATTTAACACTCACTGCTTTTCCATCGTTACCAAAAAGAACAAGTCCATTTTTGGTAACGAGACCAGGCTTCTTGGCACCTTTAATTTCCAGTGGTTCTCCAGGAGGCACAGAGCTATTCAGTAATGTCGAGCCATAGAAAGTGACCATCTAGTAAAGAGATCAAACACAGATTGTAAAATCAGGAGAAAAGCTGTTCATAGCGGTATGTATAAGCATCATTCTCTGCAAAAACGCTGAAGTTCATATTATCATCTGTAATAAAATTGAGACACCACAATGGGAGAAACTGTCTCAAACATCCATAGAAATGACACAAGGTGGCCGGGCACAGTGGCTCACGCCTGTAATCCCAGCACTTTGGGAGGCAGAGGCAGGCAGATCACGAGGTCAGGAGATCGAGACCATCTTGGCTAACACGGTGAAACCCCGTCTCTACTAAAAATACAAAAAATTAGCTGGGCATAGTGGCGGGCACCTGTAGTCCCAGCTACTCGGGAGGCTGAGGCAGGAGAATGGCGTGAACCCGGGAGGCGGAGCTTGCAGTGAGCCGAGATTGTGCCATTGCACTCCAGCCTGGGCGACAGAGCCAGACTCTGTCTCAAAGAAAAAAAAAAAGAAAGAAAGAAAGAAATGACACAAGGCAAGAAATAGTCTGTGAATATGTCACTGGAGAGTCCAAAATGCCCCACATCCAGGTGACATGAGTATGCATTTATCACATATTTGCATTGATACAAAGGTGAATGAGATAAAAAGCTCTCAGCCTTTATAGCCTGAAGGTAGGGTTTGGGTGGGTGGGGAGGTGTTGGGGGTGGGCGTCAATGATGGGCAATGCACAGTGGTCACCAGACTATTACAGTGCAGGGTGGTAAGTGATGAGAAGCACAGGGTGCTTTGTGAGTCAGTTCATGGAAAAAGGATTGGATCCAGAGAGTAACCAAGAGACACTGACGCTGACTGCATTATTATTGCACTTCTAGGATGATCAGCTATCATTTATGGAGCACTATTATGATTATGCTATAATGGTTTGTTGAATACTTACTCTAGGCCCAGGGCTAAGTACTTAAATGAGTTAACATGTATTAATTCTTTTTTTTTTTTTTTTGAGACAGAGTCTTGCTCTGTCACCCAGGCTGGTGCAATCTCGCTGCAACCTCTGCCTCCCGGGTTCAAATGATTCTCCTGCCTTAGCCTCCCAAGTAGCTGGGATTACAGGCACATGCCACCACACCGAGCTTTTTTTTTTTTTTTTTTTTTTTTTTTTTTTTTTTTTTTTGTATTTTTAGTAGAGACAGGGTTTTGCCATGTTGGCCAGGCTGATCTCGAACTCCTGACCTGGGTAATCCTCCCACCTCGGCCTCCCAAAGTGCTGGGATTACAGGTGTGAGCCACCATGGCTGGCCAACTCATTTAATCTTCACAATTACCCATAACCTAAGGGAGGCAGTATTATTAGTCCCATTTTACATTGAGGAAACCAAGGCACCCAGTGGTTAAGAAACCTGCCCGAGGTTACACAGTAAATTTTCATAGAAGCATTCTGGCTTCAGATCCTGCACTCTTAACCATTACACTAAACTCCCTCCCTTGGTCACCCATCGAGCCCATGGATTTTTATTGGCACTTAGTATGTACCCAGACTCCTGCTTAACTGCTGAGATTATCAAGACAATCACATGAAGCCCTTGCCCCTAAGGAGTTCACAGTCTAGTGTTGGGGGGAATAAAGAGACCCTCACAATATATGATGTGCGATGCCAGAGGTAGGCAGAGTGTTGCTGGAACCCAGAGATGGGCCATCAGACCCTGCCAGTCTGGGCATGTGAGATCAGGAAACCTCCCCGAAGAGGTGAAACCTGAGAGCCTGGGCTGAGTCAATTACCCATGGATAGAAGACCCTTCAGGCCCTGCCCGCCTCTCCCGCCTCAGCTCTCCCCATGCCTGTCCTCACAGTTCAGACCCTGGCTTCACTGAACTCCTTTTGCAAGTCCTTGACCAGGTGCTGGAGTCTCTTATCTCTGGGGCTTCACCTACTTGTCTTGCTCTCAACCTGGTTAACTCTTCTCGAGCAAAGCAGTGAGCTTTTCTAGGAAGCCTTTCCTAACATGCCTGAGTCTCAGCCTCCATGATAGCGTTTATCTTACTGCACTGAGAATGTTTATTCACTTCTCTGCACTCCCCATAAAACTGCAGGCTCCTTAGATCAGGCGCTGGATTTAGTGTCTGCTGCACAATAAATGCTTAATACATGCTGAGTAAAGGGGAGAGTGAATCACAGACCTGCCTCATGACCAAGGAAGAACCATGGGAAGCCCAGATTTATCTGTAATATCTCTTACAAAGGTAATAATCGGGGAGGGGGGTGGGGGGAGTGGTCCCTAAAACATACCTGTCCATTTATCTCTGTCCAAGCTCCAGGGACTTTATCATGACCTCGAATCCAGTTATGTAAAACTTCGGCAGACTGGTCCCAAGAAATCTAGGAAGGCACAAAATACAGGCTGAGCCTCCTATGGCTGTGAACCTCAAAGGCAATAAAAACGCTTCTCGTCATCAGAGGCAGAAACACTTGTTATTGGGAAATAAAGGAATTTTTGCTTCTTAGTTTTATTTGGAGTAAGTATTTTGTCAGGTGGCTGATTTAGTAAACAAGAGACTTTATTAAAGGAAAATAAAAAGCAGAGGGTTATTTAAAGGGACAGTATGCTTTGTAAAGATGAAGTAGAGCGGGCTGTTGAGGGGAGTAGGCCAGTAGCTGTTGGAGAGTTTTATGTTGGGTTTTTATTAGGTTGAACTTTTTTTTGAAGTTCCCACCTCTGTTAAGTCTCTGCCTCTTTTTTTTTTTGTCTAGTTTGTTTGTGTCTGTCTTAGCTCTCTGCTTTGTCCGCACCTAGATTTTGTCTCAGGTTTATGGGACCCTCCATATTATTAGTTGGTGTGTATGTGTGGATTGGTGTTGGATATGAATATTACCTGATGCCTGTGTTGTTTACTATTGTCACTGCAGGGAGGTTGTATAGTGGCCAAATCTATACCTACTGCATCTGTGTGTTTTTTTGGAATTTCCTTCTCTGCCCTAAGCTGAACTTATGGCTCCAGGTTTTTGTTTTTTGTTTTTTGAGACAGGGGTCTCACTGTGTTGGCCAGGCTGGTCTCGAATGCCTGGTCTCAAGTGATCCTCCTCCCTCAGCCTCCCAAAGTGCTGGGATTACAGGCATGAGCCACTGTGCCCAGCGCACCTAGCATGCCAGATTTTTTAAGGAATATCCCCTTTGCCCTTTTCATTAGCATGTAGCTAGTGATATTTTGACATTTTAACTGCAGAGCGAAGGATTGTTGGGCAGACTGAAGAGGCGTTTCTGGGCATTTTTTATTTGCTTGTTTGTTTGTTTGTTTGCATAGTATCTCCTCTCCTTTCTATGCACATTTGACTAAGTGCCCACCCACTCCAGCATTAGAGATACTATTAATATGCAAATTTTGAGTGGTCTTCCAGACACGAGTCTTCCTAGACTTTATTTTCTTTAGGGGACTCCCCTCTCCTGCGTATGTCTGGCTACCTGTCTACTCTAACAGGTAGGGCTAGGGCAAGCTGGCTTACCTTTTGGCAAGATCATAGTATGTGGGGAACTACTGAAGGGTAGAGGGCCATGAACTCTGAGACGTGTTATTGAGTTGATATATAAATACCTCAGCATTTTCCTTTTTCTGGATACCTTCATATGTTGCCCCTTCTTCTGGCTGGGGTATACGAGGAGCTTTTCCATCAGCTATGAGTTGGACAGCTTCTACCTAAGGCCAAAGACATCACCTGTGTTACAGCCCAATGATCAACAATGGCATGGTCTATTTGACTAAAGTTTCTGCATAACAGAATTACTACCTATAAACCTGTTCAGAGAGTCAAGAGTATGATGATAACTACCATTTCTTCAGGTCCATCCTGACAAGCAGTGTGGTAGCTACTTTATGTAAAATATCCCTTGAAAACATAACACAAATCCTGCAAGGTGTATATTGTTATTCCTGTTTTACACCTGAGGAAACTGACAGAAAAAGAGCTAAGCAAGGCCGGGCGCAGTGGCTCACGCCTGTAATCCCAGCACTTTGGGAGGCCAAGGCAGGCGGATCACGAAGTCAGGAGATCGAGGCCACGGTGAAACCCCGTCTCTACTAAAAATACAAAAAATCAGCCGGGCGTGGTGGTGGGCGCCTGTAGTCCCAGCTACTCAGGAGGCTGAGGCAGGAGAATGGCGTGAACCCGGGAGGCAGAGCTTGCAGTGAGCCGAGATCACACCACTGCACTCCAGCCTGGGCGACAGAGCGAGACTCTGTCTCAAAAAAAAAAAAAAAAAAAAGAAAAGAAAAAGAAAAAGAGCTAAGCAATTGGCTGAAGATCACAGAGAGAGCTTGTAGGTGTCAGAAACAGGATTTGTATCCAGGTCTATCTATTGCCAATCGAAGTCTGCACTCTCAAAAATGACTCCCTTGTTTAAACAAACTGCCACCTCCCTTAGTGATTCACTGGAAATGATAGGAATATAATGATAAAATAAGTCTTTATGAGTTATTTTACTCATCATGATGATTCTAAAAAATGATACCTTACTGTATTTAATGAATTCAACTTGCTTTCTAGTTTAGGAGACCTGGAATAAAAAAAGTTAAAATCTATCCATGAGCTTGATTGCCTTTGGGAGGTGTCCTGCATTTTCTTCTCTGTTATATTTACGTTTGCCTTGAGTCGAGAGCCTCCCATTTTCACTGCGAGGCCCACGTGAGTTCAAGTTCTCAGATTTCTCTCTAAGGACTCACAGCTGCTGACCAACCCACCCAAGAGCACACGGAGGGAGCCACAGGGGAACAGAGCCAAGTTTACAGCTCATTCCACCCACCTCCATCTAGGCTATAACTAGGTCTAGAATCTGGGCTTCAGCAAATATCACTGAACACACAAAATGCTATGTTGATTGTAATGATCATTTTATGAGCACCTACCATGGGCCAGATGCTTTGCACAAATAGTGTCACTTAATTTCCACAACCACCCTACAAGTCAGGTGGTATTATCCATGCTGTATAGATGAAGAAACCAAAGCTACAGAGGCTAAGCGACTTGCCTGTGGTCATGCAACAAAGAAGAGGTAGAATGGAAACTTGAGCTTAGGTCTTTCTGACATCGAAGCCCTACTCTCTTAATCATTGAATGATACAAGCAAAGCACTGCTTTCCTCTCTCCTAAATCAATGGCTACTACTGTATATAATCTTGCTACTTCTTTCATACTAGCTCTGAAAAAAAATTAAATGACATCAAAATTATCAGCTGGAGCTTTCACTATTTGTGTAGGCTAATATTGCAATATTTTTATTTGATGGTATACATGTTTTGGGATTTTTTTTTTTTTACCCCAGAATACGTCTGGATAAATACAGCAACACCAAATTTCACCCTGTTACAGAGGCTAATTTAAAGTACTTTTAAATTTCCATAACAAATTACGTAGCAAAATTTCTTAAGATTCAATCTACTTCTTTACAATTAATCATTATAGGCAGGGTTGAAGATTCAAGCATTTGGCAAAAGAATGGAGCAGTTTAAATGCTACTGCATCCATTGGATCACTGCTCTCAGAAAAATAAGTCAGTTTCATAGACTAAGAAATTGAAAAATTCAGATTTCCATCCTAAATATACCATCCCATTAGTTAAAAAAAATCTAATTTTGTTTTTAAACTTTATATTTTTGGTGAAAATTCATATGGATAATTTCTTCATAAAAGAAAAAATATTTTCAAAACTTTAAAGGTTTACTAAATTCTGGGTGGCAAAATATACTAACCATGGCCTTGATTCCTTCAGGAAAAAGAAACCGATTATAAAGTGCATCCACTGTATCATTGGGTTCAACATCACATGATCTCTGAAGAAGGATGGGTCCTGTATCCAAGCCATCATCAGCCCAGAAAACAGAAAACCCAGCTTTCTTATCTCCCATAATTAGAGTCCTGTGAAAAGAAGAATTTCAATTTAAAATGTTGGTTAACTGTATCATAAAGTGATGAATTAGTGATATTAAAGTATAAGATAGTTATAATGGAAAAGTAGACAATGAATGAAGCTACCATGAGAAATTAACAGTAGAACTGGGAGACGTCAGGGCTCATAAAAAGCAGTGCCTAATGGTACTGCTATTTTATATAATACATCCTCATATCTTGTCTTTCTTGTTAATGTACAGTAATGACTTGCAGTGAATTTAAAAAGGCATTAGAGTCTATCGTTACTACCACTCATTGACTCCCAGGGATCAGTTTTCTACTTCAAGATCAAGTAATTTGCCCACCTGGGTCCAATTCCTACATCGTATTTGACCCTGTATTAGGCGGAATAAGAACAGAAGATAAAATAGGATACTCTGTGAAGGACAGAATGTGAAACTAATGTGAAGGACAGAGCTGATTATTAATTCAAGCTAATACAGAGGGAGTATGATGGTAGGTCAGCCATGTAATAATGTAAATATTTTTTACTTTTGAGCTACAAATCAAGACCTAAATCAATCCATCAATCACTAACTCTTCAGAAATACTAAGAAATTGACTGGCATTGCTATCAAGATCCTTGAAAATATTCATGTGCTTTGATCCAATGATTCTGCATGTGGAAACAGTGTAAATTGAGAAAAAGTACAAGTCTAAGTGCAAATATGTCTACTAAATAATAGTGTGTTATTTATAAGAGCCAAAAAGAAATCAATCCATGTCATCAAAGTTTAAATACAATTAATATTTTTCATCACATTTAAACCAAGTGTAGGCTTCCAGCTTATTCCAATGACTTGACACTGAGGAATATTAGGAAAATGTGCAGGTAAAGGAGAGAAGGCAGAAAGGGTAGGAAGGCCCACCTCAACCCACAGTATTGTGTCCCTATGGTATTAGGTACCTACAATGTACCAGCCACTGTTTCTGACACTGGAAAATAGCAATACAAATGTTGTGCAAAGTCCCTTTCCTTAAGAAGCTTAGAGTTGAATGGGGAAGATGGACAGTGAAGATGATCATTTCATCATTTCAAGTAATTACTTGATGATTATTTCAAGTAATTCAGCATTTCCTGAAATGTACTTGAGATGCTCTATGCAAAAAAAAAGTTCTGTGGTCAAATAAGTTTGGGAACATTGTGTATTCAGACTCCCTCTAGGGGATTATGATACTGACATTAAAGCCCGTATTAATAGCTCAAATGAATCCTGCAATTAAAAATCCGGCATAAACCAAACTTACTGACCATAAAACCTTTGTTTGCTCAATACCTAGTAACAGTCAATGGAGCTAGTACTCCATAGGCTATTCTTGGTAAATGCTGTCCTGGTTCACGCTGTATGTCTAGATCTCAGGGGAGTTCATGCAACAGTAGTAACCAATCAGGACCTCACAACTGTTCAAGCATGCCTAGTTTCTTGTCTTGATCACCTAGGTAAAAAACAGAAAGAATATAGGCAATTGAAATACACTCACCCTCTGTGTAATTAAAAAAGTCTCACTGGGTGTTCTGGCACAATCCTGAAATCTCAGCTACTTGGGAGGCTGAGGCAGAAGGATCATTTGAGCCCAGGAGTTTGAACCCAGACTGGGCAACATAGCAAGACCCCATCTCAAAAAAAAAAAGTAAAAAGAAAAAATCTCACCAATTGATAGCAGAGGCTCCTCTGTGCCTGGGCAGGATGGATGGGTGATAAATGATAGAGCCGTGCTTTGGACTATCAATTATATCCATGGGAATGAACTGAGTGCAGAAAGGGAGCACATTTAGCTCTGCACCCACGGATCTGTAGGCTTCTGCCACTTCTTTGATGGTCTTGCCCTTGACCCTCCATTTAGGAAGCTTGAACACAGGGGTCCCATCTTTCTCTGCAGCCAAAGCTGAGCATAAAAAAGAAGATTTTTTTTTTAGAAGTTAGCCATAATTTTACATCACTATGAATTCATATGTTGTAATTTTACAGTTTCATGAAATATTTACAAATAAAACATGGTGAAGAACAATTTAGATTGTGACTAGAATTTCACCTGTTGTAATTGGATCACACTAAGGTGATACATATCTATATACTTAAGGCATAATAAATTAGAACTGAAAAGTTTTTGGCTAGATGATATTTTAAGATTTTAATGAAAGCTTTTTCTTTTTTAGATCAAAAATGGTACCTTTATTACTGATACAACATTTTAAGAACATAGCTTTAGATTTGGAGGCATGTGCCAATACTTCACCCACCAATTTAACATACTCACCTCTGGCACAGCTAGAAAGCCATGAAACTCTTCCCTCCCTATACTGAACACATCGTAGACCAGAACACATTCTCCCTGCCAAACAGGCAGATCCCAAAAGATGAAGAGCGTAAGTGCTGAGCTGAGCTTTTCTACTTCCTTCTCCCAAATTCACCAAACAAATAAATTAACAAAGGTGAGAGGCCAAGGAGAATACATGCTCAGCTCCTGCTAAGGGGTTTGGCCTCACTAAGCAGACCAGGGTCTCCTTCCTGAGAAGAGCGCTGTCCCCTCCCAAACAAATGGCTCCATCCTAATGCCATATGAAAATGGAATGGCCCACCAAAGTGCAAACAGCACACGCCTATTTTTTTCATAATGAAATGTCATTTTTACTGTGTGCCTTATATCTTAAGTATTTATATATATATTTAAGTACACAGTTTTATATATAAGTAGTATATATATATATATATATATATATATATTTTTTTTTTTTTTTTTTTTTTTTTTTTTTGTGAGACGGAGTCTCGCTCTTTCGCCCAGGCCGGACTGCAGTGGTGCTATCTCAGCTCACTGCAAGCCCCGCCTCCCGGGTTCATGCCATTCTCCAGCCTCAGCCTCCCGAGTAGTATATATTTAAAAAATCGGTCAGGCACAGTGGCTCACACCTGTAATCCCAGCACTTTGAGAGACCAAGGCAGGAGGACTGCTTAAACTCAGGAGTTTGAGACCAGCGTGGACAACATAATGAGACCTCCATCTCTACCAAAAAAACAAAAATTATTTTTAAATTAGCTGGATGTGGTGGCACATACCTATAATCCTAGCTACTTAGGAGGATCACTTGAGCCCAGGTGTTCCAGGTTGCAGTAAGCTATTATCGTGCCACTACGCTCCAGCCTGGGCAACGAAGTGAGACCCTTTCTCTAAAAAAATGTGTTTAAGTGTATAAAATATATATACATACTATTATTAATATATAATTGTATATATTAATAAATTATAGAAATTATGATATCTATTAATATCCTATATGATATATACATTTTATAATATATTATTATATATTACTTGTATAATATAATAGTATATATATTTAATATATAATAGCATATATGTTAATTTTAGGCAATTTCCAGAAGTCTTAACTAAAGCTTTCTATCTGCATTTTTGTGTCCCTTTCCTTTTTCCTAGATCTGAACAACAAAATTCATTGACTTAGGATGAGATGATGCCTCCACCATGAAACCTAAATTCTGAAGCCTGAGGAAGTCCTGAAGGACCCCAGCCATCACGATTAGCCCCTGATCAATCCGTTTGGAAGAATCTGAGAGACCAGCACAATAGTGTTCACAAAATGTGAGTGTTCATAAGATGTTCAAAAAACTTAACTCATATGTCAGATGACAGGAAAGTGGATAAACGGTGGTTAAAAAAAATGTGATCATGAGAGAAAATTGTGAAAGATCATATGGCAAAGAAAAATGGGGTGGAGGAAACTTAGAAGTCTTCATTGTAAAAAAATGTACTCCAGGCAGGGCGTGGTGGCTCATGCCTGTAATCCCAGCACTTTGGGAGGCCAAGGTGGGCGGATCACCTGAGAGCAGGAGTTCAAGACCAGCCTGGCCAACATGGTGAAACCATGTCTCTACTAAAAATACAAAAATTAGCCGGGTATGATGGTGGGTGCCTGTAATCCCAGCTACTCGGGAGGCTGAGGCAGGAGAATTGCTTGAACCTGGGAGGTGGAGGTTGCAGTGAGCCGAGGTCGTGCCACTGCACTCCAGCCTGGGCAACAGAGTTAGACTCTGTCTCAAAAAAGAAAAAAGTACTCTGCTGAGACAGGCTGAGACATCCAGGTGTTGAGCTTCCGTTTCAGTTTTTGGCTGCCCCAGAGCTATCTTTGACTGTCCTCATTGAATATTCTAACAAGAATACTCAACTACTGTCAATGCTTCCTTATTATGAACCAGGCATAGTGTGAGCACTTTGTGTACATTAATCTAATTTAATCCTCATAGCAGCCACGTGAGGTAGCTACCGCTGAACTGAGGCTTAGTAAGATTAAGTAACTTGCCCAAGGTCATACAGCTAGTAAGTGGCAGAATCAGAATTCACTCCTTGATTCCAGAACACACGCTGTTACCCACATGCTGTACCCACTTCCTCATATAGTTACTCTATAAGTGAGGTTGGTAGTTTTTCTTTTTCTGAGTTATGCCATGAGCCCAAATGGCCATGACAAATGGAAAGGGGGTCCTGACCCTGGGACCAGGCACTAAGGAAGAGTTCATTTCCCAGGATTCATTCTGAAAGGAGGTCTAAAAGTCATATGCTTGCAATCCTTCTGAAGTCCACGTATATGGCAGAGACTGCTAGTTGTCCCCCTTCATCCTTTAGCAATGGATTCCCTAGTTTAGCTGAATGCATAGCCACCCCAAATCAAATCTATATTTCTCAGTCACTCTTGCAAATAGATTTGGCCTGTGACTAAGTTCTGGCCAATGGGATACAAGTGGGAGTAATATGGATTATGCCCTTAATAAAAAGCTTTTCCCTGATTCCCACTCTTTTCCTTCCTGCTTGCTGGAATGGCGCTGTGATAGTAGGGGCTGAGGCAGCTACCTTGGACCATGAGATGGAAGTCCAGCATTGGTAAGGACCTGAGAATTCTTGACCCAGTCATCCCAAGATGCACTCACCCAGAGGGTCAGCTTTTCCATCCTTGTCTGGAACTGTGAACACCCCTACTACTCGGTGGCCCTCTTTGCGGAGGTGGCTATAGACTTCTTGTCCAAAGAGGCTCTGGCCAATTAGTGCCAACTTCAGCTTGTTTTTGAAATAAACCTGTGAAACAATTCAATGACGAAGACATAAGCATGGATAGAAGACACTGGATGAGGGTGAGGGTTAAAAAAGATAGCTATTGGGTACGATGTTCACTCTTTGGGTATCAGGTACACCAAAAGCCCAGACTTCACCACTACTCAATATATGCATGTAAGAAACCTACCCTTGGCCGGGCACGGTGGCTCACGCTTATAATCCCAGCACTTTGGGAGGCCGAGGTGGGCGGATCACCTGAGGTCAGGAGTTTGAAACCAGCCTAGCCAACATGGCGAAACCCTGTCTCTACTAAAAATACAAAAATTAGCCAGACGTGCTGGCACACACCTGTAATCCCAGCTACTCAGGAGGCTGAGGCAGGAGAATCTCTTGAACCCGGGAGGCAGAGGTTGCAGTGAGCCGAGATCACACCACAGCACTCCAGTCTGAGTGACAGAGCAAGACTCTGTCTCCAAAAAAAAAAAAAAAAAAAAAAAAAGAAAAGAAAAAGAAAGAAAGAAAGAGGGTAATCAGAGGGTCATGACTTCCTATGAGCTTCCTCTCTTGGCAGTGCCTCCGCAGAACTCTCTCTACTTTACATTCTTCCATGTTAGCATGTGGCTCCACGGGGATCTGAACTTAGGATGTTTATCCCCCTCCAATCTAAATGGGATTCGCTAATGTTCTGGCAAGTAATTCTAAATTAGTAAAGCCTCACTGAGAAACTCTGTTTTTGAAGAAATTTAATTTTCCCTTATTTCCCACTTTATTAGAGGCATACATAACATCCTGTTTTTAGGAATGGACTTAAAAGGATACCAGATCACAACTTCCCTGTAATTGAGCAGATAATAAAACAAAGTTTTAACTAATTTAACTAATTAAAAAAACATCCTAGGGTCAGCCAAACTTTCTATCCCCAAAGAACCTAAGTAAGCTTCAACAAATACTTGCAAACAAACAGATTAACTCTGTAACAACAGCAAATTCACCTGCAGATAATGCATGGCTGACCATTTAATTTCCTCTTCTCAAAAAAATCAAATGTCCTATATGCTATCTTCAAATCCTATAACTAATGCTGTTGCTTGAAATAGAATCTACATGTTTGCCACCTTACAAAAATTTTGGCTTTACCACTTACCATTACCAATGCCAGATATTCAAGACATCTAAAATACTACTTTTCAAACACCCAAGAGCCAAGAGACTGAGATGACTCAAATGTAATGTGCCGCTCGGCTGTCGTCTGGTTATTTGGAGTTCAATTCCAGATTCAGTCCTCTCTGAGAAAGACAGTATTTAAAGAAGCCATGTTGGCCGGGCGCGGTGGCTCACGCCTGTAATCCCAGCACTTTGGGAGGCTGAGGCGGGTGAATCACCTGAGGTCGGGAGTTCAAGACCAGCCTGACCAACATGGAGAAACCCTGTCTCTACTAAAAATACAAAAATTAGCCGGGTATGGTGGCAGGCATCTGTAATCCCAGCTACTCGGGAGGCTGAGGTAGGAAAATTGCTTGAACCCGGGAGATAGAGGTTGCAGTGAGCTGAGATCGCACCATTGCACTCCAGCCTGGGCAACAAGAGTGAAACTCTGTCCACACCCCGCCCCCGCAAAAAAAGAAACCATGTCAGTATCTTTGGAAACACTACATTCATTGAAACACTTTCTGAGCTTTACACTGAAGCTGAAGCTATAAAGGTGAGTTTCTAACACTGAGAAGTTTTCAGATTTCATGACTATAAATATGTTTATAATGAGTTAGCAAGATTCCAGAAAATTGGACTGATATATTTTACTTTATTTATTTATTTTGAGACAGGGTTTCACTCCATGGTCACCCAGGCTGGAGTGAAGTGGTGCAATCTCGGCTCACTGCAGCCTCCGCCTCCCGGGTTCAAGTGAATCTTGTGCTTCAACCTCCCTAGTAGCTGGGATTACAGGCACACACCACCATGCCCAGCTAATTTTTGTATTTTTAGTAGAGACAGGGTTTCACCATGTTGGCCAGGCTGGTCTCAAACTCCTGACCTCAGGTGATCTACCTGCCTTGGCCTCCCAAAGTGCCAGGATTACAGGCTATTTTACTTCAGTCTTATTTCTCCAGGTGTGGTGCCTGCCTGTATTGGCAGAAGTAACTGGGAGAACATGTTTAAAATGTGGATTCCTGGGCCCTACTTCAGATCTACTGACTCAGAATCTTAAGCCCAGGAAGCTGCATTTTAACAAACTCTTCAGTGACTCAGAAGTACATGGAAGTCTGAGAATCTCTGCTCTGTGGAGAGTGGTATGTCTGCCCACAAGAACAAGATTCTGCCCTGGGGAGTTTCGGTCAGGAAGAAATGGTGGAAATAAGAGCAAACATTTTAATGAGACCCTAGTTTGGGCCAAGTATTTCACATTATTATCTCATTTGATTGCACAATGACTCCTGGAGACAGGCATTATTAACCCACTTTAGGGATAAAGAAATTAAAGACAGAGAGGTTAAGTAGCCAGGAGTCAAATAGCTGCTAAGAGGCAGCCCTGAGATTCCAACTCTGTTTATTATCCTAGTGCCTATTGTTTTTTCATACACCAGCTGTGCAGTCTTGAACTGGGCTTTATTTTCCATCATCAATTAAAATCAGAATAGTAATAGTACCTATCTCATAAGGTTGTTATAAGGATTCAATGGGATAAAGTGTGTAATGCATTAGCACAGTGCATGGCAATAGTAAATGCTCAGTAAATGTTACCTATTATTATTATCATACCATAAGCAATACCTAGGTACCTACAAATAATGATAATAGATATTTCCTATTGGAAATATACCATGAGCCAAACACTATGTTGAGCCCTTTTCATTAATTCAAAAAGTATTTATCAAATGCTTATTATACATCTTTAATCCCCCCAGTGACCCATTTTGCAAATGAGAAAACAAAGGGGTCAGAAAGTTAAGTAACCTGCCCAAGGGCAGAGCTAATAAGGGTCCAGGGCAGGATTCAAACCTGGATCTGTCTTACTTTAGCAGATGTGTTTCTAAGGCTTTCCTATGCTGAAAGTTCCCCTCCTACTTTAGAAAAAGAAAAACATAGCAACAGTTTGACAGGTCAATTGGGAATAGTTCCATCAGCCTGTTTAAGGAAATGCCACAGTGGAAGTGACGTGGGAGACAGCACCATTCTTTAACCGGCTCTCACTATAGGTGTCTGTCGCATTAGTGAGAAAGGGCATAAAATGACACACAGTCATTTCCAAATCTGGATGATAAGTTCTATAATCTAATCTTGTTTCTTTTTTCTTTTTTTTTTTTTTGAGACAGAGTCTCACTGTGTCACCTAGGCTTGAGTGCAATGGCGCCATCTCGGCTCACTGCAACCTCCGCCTTCCGGGTTCAAGCAATTCTCCTGCCTCAGCCTCCCAAGTAACTGGGATTACAGGCGCACGCCGTCATGCCCAGCTAATTTTTTTTTTTTTTTAATTTTAGTAGAGATGGGGTTTCATCGTGTTGCCCAGGCTGGTCTCAAATTCCCGAGCTCAGGCACTCCACCCGCCTTGGCATCCCAAAGTGCTAGGATTACAGGCGTGAGCCACCACGCCCGACCTTGTTTCTTTAGAGAGAACATTCTTCACTAGAGGAGACTTTTGCAGGGAGCAGAGCCTTTGCTTTCCAAATTGTCAAATAATGCATTCCCAGGCTGTCCACCCTCTGGTGGAATTCTTCAGGAAGCAAGTTAATACAGACCCTGACTATGCTCCAAGAATTAAAAAAAAAAAAAAAAAAAGGTACACATAGCTTTCCAAAGAAAACTTCAAGGCACAGTGCGAAGAGTCTGCCCTGATCTGAAGCCCTTTGGCCAGATGCTAATAGAACCATCTGGGCAGGGTGTAAAGTAAGGCCAAAGCTATCCAAGTAAGAATTGGCAGTTTCACACAGAGGACCTTCACACAAAAGAATAAAACAAAGTACATTTTCCTGAGACCCTGAGGTGCCTAACACTTCATGGAGCATCCGGCACAGAGTGCCCCAAACTGTGCCTGACTCTGTGCAAGACTCATCCAACAAGCATGTTTTCAGGCTTTGCCACACTCTGGGCGTAGTGCATGGTAGAGGTGGCACATTACTGGCCTGGCAGGGGTGTTTTATTTGGCCCACAAAGCATTTTTAAGAGGACTCTGTTAAGATTTTTAGGAGGTTGCACCTCAGAAGGCACAACTTCTAACTTGTCTTTAAAACTCAGGAGGTTTGGCTGGGTGCCGATCACCTGAGGTCAGGAGTTCAAGACCAGCCTGGCCAACATGGTGAAATCCCATCTTTATGAAAAGTACAAAAAAATTAGCTGGGCATGGTGGCGCGTGCCTGTATTCCCAGCTACTCAGGAGGCTGAGGCAGGAGGATCGCTTGAACCCGGGAGGCAGAAGTTGCTGTGAGCTGAGATCGCGCCATTGCACTCCAGCCTGGGCGACAGAGCAAGACTCTGTCTCAAAAAACAAAAATCAAAAAAACTCAGGAGGTTTGTCAACCCTGGTCTGTGGCGCCGTATAGCAACAGTCAGCTAGCGCTGAGCAGTGGTGGCCCCTTTACCCTAGACATGGTCTTGCCCTCTATGCAGCTCAAATCTCTCATTTGCTTTACCTGTTTGGCCTCTGTGGGAATTTCTCTTTGCGACCCTTACACTAAAGATAAAAAGAAGCAGTCCCTGTACTCGGGAATCCACCAACTAGTAGGGAGGGCACACAAGCTAAGACATAGTAACAGTGCTAGAATAAGAGAGCACAGTTTGGTTAAGAGACGAGAAGCCTTCTCCAGAAGGGAGTTACTTAGCTGAATCTTAGAGAATCCATCTTGGGAGTTGGCAGAGAAAAGGGAGAGGCTTGGGAAGTTCCAGGCAGAGGGTGCGGTATTTACAAAGAAACAAATGCATGTGCACAGCGTGTCCAATACTGGGAGTTAAGGAGTGGTGACAAGCGACACCGTAGCAAGAGACATTATGGAGCGCTTTGTGTCAAATAATTGGGACCTTATTGTGAAGACAATGAGATTCACTGAGCCGCTTTAAGCAGGAGAGTTAATTGAAACCAGGAGAGTCTAGTTTCTATGCTAATAGACTGCTTAGGTAACTCTGGAGGCATGAACTAGCTCCGGGTAGACACACCTCTTGTGTTGAGAATGGAGCAGAGCGTGAAAATCAAAGCTGACCTAGCAATCCACCTGTAGCATAGTCACAGGATATAGTCTGGAATAGTGTGAAAGCTCTTGCAACCAATTGTAACAAACTCTCATACTAACAGAAGCAACAAGTACACTTTACATAGAGGTAGATCTGCAAGATTCAGGATACCATCCTAAATGGCAAGCTTGCGCAACTTGATGTTCCTATTGCCTCATTATATAAAGAAGATATCAGTGAGGGCTTTCTTGGATGTCTGGCCAACTTTTGTTTTTTCATCATAAAAAGGATAAAATATTTTAAAAGGAGGGATGTCAGTACAGGGGCCTATGAGCAGGTGATGCCAGAGGGGGATGCCCAGGACTCAGAGGCTGGAGAGAGCTCCTGGGCCGAGGCTGGTGACCACAGAACACTTCAAAGACTTTGAGTAAAGGGAGAGACAGTCCAAAGGGCTCGAGTCCAGAAACGGACTCCAGTACTAGAGAGGCAGGATTTCCATGCACAGAATTTACTATAATATTTTAATTGTATAAAATTTTTAAAATTAATTTTTAATTATACATATTACATATACACACAAGCTCCTTACGAAAAGAAAAGATCACAGATAAGACTACAGTCCCTTTTGACCATCACTCCCAATCTGCATCCCCTTCTCACTCCCCAGAGGAAACTACTATTGTTTGGTGTGAATTCTACAGACCTTTCCTAGGCATTTAAAAACATGGAAATATATACAAAAAGTATTGTTTTGTATTTCCAAAAATAATTCAAATGAAATAATATTATGCGTAATGTTCCACAACTTTCCTTGTTCGTACATATAATTCATTCTTTGAAATTCTTGCACAGTATTCCTTAGTGTAGCTATATCTCAGTTTATTTGTTCATGTCCCTATTGAGAAACATTTTGGCTTTCAATATGTCATTATTACAAATACCATGGCAATGAATATCATGGTACATGCTTCCTGTGCCCATGTAGAAGTATTTTTCTCAGATACCTACAAGTGAAACTGCAGGATCATTTTTAAACATAAATTTAATTTAAATATGTAGCATCAAATTGACCTCTAGAGTAGTGGATGAACTGTTTTCTCACCCCTGCTAAACACACAATATCGTCAAATTTATGATTTTTGCCACCCTGATGAGTGAAAAATGGTATCTTGTTCTAAGTTGCATTTGCCTGATTACTAGTTTGGTTGAGTGTATTTTCATATTTTATTGCTCATTTATATTTCATTTTTGGTATATCATTTTAGTTAGTGTATTATGTATTATTATTCTTTTCCTAAAAACATAGATTTAATAGTCTGTCCCACTAATCTATGAACTCCTTGAAAATGGGACTATTTCTTTCTTGTTTATTGTTTTATCTTTTGGGTTATGAGAGTCTGAAAAAGTTAGTTCACTTCTGGGTCTCAGTTTTCTTATCAGCAAAATGGTCATAATAATCTAGGTTGAGAATCCCTTATCCAAAATGCTTGGAACCAGAAGTGTTTCAGATTTCGGATATTTTCAGACTTTGGAATGTTTGCATTATACTTACCATTGGAGCATCCCAAATCTGAAAATCTGAAATCCAAAATGCTGTAATGATCATTACCTTTGAGTGTCATGTCAGTGCTCAAAAATGTTCAGATTTTAAAGCATTTCAGATTTCAAATGTTCAGATTTGGGATGCTTAACCTAGTACCTACTTCATTGAGATATCATGAGGATTAAAGGAGTACACAGTCGCCCTCTGTATTTGTGGGTTCTGTATCCGTGGATTCAACCAACCATGAATCGAAAACATTTGGAAAAAATTGCATCTGTACTAGACATGTATAATTTTTCTTGTCATTATTCCATAAACAATACAGTGGGACAATTATTTACATAGCATCTACTTTGTATTCATTATTATAAGTTATCTACGGATGATTTAAAGTATACAGGAGAATATGCACAGGTTATATACAAATATTACCCGTTTTATATAAGGGACTTGAACATCTTCAGATTTTGATATCCACGGGAGGTCCTGAAACCAATCCCCTATGAATACAAGGGACAACAAGGGACAATTGTATATGTAAAGCATTTATTAATGCATCTATTAATATTATATCCTCAGGATTTAGAGTCCTCAGTGTATAACAGACAATTAAATACAGTTTAAAGCTGAATTTGGAGATCCTATGAACAGATAAGACACCAGAGCAGAGGTCGGGCAATGATGAAACAAGAACCTGGTTCCTAGAACTGAGAAATAAAGCAGGTACTTGGTTCCAAAGAGCAAGGAAGGGTCCCACCTCTTTGGACTGGATCATAAGGTAACCTCAAGTTACCTGGAGCCAGGCTATAAACCCAGAGCTACCAGACAGACCTGACCCAGACACTGGCAGAGAAAGCTAAACAAAGGAATGTCAATGAATAGAGGGCTAAATAACTCCTACCACAGGGAGAAGAAGCAGTGAGCCAGGCAGGATATCAGAGGTGGGCAATAATATCTAATTGACAAAGGGTTTTAAAGCAAACCATTGTTTTAGTTAAAAAGATCCAGCCATCACTAAGCTGAAATCATTAAGTATTTCTAAGTCCTTTTATTTAAGACAGAGGATGGAGAAATGAATTCTATCAAGAAGTGTTATAAACTAATTTTCCCCTTGGATTTTGCTAGGTTCTGAAAGCTTTATTTTTATTCATCCTTCATTCTGCTTTAATACTAAACTTAAAAGCATTGTTTGATTTTTAAATTTTAAAGATAAAGGGATAATTAGGCCGGGCACAGTGGCTCATGCCTGTAATCCCAACACTTTAGGAGGCCGAGGCAGGAGGATCACTTGAGGCCAGGAGTTCAAGACCAGCCTGGCCAACATGGCAAAACCTCGTCTCTACTAAAAATACAAAAATTAGCTGGGCATGGTGGTGCATGTCTGTAATCCCAGCTACTCAAAAGGCTGAGGCAGGAGAATTGCTTGAACCCCGGAGGCAGAGGTAGCAGTGAGTCAAGATTGTGCCACTGCGTTCCAGCCTGAGTGACAAAGTGAGACTCTGTCTCAAAACAATAAAAATTAAAAGATAATTTGCATGGGTAAAATGCACCCTCTTCAGTGTACTGTGCTGTGAGTTTTAACAAACACACAGTCACGTAACCACTACCATAATCAAGATGTAGAACAGTTCCATTACCGCCCAAATTCCTTTATGCCTATTTATAATCAATCCTTCCTCCTATCTCCAGCTCCAGACATCACTGATCTTTTTTCTGTCCCTATAGTTTTACTCTTCCAAAATGTCAGATAAATGAAATCATAAAATATGTAGCATTATGAGTCTGATTCTTACACTTAGCATACATATTTGAGTTCCATCCATGTTGTATGCATCAGTAGTTCATTCCTTTTTCCCCCAACTGAGTAGAATTCCATTGTATGGATGGATATACCACAGCTTGTTTATCCTGTCACCAGCTGAGGACAATTTATTTCCAGTTTTTGGCAATTATGAATAAAACCTCTAGAAACATCAATAAACAGGTTTCTATGCGGGCAAATAAGGTTTCATTTCTTTTGAGTAAATACCTAGGAGTGTGATTCCGGGGTCATATGATAGGTTTATGTTTAACTACATATAAAACTGCCAAACAGTTTTCCAAAGTGGCTGTACCATTTTATATTTCCACCAGCCATGTATCTGTTTGATTTTGAATAATTCTTATAAAACACAGTCCAGAACATTTTCTACAGGATAAAACATCCCACATTTTTCATTCACCACTCAGTAGCTTCCTTTCGACCACTGAGGAAACTGTCTTCTTCCCAGCCATGAGTATCACTGCTTTTCCATATGCACCCCTGCGTACAGTTAGACCCTGATCACGCCAGTTCTTCCCCACATCCATAGTTTTGTTTATGCCATTTGCCACCTGAGATGTTTACCTTTTATTACTGAAATCTTATGCAAACCGCACTATCAAAATCTTTTCATTCTGCAAGACTTCCTTCTGGTCACCAAAAAAGACAAGTCAGTGAAAGGTGTTGACAGAGGAGGCCAACAAAACAGGCTCAGGCATTGGGCACAGCCCGTTGCTTTCTGTGCTATCCATCTGGGATCCCATGTGCCACGTGGTGGGGGAAGCTAATGAGGGGTCCAGGAGAGCAGGCCAAAGTCCTAGCAGAGCAGGTCTTCCCCACCCCCACCCCTCGTTTTATAAAAGGTGACTATACCTCAAAGTAACTAGAACTGGTTGCAAAGAGTAAAACGAATTCTTATTATTTGGGGTTGTCTGGGATACAGAAAGCTTTTCCTTTGATGCAAGTTTGGGCCAGTTTTTGGTGCTACTCAAGACTTCTCTCTGCCTCCAAGTTTTTTACATCTGAATATATACATATGTACATATGGCTTTGGCATGGCCGAGAAAAAGAATCGATAAGCAAATTCTTTTATGTACTTCCTATAAAAGATACGATACATAAGACAGTTTTTATTTTTTTTTTTTCTCTCTCTCTCTTCCCTAAACAGTCCCGAGGCCCCCTGGGTGCTGAAGGCAGCACCGCAGTGCAACGTGTCCTCTCTCGGTTCCATTTCTGGAGGAGCTGATGCAATTCCAAGGCGCGGGGCTGGGCCAGAGCTCGGTTCTTGTGCTACAGTAGAATAGTGTTCCAGCGTGGCTGCCTCTGCAGCGCCTGGCAATTCTAGAAATTTTGCCATCTGCAGCTCAGCTCAGGAATACTGAGCTTGCAGCCATCAGCTTTGAGTGCCATTATCTGAACCGGCCCTGCGTGCCAGTCTCGAGCGCTTACACCTCCCAGGCCGCCAACGAGGACCCTATTGACTTGATACTCCCCTCCTCCAGGAGACAGTCTCGGTTCCATATGGCTCCAGCTCTTGACCAGGGATCTCATGATTGAAGTGAAAAAGGAAAGGAAGCAGACTCTGTCCTCCTTACCAAGTGACTGTTCCCACCTTGCCATCCCAGCCAGACTTGACACGTCCAAAAACTGCATCCTCAGCCCCCTCCCGGCAGAAGACAATGGCCTGCGTGCCAGTTCCCATCCGGGACCCTCCCCAAGCCCTCCTCTGAGGTCTCTCTGTTTTTGTTTGTTTGTTTGTTTGTTTTAAACGCTGTCTTGGTGTTTAGCAAAGTCTAAGCATCGCTGCTCATCCCCAGCCCCACCGCCC
Source organism: Homo sapiens (assembly GCF_000001405.40). Taxonomy (NCBI): domain Eukaryota; kingdom Metazoa; phylum Chordata; class Mammalia; order Primates; family Hominidae; genus Homo; species Homo sapiens. The sequence goes on from NC_000012.12 coordinate 105,084,317, forward strand.
CGGCCCTCCCGCCCCGGAGTCTGGAAACCAGGACAGGGTGACAGCCGGGACGCTCGCCCGGGCCGGACTCACCCGGCCAGTGGAGAAGCGCCGGAGCGCCTGGCTGCCCCGCCGCAGCATGCTGGAGAGGAGCGCTAGCACTGGCGACGCGGCAGCGCGGGAGGCAGGCGGGCGGCGCAGCCTGGGCGCGGCCTGGGCGCGGCCTGCAGTCTGGATGCCCCGGACTGCCTGGCTCGCGGCTCGCCGCTCTCGGCCTCTGCTAGTCCGCACCCCTCCCAAAGCCCACAGCCCGCGGCCCGCCCCACCCTACCAGCTGCAAGGCCCCGCCCCCTAGCTGTCAAGACCCCGCCCCCAGCTGGAAGGCCCCGCCCCGCCAGCTGGCTGCGTTCGGACAGCCAACCTGGTGCGACCCGGCGGAGCGCGTGGGCTTCCTGGAGCCTGTGGGCCCTGACCCTGGTGCCAAGAGCGCACCCAGTCCCAGGGACCGCGCCTCTCCGCTGCCTGGACTTTCCGCCAATTCCAGCCAAGGTCCAGGTGCTTTCTAACTGTGGGACCCTCTACCAGTTACTCAGCCCCGCAGCAGTGTATACGGATCTACCTTATTAGTGGTCAATCTGACATCCCAAGTGCTGTCCATAGCACAGCCCGTAAAAGGCACGCCTGTAGACAGATAGGTAGTGGGGGCGCCTTCGCTGTGGAGGGATCCTGATGCCTACCTCGTAGGACGGTAGGCCGGGCGCGGTGGCTCCCGCCTGTAATCCCAGCACTTTGGGAGGCCGAGGAGGGAAGATGGCCTGAGCTCAGGAGTTCGAGACCAGCCTGGCCACCATGGTGAAACCCCGTCTCTACTAAAAATAAAAAATAATAAAATAATAAAATAATTAGCCGGGCGTGATGTCGCATGCCTGCAGTCCCAGCTACTCGGGAGGCTGAAGCACGAGGATCACTTGAGCCGGGGAGGCGGAGGTTGCAGTGGAGCTGAGATCATGCCACTGCACTTCAGCCTGGACAACAGAGCGAGACTCTGTCTTAAAAATAAATAAATAAATTGGTGCAAAAGTAATTGTGGTTTTTGCCACTGAAAATAATGGCAAACCCGCAATTACTTTTGCATCAACCTAATAGATACGTGCCCTTCTCCCTCACCTCTCTGGAAAAAACGCTCAGACCTGCTTTAGCTGGACGTTTATCTCAAGCCAGACTTCTTAGCCCAGCATTCAGGGCCGTCTGCAATTTGCCATTTTCTCTTATTTCTCACTGCTCTTTTGCATATGTAATTCTGCTTGACTGCAGTTCTTGCCTATTCCTTCTTGGACAATGTTTCCCAGAAAAGCTTGTCATCTGTCACTTGTAATTATCTTGGCACGACCGTTTCTTTTCTGAAAGGTACCGCTTACATGCTGCCTCCTGGAGGCGCTTTTTTCTGATTCTTTTCTCTCTTAGTCTCCTTATTCCCCATAAATAATTGTTCACTCCTCTTAACAGGAAATAATCTTTGTCTATGCATCTGTTATGGCTGTCTCAATCTGCTACTGGTATTTGTATACCTATTAACGTCTCTGTTGGAAGCTCCTTGCAAGCTAAGTCCATGTCTGATTAATCAGGATTTACAGTATCTAGCACTAACCAGAGCTTTAAAAAAATAATAATAAAATAAAAAATAACTTGTTAAAAAAAAACTTGTTGAAACGGATGAATGTGTTTAAGAGAGTAAGGAGACAAAAAAGAACCATCATTAAAACTTGGAGAATTGCGGTTGGGCGCGGTGGCTCACGCCTGTAATCCCAGCACTTTGGGAGGCCGAGGTGGGCGGATCACGAGGTCAGGAGATCGAGACCATCCTAGCTAACACGGTGAAACCCTGTCTCTACTAAAAATACAAAAAATTAGCCGGGCGTGTGGCGGGCGCCTGTAGTCCCAGCTACTTGGGAGGCTGAGGCAGGAGAATGGCGTCAACCCAGGAGGCAGAGCTTTCAGTGAGCCGAGATCGCGCCCCTGCACTCCAGCCTGGGCGACAGAGGGAGACTCTGTTTCAAAAAAAAAAAAACTTGGAGAATTGCAACAAACATCCAAGGTTTTGCTTTGAGCCCTACATCTTGCCAATTCAACCCACTTTCCTGACTGCATTTTGTGACTTCTTGCTTTTTTAAACTTCCAAATATTGATATTCCCTTTATTTATTCTGATCTGTGTATACTAGAAGGGTGCATAAGGAGGGGTTTTTTTTTTTTTTTTTTTTTTTTCCTGAATGAGGTTCCATAGTTATATATTACTATTCCCAAGTTTAGGAAATGTAGAATTTATGTTCACTCAAATATAATGAAATATTCATTGTGTTTACTTTTTCCCTGGAAGAATCAAAAGTATAGTTTCCTTGATAACTGGAAATTAGATCAGATGCAATTAGAGTTTGACAAAGAGACCAACCCCTGCCAATCTATTTCTATACCCAGCAAAAATACTCCTTAAAAATAGAGATAAGACAAAGCCATTTTTAGAAACAAAAACTTGAGAGAATTTGTCATCGGCAGACAGACAATAAAGGAAATATGAAAGAGTATCCTTCCAGCAGGAAAAAAAAATTTACCCACATGGAAACCTAGAAATGCAAGAAGCCCAACAAAAAAGGCAAAGACGTGAGCAAATTTAAAGTGAACATTGGACTGGACGTGGTGGCTCACGCTTGTATTCCCAGCACTTTGGGAAGATGAGGTGGGCAGAGTTCGAGACCAGCCTGGGCAACATGGTGAAACACTGTTTCTACAAAAAAATACAAAAATTATACAAAAATTAGCCAGGCATGGTCACGTGCCTCTAGTCCCAGCTTCTCGGAAGGCTGAGTAAGGAGGATCGCTTGAGCTGGCAGATTGAGGTTTCAGTGAGCTGTGGTTGTGCCACTGCACTCCAGCTGGGTGACAGGGTGAGACCCTGTCTCAAGAAAAAAAAAAGTGAACATTGACCACATGAACAATAATAAATTATTATAATTAATATAATAAAGTATTATGTTTATATATGTATACATGAAAATACACAAATATCCAAACAACAATAGAAAATTGTTGGATAAGTTTGTAGGAAAGAAAATAATCCCAGATGGAAACTCACAGATGAAAGAATGAATAGTAATGTAAAGGATTAATATGAGGGCAAATTTAAGTTAATATTAATTGTATAGAACAATAATAATAATGTTTTATGGAGTTCAAATATATATATGCATGTGCATAGACTATTTAATTCACTTTGTGCCATTTTTGTAAATACAATCATTTGAATAACTTTTTGTAAGTGTCTGGATTAATTTCACGCTTTAGAAAGTACATAGATGATGTGCCAAGTTGAAACCCAAGAATTCCCACACAAAACTCTATGAAAGTTAGAGTTCTATGTAAAGCTTGCATAGTAGGAGTGGCTAGGGTCTTGGGTTTACAGAATACTAAATTGGAATCTTTTTTATTTTTTATTTTTTGGAATTGGTGTCCCTGGAATGCAGTGGTGGGATCACAGCTCACTGCAGCCTTGACCTTCCCTGGCTCAGGTGGTCCTTCTACATCAGCCTCCTGGGTAGCTGGAATTCCAGGCACACACCACCATGCTCGGCTAATTTTTTTTGTATTTTTTTGTAGAGAAGGGGTTTTGCCATGTTGCCCAGCCTGGTCTCGAATTTCTGGCCTCAAGTGATCTGCCCACCTCCACCTCCCAAAGTGCTAGTATTACAGGCGTGAGCCACTGCACTTGGCCCTAAATTGGAATCTACTCATTCTGCCATAGACAAATGTTTTGTTTAGTGACTAATATCTGTGACATTAGGGGCCTTGTGCAAATATAATACGTTGATCAGGGATCTGTTTTGTCCTAGACACAACGTTCACTCAGAATTTTATGAAATTGCAAGTCATATAATTTATAAACTTCTAAAAATGTGTGTAGAACATTTTTACTTCCACAGTCAACTTCAAGGATTTTAGAACAAAATTCTATGGGTTTCCATGCCCTCTTCTTGTTTGGTTGCTTTTTGACTGAAATTAACATGTAGCCATATTGACTATTTGGAAACATTGCTGTTTCTCTCTATATTTTTAAATTTTGCTCTGCTGAATACTCTGTTTTACCATATATAAGAGTGATGTGAGCTAGGCTAGTGACTCACGACTGTAATCCCAGTGACTTGGGAAGCTCAGGCAGGAGGATCGCTTGAGGCCAAGAGTTCAAGACCAGCCTGGGCAATGTAAGGAGACCCCCATCGCTAAAACAACAACAACAACAACAACAACAATTAGCCGGGCATGGTGGCATGCACCTGTAGTCCGAGCTACTTGGGAGGCTGAAGTAGGAAGATCACTTGGGCCCAAGAGTTTGAGGGCACAGTGAGTTATGATTGCACCACTGCACTCCAGCCGAGTGACAGAGCAGAGACCCTGACTTTAAAAAAAAAAAAAAAAAAAGAGATGTTTTCTTTATAAATTTCTCTCTCTCTCTCTTTGAGACAGGGTCTTGCTCTGTCATCCAGACTGGCATACAGTGGCACAAACAAGGCTCACTGTGGCCTCAATCTCATGGGCTCAAGTGATCCTTCTGCCTCAACCTCCTGAGTAGCTGGGACCACAGGTATGCACCATCACACGTAATTTTTTTTAAAAAATTTGAGGCTGGGTGCGGTGGCTCACACCTGTAATCCCAGCACTTTGGAAGGCCGAGGTAAGAGGAACACCTGAGGTCACGAGTTTGAGACCAGCCTGACCAACATGGAGAAACCCCGTCTCTAATAAAAATACAAAATTAGCCAGGTGTGGTGGTACATGCCTGTAATCCCATCTACTCAGGAGGCTGAGGCAGGAGAATCACTTGAACCCAGGAGACGGAAGTTGTGATGAGCCGAGACAGCGCAACTGCACTCCAGCAACAAGGTCTCACTATGTTGCCCAGGCTGGTCTTGAACTCCTGGGCTCAAACCATCCTCCCGCCTCGGCCTCTGAAAGTGTTGGGATTACAGGTGTAAGCCACTGAGTCTGGCCTAAATCTCACTTTTTTTAAGCACTCTTGACCTTGTATTAAACAATTTTTAATTAAAACAATTATTAATGCTTAATTATTGTTTAAGCAAAAATAATTTTATGATAAAAACAAACACTTGAGAGCACCAGCCCAGCAATGTGTAACAGGAAGAACTGAATTCTGGTAAACAATTTTAATGATGAATTAAGTGAATTAAACTTGATACAAATATATTATGTAATATAAATACTGTATGGAATTTGCCCCTGGTAAATAATTAGGTCTTTTACTTCTGTAATTGTCACTTTAATATTCATTTCCTTTTTTTCCTGTGGTTAATCTCATTAAATAAATGAATTTTAATAAAGTTTTCTTGGGACAAATTTACAAGGATGCATCATAACAATGAGGATCAAGAGCCTAAAATAAACTTTTTAAAGTTTTTCCTCATCTTTCACTTGCAGAAAGCCTCCCACCTTTTGAACCAGGCATCCCTTTGGATCTTGTTTGCATCAGTATAAGCACTACCCTGTGACCCAAAATTATAGTGGCAACCTTGAGCATATTCACTGACAGATCTTCAGCTGTGGGGTGAAAACTGATGGCTTCAGCTGCTGTGCTCCTTGCATCCAGCTCTGCATACACATTGAGTCTATGCTTCTCATGGGTGCTGCCAAGCAGTGACTGGGAGTGGCAGAAATGCTATGGTAGGTCATTTCGGGGAAGACGCAGATCACTTCTGACAGGGTGACTCCTCACTGGCCTGTTGAACTTTCTTTGACTTTCATAGCAGTCTAAACCTCTTCTTTAGCCTGCTTTCCTTCACAAAAGGTCAGACCTGCACTGTGGCCTGATAGTTCTCCCAACCTCCCCTCCCAGCCTCCTCACTTCCCCTCACCGCTGTTTTCCACTAATAAATCCCTTGCATGTCTAATTTCATGTTGGCATTTTAGGAAACCTGTAATAATGTTATAGGAGTTATTAAGAAATTATTTTAGGCAGATAGAGAGGAAAAGGGGTCCTTGGAAAGTTTTTGTCTCTTTTAAAGCAGCTCCAGAAAAGGAAAGCCCCAGCTCTTAGAGCCAGGCCGGCAAACTTTGATATGCAAATGCAAGCCATTAGAAACCAGGTCCACCCAAACATGGCAATTCCCACCTTTGCCCTCTTGCCCTTGCCCCCACATGTGCCTGGCAACATGGCCGCCCCCACATATCCCCACGTGTGTAGAACATCATGGTGCCCTGTATTTGCATATTAAAAGGCTAGGGTGGGAGGACCAGTTTTTTTTCACAGGTTATGTGAGTGACATGCCTGCTCAAACCAATTCCCTGAGCCCTATACAAATCAGGTACCACCTCCTCCAGCCTCCTCATATAAGCAGTTACATTTCCACGGCACTCAGGGTTTCCTCTCACGGCTTTGGAGCGCCCCCCTCCCTCTGTCTCTGTTCAGGGGAGGTTCTTCTTTCTTCTCCCTTCTTTCTTGCCTATTAAAGTCTCCACTCCTTAAAACTACTCCACGTGTGTCCGTGTCGTTTTATCCAATTCGGCGTGAGACAAGAGCCCTGGTGTTCTTCACTCATCAGAGCCATATTAATGTATATCATGAGAAACATCCACGAAACCAAAAGTTGGTTCTTTGAAAAGGCTTATAAAATTGGTACACATTTGGTGAGATTAATAAAGAAAAAATAAAGAGAAATAACAAATATCAACAACAGAGAATTGGACAGTAGTACAGATCACATAGACATTAAAAACATAAAAAGAGGCTGGGTGCAGTGGCTCACATCTGTAATCTCAGCACTTTGGGAAGCTGAGGTGGGAGGCTTTCCTGAAGCTAGGAGTTTGACACCAGCCTGGGCAACATAGAGAGACCTGGTATCTATTAATTTTTTTTTTTAATTAGCCAAGTGTCACGGCACACACCTGCAGTCATATCTACTTGGGAGGCTGAGTTGGGAGGATTGCTTGAGCCCAGAAGTTACAGTGAGCCATGATCATGCTGCTGCACTCTAGCCTGGGCAGCAAAGGGAGACCCTGTCATTAAAAAAAAAAAAAAAAAAAAAAAAGCATAAGAGACTTCTCTTTCAGCTATGACAAAGTCCTTTGCAGCAGATTAATACTCATATGAAGAACAACTAGTACATCTAGCTAAAATTTTTTGGCATATCTACTTGAAGGCATCAGAAAGCTGAAATGGCAGTCAAGACTCTACGTACCGATGTCCCAGAGGAAAAAGCAGCTCACTAAGTTGAATCCAATATTTTGCATTCTGCTTTCCTCTTCAGCATTTACAAATGCTTGGTTTGGGGTGAGAAGCCAGGCATAAAGAAGATGCTAGAGACACCAGCAGTTTTCAGCAATCTAACGGGATGGAGAAGATAAAAACTGGAGTTTGAGCTGCCAGGAATTTAGGAGCCAAGATCTTGGAGATAAGAGATGTAGAAGTGTACTCAGTTCATGATAACTGTTTTTAGCTAGAAGTACTTGCTGATTCTAGAGGTGCATGGGATTAGAGGCTATTAAACCAAGCAGAAATGACCGAAAAGCACAGCAGAGTTTTCTGTACCATGAAATTGGAATTCAGCATCTGCCAAGAAGGAAGAAGTCCAGTAAACACCACAAGCTCTCAGCTGATACTCTTCAATGACATTACCCTAGGAAAGGGTGCAAACTAGAGATAGTACAACTATTGTAAGACTGCAGCCTAGCCTCACATGCTCTCAGCCCTGATTGGAATGAGCTGATCTGCCTGACTTTAGTTGCCTGCCAAAGAATAGGATCAATCCTGTCTGGAGAAAAATAACATCATCCAGAAAGCCTGCAATTGTTCATTCACTCTCCTGCATTCAATTATAACTGACCAGGTAATACAGGAGTTATTAAGAAATAATTCTTAGGCAACTAGAAAGGGTGAAAGTTCTCAGTGGAATTTTCCTTTAATAAAAAGCGGCCCCAAGCCACTTCTTCTTTAACAGAAAGCAGCCTGAGAAGCTTTTATATGTAAATGTCGGCAGCTGTACCTGAAACCCGGGTACATTCAATATGGGGTCTCCCGCCCTCTTTTCCTTATGACCGCCTTTGCTGGCATTAAAGCAGCCTTCAGGTAAAACCACGTATACAGGTATGATGGCTGCCGCCAGGAGGAGGCTGCATTTGCATAAAAAAAGACTAGGATGGGAGGGACAGTCTTTTCGCTGGCTACGTAAATGACACACCTGGTCAAACCAATCTCCTGTGCCCGATGTAAATCAATCACCGCCTCCTCAAGCCTCCGTACAAAACAGATTGCGTTCTGCCCCAAACTGGAGTCCCTTTGGGGCAATCCGCTTTCTCAGCATGAGGAAGCCTTTTTTCTCTCTCTTCTTGTCTATTAAACTTTCCGCTCCTAAACCCACTCCTTGTGTGTGTCCATGTTTTGAATTCTTTCTCGGCTGTGACAAAGAACCAGGGGATATACTCCAGACAATGGAGCCATTTCACCGGGACATCAAGAAAAATGAGCAAAAGAAATAAACAGTGCCACATGAACAGTGCTAAACTAGGTAGAAATAACCACTCTCATTTTCATGTTATCACCAGTAATCTGTGCAATAATGCGATAATATGTTGCTCCATGCCTGACTCCACCAAGCTGTGTGTCAAATTTAAGGACAATTGTTCACTAAGTAATGTTTGAGCATTTGTCATGTGCTGGGCACTGTAGTAGATGCTAGATGTAGAGAGATGAACAAGGCAGATGCTTTGTCATGATGTGAGCCTGAAGCTGCCGAGGAATACCATAGGAACCTAAAGAATGTAGCCCAAACTGTAGAAGACACAGAAAAGAAACAGTAAAAATCCAAACAGTGATGGCTGGGCGCAGTAGCTCATGCCTGTAAACCCAGCACTTTGGGAGGCCGAGGCGGGCGGATCACCTGAGGTCGGGAGTTTGAGATCAGCCTGACCAACGTGGAGAAACCCCGTCTCTACTAAAAATACAAAATTAGCCAGGCATGGTGGCACACGCCTGTAATCCCAGCTACTAGGGAGGCTGAGGCAGGAGAATCGCTTGAACCTGGGAGGCGGAGGTTGCGATGAGCTGAGATCACGCCATTGCACTCAGGCCTGGGCAACAAGAGCGAAACTCCCTATCAAAAAAAAAATTAATAAAATAAAAATAAAAAAATAATAAAAAAAATTCAAACAGTGGGCATCATTTGAATTCTGAAGCCAGATGCACACAAAGGCCAACCCCACACTAGATGTTTTAAAATTGACATTCAGTAAAAATGACTTTACTGTTGGTATACAATTCTATGAGTATTAACACATGTATATACTTGTGTAGGGAATACCACAGTCAAAATATCAATAGTTGCATTACTCACCTTCTGAAAAAAGTCCTTGCCCTATCCCTTTGTTGTGATATCCATTAACCACCTCTTTGCCCTGATAAACACTGATATGTTCTCTATGACTGTAGTTTGAATGTAGTTGTCAAATCAACGGAAACACAATAGTATGTAACTTTTAGAGCCTGGTTTCTTTCACTCAGCATGATGTCCATGAGATTTGTGCAAATATTTAGCGTTTTCCATGGAGTTTACGATGCTTCTGTTACTGATTTCTAATATAATTTCATGGTAGTGAGAGAATATAACTATATTTCAATCCCTTTAACTTTATTGGGATTTATTTTATGGCCTACCACAAGGCCTATCTTACTGAATAGTCCCTGTACTCTTGAAAAAAATGTGTATTTTGCTGTTGTTGGATGGAGTGTTTTGTAAACATCAATTAAGACATGTTGGTGAAAATATTGTTTAATTCTTCTATATACGTCTACATTCTGTCTACTTGTTATATCAAATACTGAAAGAGGAATGTTGAAGTCTCAAACTATAATTGTAAATTCATCTATTTTTTCTTCTTTCTATACTGTCAGAATTTGTTTCATATATTTTAAAGTTCTGTTATTGAGAGCATATATATTTAGGATTGTAATGTCTTCTTGATGAATTAATCACTTTGACATTGTGAAATGTCTCTATTTATTTGAGATAATATTCTTTGTTCCAAACTCTAATTTGTATGATGTTAATATGGCCACCAGCCACTTCAGCTTTTTTTTTTTTTTTTTTTTTTTTTTTTAGACGGAGTGCAATGGCAAGACCTCGGCTCACCACAACCTCTGCCTCCTGGGTTCAAGCGATTCTCCTGCCTCAGCCTCCCGAGTAGCTGGGATTGCAGGCATGCGCCACCATCCCTGGCTAATTTTGTATTTTTAGTAGAGATGGGGTTTCTCCATGTTGGTTAGGCTGGTCTCGAACTCCCGACCTCAGGTGATCCGCCCACCTTGGCCTCCCAAAGTGCTGGTATTACAGGTGTGACCCACCGCGCCTGGCCCTCCAGCTTTCTTATGATTAGAGTTATCATGGTATATCATTCCCTATCCCTTTGTTGCATAAAATCTGTGTCTTTATATTTAAAGCATATTGCTGGATCTTCTTTTTTCACCCAGTCTATCTCTGCATTCTTTTTTTATTTTGAATTTCTGTGGGTACATAGGTAGGTGTATGTATTTATGGGGTACACGAGATATTCTGATACAGAGATACAATGCATAATAATCACATCAGATGGCCAGGCACTGTGGTGCATGCCTGTAATCCCAGCTACTCCGGAGGCTGAGGCAGGAGAATCACTTGAACCTGTGAGGCAGAGGTTGGGGTGAGCTGAGATCACGCCATTGCACTGCAGCTGGGGCAGCAAGAGCAAACTCCATTTCAAAATAATAATAATAATAAATAAATAATAATCACATCAGGGTAAATGGGGTATCCATCACCTCAAGCATTTATTCTTTGTATAGTTGGATTGTTTGTATCCAACTATACTCTCTTAGTTATTTTTATTGGTAGAACTGTGATGATGACCCCGAGCCACAAAATTGGCAAGTTTTTATCAGGGATTTTAAAAGGGGAGGGGGTGTATGAACAGGGAGTAGGTCACAAGGATCACATGCTTCAAAGGGCAATAAGATCACAAGGCAAAGGCAAAATTAGAATTACTGATGAGGGTCTATGTCCTGCTGTGCATGTATTGTCTTGATAAACATCTTAACAGGAAACAGGGTTCGAGAGCAGAGAACTGGTCTGACTAGAATTTGCCAGGCTGGAATTTCCCAATGCTTTATGCCTCAGTAAGCCTGAGGGTACTGCAGGACACCAGGGTGTATTTCAGTCCTTATTGAACGACACTCCCAGAGCGGCCGTTTATAGACCTCCCCCCAGGAATGCATTCCTTCCCCACCGTATCAATTATTAATATTCCTTGCTGGGAAAAGAATTCAGTGATATCTCTCCTACTCACATGTCTGTTTATAGGCTCTCTGCAAGAAGAAAAATATGGCTCTATTCTGCCCAACCCCACAGGCAGTCAGAACCTTATGGTTGTCTTCCCTTGTTCCCTTAAAATTGCTGTTATTCTGTTCTTTTTCAGGGTGCACTGATTTCATACTGTTCAAACACACATGTTTTACAATCAATTTGTACAATAGTGGTCCTGAGGTGATGCACATTCTCAGCTTATGAAGATAATGGGATTAAGAGATTAAAGACAGACATAAGAAATTATAAGAGTATTATTAGGAAAGTGATAAATGTCCATGAAATCTTCACAATTTATGTTCAGAGATTGCAGTAAAGACAGGCATAAGAAATTATAAAACTATTAATTCTAATACTTTTATAGTATTAGAACTAATAAATGTCCATGAAATCTTTACAATTTATGTTCTTCTGCCTTGGCTCCAGCCGGTCCCTCCGTTTGGGGTCCCTGACTTCCCGCAACAGTTTTTAGCCATCTTAACATGATGTGAGTATGGTGTGTGTGTGTGTGTGTGTGTGTGTGTGTGTGTGTGTCTTGCTTGGGGTTATTGAGAGTTTAAGATATATAAGTTTATTATTTGCTTCATATGTGCCAACATTTTGGTCATTGTTTCTTAAACATTTTCCTGTCCTTCCTTTTCTGGGTCCTCAACTATATGTACATTATAGCACTTGATATTGTCCCAAAGTTATCTGAGATTTTCTTAATTTCTTTCTTTTTTTTCTCTCTCTTGAGTTTAGATTGTTCCTATTGGTATTTCTTCACATTTATTGACAGTTTCTTCCTTGTGCCTACTCTGCTATTAATCTCATTCCATAAATCTTTCATTATCATTTCTAAAAGTTTTGTTTGGCTCTTTTTTTTTTTGGCTCTTTTTTATATCTTACATTTCTTTCCTCATTGTGTTCATATTTACTTTTCTTTTTTGAGATGGAGTCTTGCTCTCTTGCCCAGACTGGAGTGTAATGGCACGATCTCGGCTCACAGCAACCTCTATCTCCCAGGTTAAGTGATTCTCCCTCCTTAGCCTCCTGAATAGCTGGGGTTACAGGCACCTGCCATCGTGCCCAGCTAATTTTTGTATTTTTGTAGACATGGGGTTTCACCATGTTGGCCAGGCTGGTCTTGAACTCCTGACCTCAGCTGATCGGTCTGCCTCGGCCTCCCAAAGCATTGGGATTACAGGTGTGAGCCACCATACTCAGCCCATGTTTTCCTTTAAGAACTAAAACAGGCTGGGCACAGTGGCTCACATCTAAAACTCCAGCATTTTGGGAGGCAGAGGCAGGCAGATCACTTGAAGCCAGGGGTTCAAGACCAGCCTGGCCATCATAGCAAAACCCTGTCTCTACTAAAAGTACAAAAAAAATAGCTGGGTGCAGTGGCATGCACCTGTAATACTAACTACTCAGGAGGCTGAGGCAGGAGAATCGCTTGAGCCTGGGAGATGGAGGTTGCAGTGAGCTGAGATTGCACCCACTGCACTCCAGACTGGGCAACAGAGTGAGACTCTGTCTCAAAAAAAGAAAAAAAATTAAAACATAATTTTATCTTATTTTATTTTTTTCAGTTAAAACTTTTTATATTTTAATAGCTTTTGGGGTACAAGTGGTTTTTGGTTACATGGATGAGTTGTATGGTGGTGAAGTCTGAGATTTTACTGCACCTGTCTCCCTAGTAGTATATGTTGTATCCAATATATAGTTTTTATATCTCCCCACTCTCCCCCTTCTGAGTCTCCATAGTTCATTATATCACTTTGTGCATATATGGCCTTTGTGCATCCATAGCTTAGCTCTTGCTTATAAGTGAGAACATAAGATATTGGGTTTTCCATTCCTGAGCTATTTCACTTAGAATAATGGCCTCCAGCTCCATCCAAGTTGCTGCAAAAGACATATTTAGTTCTTTTTATGGCTGAGTCATATTCCATGGTGTATGTATATCACATTTTCTTTATTCACTCATTGGTCGATGGGCACTTAGGTTGGTTCCATGTCTTTGCAATTGTGAATTGTGCTGCAACAAACACATGCGTGCAGATGACTTTTTAACATAACTTATTTTCCTTTGGGCAGATACCCAGGAATGAGATTGCTGAATCGAATGGTAGATCTACTTTTAGTTTTTTAGGAAATCTCCATACTGTTTTCCATAGAGGTTGTACTAATTTACATTCCCACCAGCAGTGTATAAGCATTCCCTTTTCTCCACATCCACACCACCATCTGTTGTTTTTTGACTTTTTAATAATGGCCATTCTTGTAGGAGTAAGGTGGTATCTTATTGTCGTTTTAATTTGCATTTCCCTGATCAGTGATGTTGAGCATTTTTCACGTTTGTTGGCCATTCATATATCTTCTTTTGAGAAATGTCTGTTCATGTCATTTGACCATTTTTTTGATAGGATTATTTGCTTTTTCTCGCTGCTCTGTTTGAGTTCCTTGTAGATTCTGGATATTAGTCCTTTGTCAGATGCATAGTTTGCAAATATTTTTTCCCATTCAGCAGATTTTCTGTAAAACATGATTTTAATGCTGTTTTCACATTTTCATCTGCAAATTTCACCATTCCCATTATTTCTCCTCCCTCCCTCCCTCTCTCTCTCCCTTTCTTTCTTTCCTTCTTTCTTTCTTTCTTCCTCTGAGACAGGGTCTCACTCTGTCATCCAGGCTGGAGCGCAGTGGTGCAATCTTGGCTCACTGGAGCCTTGACCTCCTGGGCTCCAGTTCCCATCTCAGTCTCCCCAGTAGCTGAGACTACAGGAACATGCCATCATTCCCAGCTAATTTTTGTATTTTTTGTAGGGACAGCATTTCGCCATGTTGCCCTGGCTGGTTCGAACACCTGAGCTCAAGCAATCTGCCCACCTTGGCCTCTCAAAGTGCTGGGATTACAGAAGTGAGCCACCATGCCTGGCCATTCCTATCCTTTCTATGTCTATTACATGATTTTCCACTTGGTTATAGATCACATTCTCTTGCTTCTTTGTATGTCTCATAATTTTTAATTGGATATTTGAGTCTTACACTGTTGAGTGCCTAGATTTTGTTATCTTCTTATAAAGCTTTTGGTTAAAACTGTACATTGTATGTAACATATTGTGGCCACTCTGGATTCTATTTTTTTCTTCAGATAATTATTTGACTGGCATTTTTTGTTGTTTGTTTCTTTGAGCCAAGTTCTTTCTCTGTCACCCAGGCTAGAGTGCAGTGGCAGGAGCATGGCTCACTGCAGCTTTGACCTCCTGGATTGAAGCAATTCTCCTGCCTCAGTCTTCTATGTAGCTAGGATCACAGGTGCATACCACCACACCTGGCTACCTGGCTAATTTTTAAAATTTTTTTGTAGAGACGGGGTCTCATTTTGTTGCCCAGTCTGGTCTTTGACTCCTGGGCTCAAGTGATCTTCCCACCTCTGCTCCCAAAGTGCTGAGATTACTGGTGTGAACCACCATGCCTGTTTGACTATTTGTTTTTAAATGAAGTAAACTTGCCCTGACTCCCTGTCTCCTTAGTAGAGTGAAGCAGTTTATATTCTGCTTCGTTCTTAGTTTAGTGAAGGATTTGGCCAGTGTTTATACTTAGATTGCGGGGGTTACACCCATCTGCAGTTGCCCTAATTATCAGTCTTTCCTTCTAAATTCTAAACTGCTTTGGCAGCTCTACTTCTATTCGCTGTTACCTCAAATAAGTCTTCAGCTTTCTGCTACCCAAGGTGTACCTCTGTTGGGAAATATATGCATTCAAAAGAGCAGCAAACTCATACACTTCACTGAGTGCAGTTCTGCTTTTCAGGGACTCCTGTTATTTCATCAGGCTGTCTGTATTTTAGTGGTCAGTCAGTGATTTGGGCAGAGTTTACACCCAGATTTTGGATCTCACACATTTTGTAGGTCACTCCCCAAACTGATGACCTCTTCTAACAAACCCTGTACTCAGTTTGCTGACAGTTTGAGCAAGTAAGCCTGCAGTGCTGAGCTTCAGTGGTGAGGGACACCATCAGACAAAAAGCCACAAACTCATAATTCTTATCAGTTGCTGAACAAATTCTCCTGTGGTTTTTACCTGCTTTTATTGTTTTAGATTTTTAAAAAGTCATTTTTAGATATTTTGGCCACTTTTCTTAGTTATTAACTGTAGATGGGTTCACTTGACCACTTTATGCTACCTCCATTATTAGAAGTGTCCTTATCAATTATTTTGACATGAAGATTTTCAAAAATGTCTATGCTTTTAAAAGTAGACTATTTCAACCTACTTTACATAACTTATATAGCAAAACTTTTTTTTCGAGACAGAGTCTCGCTCTGTCCCCAGGCTGGAGTACAATGGCACAATCTTGACTCACTGCAACCTCCGTCTCCCAGGTTCAAGTGATTTTCCTGCTTCAGCCTCCTGAGTAGCTGGGACTACAGGCACGCACCACCACGCCCAGCTAATTTTTGTATTTTTAGTAGAGATGGGGTTTCACCATGTTGGCCAGGATGGTCTCAAACTCTTGACCTCATGATCCACCAGCCTCGGCCTCCCAAAGTGCTGGGATTATAGGCATGAGCTACTGCGTCAAGCCAGCAAAAAATTTTTTTATATTATTTTGCTTTTAGAGTTCAGATAAATCAGCAAACTTCCTACCTTTCCTTCCTTCCTCTTTCTCCTTCTTTCCTTCTTTCTTTCTCTTTTCTTTTTCTTTCTTTCCTTTTTTCTTTTTCTCCTTCCTTCCTCTCTTTCCTTCCTTTTCCTTCCTTCCTCTTTCTTCTTTCGTTCTTTCTTTCTTTCTTTTTTTCCTCTTTTTTTCTTTTTTTTTTCTTTTTTTGACAGGGTCTCACTCTGTTGCCGAGGGTAGAGTACACTGGTGCAATCACAGCTCACTGCATCCTTGAACTCCTGAGCTCGAGCGATCCTCCCGCCTCAGCCTCCTAAGTAGCTGGGGCTATAGGTGCATGCCACCACACCCAGCTAATTAAAACAAATTTTTTTAGAGACCAAGTCTCATTATGTTGCCCAGACTGTTCTTGAACTCCTGGGCTCAAGCTACCCTTTCATTTTAGCTTTCCAAACTGCTAGGATTACAGGAGTGAGTCACCATGCCCAGCTGACAAACTTTTTCTTAAAGGGCCAAGTGACAAATATTTTAGGCTTGTGGGCCATATGATTGCTGCTATAACTACCCAACTGCCATTTTAGTGTGAAGCAGCCATAGATGAAACACAAATGTAAATTATGTTTAATGTAAAATATGTAAATTAATGGGCATGGCTGTAGTCTGATATTTTATTTACAAAAGTAAGTAAAGTTTTACTTTATTTACTGATCTGCTGTCTGTACTTTGCTGACCCCTAAGTTAAAACATCTGAAAAATTTCACTTACCAGACAATTGGGCTCTTTGAAGAGTTTTGGTCACTGTGACATACCAAACAGAGAAAGTCCTGATTAAATACTGGTTGAAGAAATGAACAACTAAAAAAGCCATTTATTACATGATTTCTTTTATCTTTAGATTCCTTAACAAACAGTGCCATCTGTTGAAGAACTATTAGGAAATACTTTTCCTGTAAACTGAGTATTTACTACAGAGCACTTGAAAAAAATGACAATTATTGGTTCACTCATTCAACAAATACATGTTTATCATCTATGTACCTAGCATTATACTTGGCACTGAACTGTATCAAAGAGATAAGGTTTAGATGTTTATAGAGCATACAGACAAGTGGGAGACTATATTATTGTAAGCACAATTGGAAGCTGCTGGGGTAGTATTTCCTGCACCCCATCACATACATACATACATACATACATACATACATACATATATATATATATCACATTTTAAAAAATCCATTCATTCCTCTATGGACATTTGGACTGCTTCTGCCTCTTGGCTATTGTGATTAATGCTGCAGTGAATATGAGTGTGCAAATATCTCCTTGAGATCCTGCTTTCCATGTTTCTTGTTTGTTTTTTTGAGACAGAGTTTCGCTCTTGTTGCCCAGGCTGCAGTGCAATGGCGTGGTCTCCAATCACTGCAACTTCTGCCTCCTAGGTTCAAGCAATTTTCCTGCCTCAGTCTCCCGAGTAGCTGGAATTACAGGTGTGTACCACCACACCTGGCTAATTTTTCCATTTTAAGTAGAGACGGGATTTCACCATGTTGGCCAGGCTGGTCTCAAACTCCTGACCTCAACTGATCCACCCACCTTGGCCTCCCAAAGTGCTGGAATTACAGGCATGAGCCACCATGCCCAGCCTGTTTTTAGATATATACCCAGGAGAGGGATTGTTGGATCATACTGTAATTCTATGTTTGGTTTTTAAGGAACCTCCATACTGTTTTTCATACCAACTGCATCATCTTACAGTCCCACCAGCAGTGCACAAGCGTTCCAATTTCTCCACATCCTTGCCAATACTTGTTATTTTTTGTTTTATTGATAGTGGCCATCCTAATGGGTGTGAGGTAATACCTCATTGTGATTTTGATTTGCACTTCTCTAACAGTGATGTTGAACATCTTTTCATATGCTTCTTGGCCATTTGTATATCTTCTTTGGAGAAATGTCTATTCAGATCCTTTGCCCAATTTTTAAATTGTTTTGTTGTTGTTGAGTTGTAAGAGTTCTCTACATATTGTGGAAATCAATCCCTTATCAGACATATGATTTGCAATTGTTTTCTCCCATTCCATAGCTTGCTTTTTCACTGTGTTGATTATTTACTTTAACATGCAGAAGTTTTTAAGTTTGATGTTATCCAATTTTTCCATTTTTGCTTTTTTTGCTAAAATCCTTTTTGAAGGCATTGGAGACCCAGGACAGTGAGGATTCGAGGAACTGAAATTCAGGAGAGATGATCCAAAAAGTTGAGCTTGACATTTGGCACCACATTTCACCTCAAGACATCTGCTGATTTGTAATGTGGCAGCTGAGAGTTTATGAGGCTGGGGAGCCGAAAGCAGTAGCTGAGAGGTGGAAAAGCTGATCAGGTTTGGCAGGCTCTGCCAAGCTCTCCTGCAAAGCTATACCCTAGGACTGAGGTGATAACAGAAATAGATGAGCTCTCACAAAGACAGAAACCCAGTTTCTAATCAGAACAGTCCTAGACTGGGTTAAAGTAATCTGTCCCTACACTAATGGCCTTCCAGAAAATATAGTAATCCCCTCTGAAGAAAGATGACATCATTCAGAGGCTTAACTTATGTTTACAATTTTTCATACATAAAGGTCAAGATGCACTAAAAAAATTATCAGCTATACCAGGAAATAAGGCCAAATGATGGAAAACCAAGAGAAAAAGAAACAAAACATAACAAAAAAAAACATCACCAGACAACAGAAAAGAGACCCTCAGGAAATCCAGATATTGGAGTTATCAGAAAGTACTTCAGGCGGCCGGGCGCGGTGGCTCACGCCTGTAATCCCAGCACTTTGGGAGGCCGAGGCGGGCGGATCACGAGGTCAGGAGATCGAGACCATCCTGGCTAACACGGTGAAACCCGGTCTCTACTAAAAATACAAAAAATTAGCCGGGCGTGGTAGCGGGCGCCTGTAGTCCCAGCTACTCGGGAGGCTGAGGCAGGAGAATGGCGTGAACCCGGGAGGCGGAGCTTGCAGTGAGCCGAGATCGCGCCACTGCACTCCAGCCTGGGCGACAGAGCGAGACTCCGTCTCAAAAAAAAAAAAAAAAAAAAAAAGAAAGTACTTCAGGCTTCTTGACTTCCTATATTTACTGTAATTATTTTCTGAGTGCTTAACATGTATCAGGGACTGTGGAATGTGGGAATAAATCATGGTCCCTGATACCAAAGAGCTGATGGTCTGTATTAGGCTGAATAACAGGTGCCCAAAGATGTTCATGTCCTAATCCCTACACCCTGTGAATATGTTACTTTACATGTTTAAAAGGACTTTGCAGATATGATTAAGGTAAGGATTTTTGAGATAAGGAGATTATCC
The DNA here is from genome assembly GCF_000001405.40 of Homo sapiens. NCBI lineage: Eukaryota > Metazoa > Chordata > Mammalia > Primates > Hominidae > Homo > Homo sapiens. The sequence continues at coordinate 105,103,645 of NC_000012.12, forward strand.
TGGATTATCTGTGTGAGCTTGATGTAATCACAAGGGTCATTATAAGAGGAAGGCAGGTGAATCAGTCAATAGTAGGAAATGTGATGGGAGAAACAAGAGGTTCAAGTAATGCACAGAAGATGAGAAAGGCAAAGAAATAGATTCTTAGTGTCCAAGAGGAATCAGCCCTACTAACACCTTTACTTTAGCCCAGTGAGACTGATTTTGGCATTCTGACCTCTAGAACTAGAAGATAATAAATTTGTACTCTTTTAACCACTAAGTTGGTGACAATTTGCTACAGCAGCAATAGGAAACTAATACATAACTTAATAGTGAAGATAATTATGTCAATAGATAACTTTGAAGTGGTAAATACCATGGAAGCACAGGGCCGAAGCACTTGGTCCAACCAGGAATTCAGGGAATTAGATATAACGGTAATCTAGGCTGGGCGCAGTGGCTCACTCCTGTAATCCCAACATTTTGGGTGGCCGAGGTGGGCGGATCACCTGAGGTCAGGAGTTCAAGACCAGCCTGACCAACATGGCAAAACCCCGTCTCTACTAAAAATACATATAGTGGTAATCTATATGATTCCACAATCACTGATAACCAACCAGTACAAGGATTTTAGGATCCCTTAAATAAAAGGGCAGATTGGAAGAAGCCTTGAGTTACATGCTATGAAGCATAAATTCCATACCATAGGCAATGGGAAGGATCTAAAAGGGCATGACCTGATCAGATAGGTTTCGAGAAGCTTCACACAGAGAATGTGGACAGTGGAGAGAGAAGACCTGTCACACATCTATAGTGGTTGTTCAAGTGAGGGATTACTTTGTAAATAAATACATGAATTAACATATTAGGAATTTTTTAAACAGATACACGCAGGATTCTGTGACAAACTACTAAGTGAAATGTCTCTAGTGAGTTATTGCCATAGAATTTCTATTGTAGGAAGAAGATTTTATTTATTTTAGATTGTATTTATTTATTTTAAACTTTTATTTTAGGTTTAGGGGTACATGTAAAGGTTTGTTACATAGGTAAACTCATGTCACGGGGGTTTGTGGTACAGATTATTTCATCACCCAGGTATTAAGCCCTGTACCCAATAGTTATCTTTTCTGCTCCTCTCTCCACTCCCACCCTCCACTCTCAGTTAGCCTCCAGTGTCTGTTGTTTCCTTCTTTGTGTTAATGAGCTTTCCTCATTTAGCTCCCACTTATAAATGAGAACATGTGGTATTTGGTTTTCTGTTCCTGTGCTAAGTTTGCCAAGGATAACAGCCCCAGCTCCATCCATGTTCCTGCAAAAGCTATGATCTCGTTCTTTTTCTTGGCTGCATAGTATTCCATGGTATATATGTACCACATTTTAAAAATCCAATCTGTCATTCAGGAGCATTTAGGTTGACTCCATGTTTTTGCTATTGTGAATAGTGCTGCAATGGGAAGATACATTCCCATGCATGTATCTTCATGGTATAATGATTTACATTTCTCTGGGTAAAAATCCAGTAATGGGATTGCTGGGGTGAATAGCAGTTGGAAGAAGACTTTTAATGTAAGTTAATAAACAAATTCACCAAGAACTTAGCTATATAACATATATGTAAAATATTTTGGTATGGAATAAACTAGAACTTAAGGTGTGGGTATATGGGGCTGTAAGTTAAAGGCACAGATTCCTAGGAACTGGCAGGCAGGCACCTTCTGTAGGCAGCTGTTCTAAAGTTCACAGAAGCTCTCAGAATAGCACAATATTGCCCATATGAAAAGTTTCTCCTTCTATTTCCAAGCTTGCTTTTCAGAAAGTACCGTGTGAATGAAGAGTAGTAGAATGAAGAATATGTGATTACTTAAAATAATGATTTGCCTTCTGCAGACTACGTCTAAGAACAATAGGACATTTTTATAAATAACTTTCAGATAGCACTTTTCATTTAGTGAATGTGCTTTTCTATTTGGTATCTAATTTGTAATTCTCTAACAAAATTTGAAATTATAGGCTGTGAAATTTGATTTAAACATATTTAAGATCAAGACAGAAAATCCCTGAGTTTTTTTTTTTTTTTTGAGATGGAGTCTTGCTCTGTTGCCCAGGCTGGAGTGTAGTGGCTCAGACGACTTTCCTGCCTCAGCCTCCAGAGTAGCTGGGACTATAGGCAGGCACCACCATGCCCATCTAATTTTTATATTTTTAGTAGGGACAGGGTTTCACCACGTTGCCCAGGCTGGTCTCAAACTCCTGACCTCAAGTGATCCACCCACCTTGGCCTCCCAAAGTACTGGGATTACAGGCATGAGCCACCACACTGGGACTTGTGAGATCTGGGACTTCTGAGATCTTTTTAAGATAAATCTATATTGATTCATAATAGCAACCTGGTACAGTATGTGGTTGGTATTGTTCTATGTACCTTATATGTATTAACTAATTTAGTCCTCGTAAGAATCCCACAAGGTGTTTACTAGTTTTATTTTATTTTCATTTTATAGATGAGGAAATTGAGGCAGAGGTTAAATTACGTGACCCAAGATCACATGGTTAGTAAGTGGCAGAGCCAGGATTTGGACCTAGGCAATTTGGCAGTCAAAACTGTGCTTTCAATTATTACATGACACTGCCTCTTGCTACTAATCTATTAACTTTAATAGATTAGTGTATTTATAGACTCAAATTTTTCTGACTTGTAAGTTCAATTTATCACAATGAGCTGCTGGGAGATTAATTACAGTGATTTAATGCAAATGTTAAGAATCCAGGAAAGTCAAACTCATGGTCACACAGAAAGTACAGGAAAAAAGTTTGTCAGCCATTAGACCCTAAGGATGCCTGTTCTTTTCAAGATTTTTTTTTTCTTTCTGAAATGCCCACTAAGTCTGCCATAGGGTCAGAAAGCAATTTTCTTACATGTTTTATAGTTTCTGCATCTAGCCTGGTGCCTGGTACCCAGTGGGCACTCAATAAACATTTAACTCAGGGCAGATCCAATGACCTCAGAAGAATGCTCTTCAATAGACCTTTTGCCTACATTGATTAGTTCTTTTCGGTACTTTTTAAGATTACAAGAGTAAAACCCTAATAAATTCTCATTGTTAAGGATTCAAAACACATAAGTAGACACATCAAAACTTGAAAATCCTGTTACTCACCAACACATGCTTTTCCCCAGGTAACCACCGTCCTCTGATTTGTCTTCCTATGAATTTACATACACGTAGGCACATACGCGTTTGTATAACTTAAAAACATAAATGTAATCACAAATACACATTACTCTGCAACTGTCTTGTGTCGGTTGTTCATGCCATTATAAATATATTTCATCTATTTTAGCAGCTCTTCAGTGATTCGTAGTATGGATGTATTGAGCTTTATGTAATTCACTTGTAATGAACATTTAGATAGTTTCCTATTAAAAACCACGTTGCTATAAATATTCTTGTGCAAATACGTGTATGCATGTAGAATTTTACACCGATCCCGATTCTCCAAAAATCCAAATTGCAGGTGGGATCATTTTAGAATGTACTTCAATAGCGTTCTTCATCCTGCCTCGCGTTTTTAAAAGGACTGAGTGGAGAGCGGGGAAGAGGTCGTAAGATCCCCTGTTAGGGTGTTCATAAAGTAACTTCTCCTCTCGCACAGAACGTCTTGACTAAAAAACAATCCGTACAGAATGTGCGGGAGAGCTGTAGGAACTCCTACGGTGGCGACAGAGAGGGAAACAGGCTTGTTGGAAGAAGCGCCTGGTCAGCGTTATCCTCGAGGATCATGCCTTCCTGTTAATTCCCCACCCCATCAATTCTACCTTTTTAGGTTAGACTGGGGAGTAACTTTCCCAGGTATTAAAAATCGTCTAGAGAGAGCAGGGCGAAATTAGAGTGCCGAAGTGGCTTGAGAAGCACAGTGAATGGTGGCGAAGCCCGAGCCGGGTCGCAAGACGCCCGCTGGCACTGCCGGCGCCATGGCGGCCGCCTTCGGCCACGGCGGAGGACTCGCTTTCCCAGGGGCCCCCGCGGTCGCAGGGGCAACGAGCCCGGCCGGCCCTCGCGAGCGGAGGCGGGGCCGGGGCCGGAAGTCACGTGCTGTGACAGTAGCTGGGGTGAGGCCGTCGTCGCCGCACGGGCTGGTTGGGGCTGTGTCTGTGGGAGGCGCCGGGGTGATGGCGGTGGAGACTCTGTCCCCGGACTGGGAGTTTGACCGCGTTGACGACGGCTCGCAGAGTAAGGGAGCTGCAGGGCGAGGGCTGCGGGTGGACGCTCCTTCGGCCCGCCGCTGTTCTGGGCTGGGCAGCGCTCCTGCGAGAGGGACGGCTGCGCAGCCGTCTGGTGCGGGACACTTCAGAGCCCTTGGGGTGTGCGAGGGACGCGCTCTCCAGCGTTACTTTCGGGGTTGGGGTCCCAGCCACGGCGGGTCAGGCTGCCCGTTCAGGGCTCGGCGTGTGAGGCGGAGACTCTCCTGGGGAGCCTGCGGTGCCCCGCGGGGAGCGGCGTCCCCCTTCAGCTGCCCCGGGGCTTGGGCGGGGCGCGCCCGGGAGGCCCAGCGGCCCCGGGATCCCAGGCTGCTTCTGTCTCTGGCCTCTTGGGGATTTCGCCAGATTCTGAGCGTTCAGCTCTGGAGGACGCTGATGTCTGGGTTCCTGTTTCGGTTTCCTGTTTTTCTTCTTTTCCTCCCAAATCAACTTTTGCAAGTTTGGGTGTCTTTCCCATCGCGTTGCTATAACCGTAGAAGGGAGCGAAAAAAGAACTTTTCACCCTGCGAAAATAAACACGTGAATGTCATTTTATCATTTTCCAGGCCTTTTATTTATGCTAAGTGATATTTTTCAGTGATGTTCTGCAGTTTCCATCGCAGTTATAAAGGCTTCAAAAATTACAGCAAATCTTCAAATTTTGCTTCACAAGATCGAATTGTCTGATTTTAACTTAGAAGTCTATCCCGAAATAAACAAATTGTGTTTCTTTCAGTAAAATATTGAGGCCAAATTAATTGTAGTGAAACTCTACTTGAAATAAATACAAGTTGGCAATCTGCTTCTTATCTTTGGTCATAGTAATCTGTGTAAGTGATCTAAGAGAGATTGGAGCATGCTGTTTGTGATTTTTTTTTTCCCTCATAGTTTTCCCAAAAGGTGGAACGTTGCTTTTAAAAATTCCGGATGAATTTTGCTTGATTTACGAAGAGAGACTAATGCCTACAATGTTAGATGAATTAGGTTTTACAAGTCTCTCAGAGAAGAGTGAGCTACATCCAGGATGGGTTGCAGTTTTTCACAAAACATTCCTGAGGTCAGGAGTTCAAGACCAGCCTGGCTAACATGGTGAAACCCCGTCTCTACTAAAAAATAAATAGCTGGGCTTGGTGGCGAGCGCCTGTAATTCCAGCTACTTGGGAGGCTGAGGCAGGAGAATCGCTTGAACCCGGCAGGCGGAGGTTGCAGTGAGCCGAGATCGCGCCATTGCACTCTAGCCTGGGTGATAATAAGGTATTAGCTCTTATGCAGCATAAAAATTAACCTTGGAGATAATGACAAAATCTTTTAATTTTTTTTTGTGGAGGGGATTCTGTATTGTTATAAAGTGAACTGTACCTTGTCATATATGTTTTATGGACAAAGATGACGAACTGGTATCTTCAAAAAAAATTGGAATAGAGTTATGTTAATTGAGTTTGAAAATGGTTCAGCCTGGAGTAGAATGGTCTGATTCACTCAACAGATATTTTCTACAACCAGTGGCTGTGCTAGATATTAGGGATAAAAAGATAAAACAAGGAGTGCAGTCTGTTGACAAAGATGAGCATGTTAAGTAGGTTTTTGGAATTTTTACTCTTAAAAAATTACCATGTAGTTCTTATCTCAACTTTTGTTATTTTAACTTTCACCAATTTTACAACCGTTTATTGTCAGCAAGGAACTTTTAATGTTATTTTAGGTTTTCTGTTTCCTGTTTGTGAATCCCTGAACATACTAAAGGAGTGATTTATTGGCGTGGTGTTTCTCTAGCATTGTCTTTTTTTTTTTTTTTTTTTTTCGAGACAAGGTCTCACTCTGTCGCCCAGTGCCGTGGCATCGCCACGGCTCACTGCAGCCTCGACCAGCTGAGCTCAGGTGATCTTCCTACCTCAGCCTCCTTAGTAGCTGGCTGATTTTTTCTTTTTAAATTGGGATAGAGACAAGGTTTTGCCATGTTGAACTCCTGGTCTCAAGCGACCCACCGGCCTTGGCCTCCTAAAGTGTTGGGGTGAGCCACCATGCCCGGCCTAGCATTGTCTTTAAGAAGTCATTTGCTGGTCAAATGCAGCTTTGACTGGTCATTTCCTGTGTAGTTGAGAATAAGACAACTATTTGGGGTTCTGAGAATCTGGGCAGTCTTATATGTAAGCTGTAGGGAAGAGAACACCTCCCTGTGCTTGGCGTTCATTAATTTTTGGTCTGTGAATCATATCTAGACTAATTGTTTTCCAAAATTGCCTAGATTAATGCTATAATAAGACAGAAACCTTAATGAACTAAATGGATTCACCGGATTTAAAACTTTATGTGGTTGAAGAATAAAGGAGAGTGGGGGCTAGGTCTTTATACTTTAATACAGCATGAGTCAGAACACACTTTCTCTTACTTGCTTCACATTGCTAATTTGAGGAGAGCAAATTTTTACCTTTTTTAGAAGACAAAGGTTGAATAAAGTTATTCATATCAATAAAAGAAACTGAGTTGGAGTTGAATTTGTTACCTTTGGGAACAAGTAATGAATTTTTATGTGTAACGTGAAATACTTTGACGAATAGGCATATTTTAAAATCCAGCTTATTCCAATGATTCCTTAAAGTTACCTATGAATGTGTTAATTCTGTGAAGAACAGCATAGTATTCTGTAGTCAAGCAGTGTTCTTTGCTGGTTTTTCCAACTTGATTATGACAGTTAAATAATTTAACAAATATCTTGGTTAAATTTTAGACATTATAGAAATAATATGCTCAAGCAGGTATAAAACCTCCATTTAAAAATATTTAGGTGTATTATTAAACATTAGTGTGTATAGAATTAAAAACTACATTTTTAAGTGTTACTTCTGTGACAGACTGTTTTTTTCACCTTCAGATCATGAATATTTGTTTTTGCAAAAGAGTTGTTCATGACTAAAAGATAGAATCAGGACATTGAATTGTTTAAGGCACTTTTCAGATTGGTTCAAAGCCCTCTATTATGGGGGTAGATGGGCTAGTGGCTTTTTCATAATATGTTAGGGTTTTAAGGTAGTAACTTTATATATGGTAACATCTACTGCTTTTAAAATTATTTCGTGTATAGAGAAGATTGAAAGCTGAATTGTTGTTTAACTTTGGAACTTTATTTTCAGGAAGTCCAGACATTCCAGAGTAATAATTAACAGTGCTTTGCGTGACTTTTGAGGTTATTTGAAGTAAATGTCCTGCAATTCATTACTTGCACTTATCACATACTGTTTTAAAATTTAAACTTAGAAATTCATGCCGAAGTCCAACTTAAGAATTATGGGAAATTTCTTGAGGAGTATACCTCTCAACTGAGAAGAATTGAGGACGCTCTGGATGACTCAATTGGAGATGTTTGGGATTTCAATCTTGATCCTATAGCATTAAAGGTTTGATTTGATTTTTTAAAAATATATGTATATATTTTCTGGACATACTATATCCTGAAAACATAATTTTTTAAAATGGAAAAAGTATTTTTATTTGAAATCTAAGAACAAAATGAAAGTTGGAGAAAATTGTTAATTTCCTTTTCTCTAAGCCATGCAGATGTTTTTTAAATGTGTGTGTTTTCTGTTTAAGAATGACAAACACACAGCCTTTAGTGTCAAAGAATGACACAAACTCCAAGTCTTTGAGCTTGCCTTTGATTTTCATTATTAAGAAAATGAGGGCTGGATAGAATATTCAGGCTTTGTTTTTTCTTGATTGAGACTATTTTACATAGAGTGAAATGCAGATACTCTTAATTTTGCCAAACACTTGTAACTCATATCCCAATTAAGATAGAGAATATTTTCACCATTTCTGAAAAGTTCTCTCATGCTATATAGATGTTAATGTGTGAGTAATTTTTTAATGTATAAAATACATTACTCTTTCCATTTTGAAATATTTCTTTTATCTTTAAAATTAGTTTGTTACCACTTGAAAAATAATTTACATTTTATTGAGCACTTGTGTATTACACACTGTCCTAAGTCACACACTGACTTGTTTTTATAACAGCTTTCTTGAGATATAATTCATATATCATACAATTCACTCATTTAAATTGTATAATTCAGTTGTTTTTAGCATATTCACTGAGTTGTACAACCATCACAACAGTCAATGTTAGAACGTTCTCAGCCCCCAAAAAAGAAACCATGTACCGTGTGATAATCAACCCCCAGTTCATGCCATGGCATACCTGCCCTAGGCAACCACCAGTCAATCTACTTTTTATCTCTATGTGTTTGTCTCCTCTGTACACTTCATATAAATGAAATCATACGATATGTGCTCCTTTGTTGCTGGCTTCTTTAACTTATGTTTTCAAGGCTCATCTATGTTGTCACATGTTTTTAGTACTTTCTTTTTTTGCTGTTGCTGAATAATATTCCATTGTAAGGAATGGATAACCACATTTTATTTATCCATTCATCAGTTGATAGACATTGGATTTTTCTACTATTTGGCTGCTATGAGCATTTGGGCACATGATTTTGTGTAGACATATATAAGTATATTGTATATAAAATGTGTGTACATTGTGTGTATATTTTATACATATGTATATATGGGAGTGGAAATCCTGGGTTATGTGGTAACTATGTTTAACTTTTTGAGGAACTGCCAGAATGTTTTCCAATATGGCTATACCATTTTACATTACTACCAGCACTGCATGAGGGTTCCAGTTTCTCTACATCCTTGCCAGCCTTTATTGTCTTGATTATATTCTTCCTAGTGAATGTGAAAGCTCATTGTGGCTTTGATTTGCATTTCTGATGGCTAATAATGTTGAGCATCTTTTCATGTGCTTATGGCCATGTGTCTGTTTTCTTTGGAGAAATGTCTGTTCACATCCTTTGCCCATTTTTAAATTGGGTTATCTTTTTAGTATTGCATTATAGGACAAGTATTGACTTTTAATTCCCACCACAATCCTATAAAGTAGATACAATGTCATCTCCATTTGTAAATGAGAAAACTAAGGCATAGAAAAGTTAAGTAACTTAGTCAAGTAAGTGACACATTTAGTTAAATAATGAATATCAGGCAGCTTGACTCCAGAGCCTGTGCCCTTATCCAATACCCTGAACTGCCTCACAAATACTTTATATATTTGTAAACTGAAATTACTTTCCTTTGACTTCTTTTCTTGCAGGCTGGATAGACTTAGTCTTACTTTAAAAATCATCCCCCCCCAAATTTGTAATTGTCTCTTTTTGTTCCTCAACACTTCTGTGAGAATCATTGTATGTAAGTTATAGGAACTCTACTAGGAAACTGTCATTCTCAACCTGTACTATCTCTGAGGGTAATAAGTTTCATATATCTGTCACTTGGCATTAAGTAATACATGTTGATTTTTTAAACAGATGCTGTTGGGCTTTCTCGCCATTAAGTAATACTTGTTGATTTTTTTAAGACTTGCTGTTGGGCTTTAAGGGCCTCTTCTAGATAGGATTATAAAATCTGTTTTTTTTCTCAACTCTCAGATTTTATAAAAGGGTGAAATCATCTCTTAGTTTTTATCTTCCCCTACAGAAGCTTTCTAATCTTTACAATCTTATTATATGACAGACTCCATCTCCGCAGTTGCTCTCTTCGGAACCTCTGTTTAAGTTCTATTATTGGGCAGTTATTTTATTGTTTTTACTATACAAGGTTCTTAGTATTTTGGGAAAAACCACAAACTCAGATAAAACCTCTGTAAACAAAAATTACAACCTAATGAGAAAGGGTATATAATAACTTACTTGCATAAATAGTTAGTTAGTATGTAACCAGAAGGGAGATCTGAGATTTCACTTGATAAATAGATCACATATAGTCAATGATCAGGAAGAGGTGGAAATTGAACGGGCTTTAGGAGTGAACTCCACATACTATTTTAAGTGTTTCTGAGCATGGATTTATACAAGAAAAGATGTATTTTCTGTCTTGTTTCATTCTTAATTTATTTTGACCCTTTAGCTACAATATCTTATTAAATTTGTGGCTGCATAGAAAATTCAAAAATGATGAAAGGTTTTTCCCCATGATCATAACTAATGGAGTTTAATAATGTTACTATTACCTTATTACCTTGCATTTTCTTATACTGCACTCATAATCAGCCACCTTATGCTCCATAGGACAAGTAGAGTCGTGATTGTGTCATGTTGGGCCATTTCTTTCCTTACGTGTTGTCTAATGAGATTGTTTTGGATGAAGTAGTTGATATGGTGCTAATGTTGAGTACAGGATCTAACACAAGTTTAAGTCGAATAAAGCTAGCCTCAATTTGTGTTTTTAAAATTTCAGTTATTTTTCAAATTAAAAGAAATGTTCTTTTCCTTTGTTTCTGTAGCTTTTGCCTTATGAACAGTCCTCTCTTTTGGAACTCATAAAGACTGAAAACAAGGTACAGAATCCTAAATCTAAAAAATTGTTTTAAAAATGTTTTAGTTATCTGTAACAATTTACTTTTTATTTTGTTTTTACTCATGAAACTAGGTCTTAAACAAAGTCATCACTGTTTATGCTGCACTTTGTTGTGAAATCAAGAAATTAAAATATGAGGTAATTATTTGAATTCTTGTCTTAAAACTTTAAAAACATCATTTAGAAGCAAGTATGTGTTTATATATGTACAGTGTGCAATAAATATTTATTGAATGTTGAATGAATTATTTATTTAACGTAATACTAATACGGACTACCATTCATTGAGTACTTAGTATGTACAAAACACCAGGCTAACACTGTAATCCTTATAGTAACCCCAGGAGGTAGGTGAGACATTGATGAGGAAACTGAAGCTTAAAGAGAGTGTCACTTGCATAACATCTTACTGGTAGTCAACAGTTTGAATCTAGGTTTACAAACCTCCAGAGTTTGTGTTACCTGCCATATATACTGGCTATCTAGAGAAAACTGATTTTTTTTTCTTAAAATGCATTTAGTTTTGTGTTTCCTTACCCAAGAACCATTAAAAGTCTGGTAGAAGTTGACAAACTTCGTATTTTCTTCTCCTGCTTTTTGATACCATGTGGTTGCTCTTTATTTCCCATAAACTAATGGGAGGATGTGGGACAGTGAGGGTGGTCAGATAAGATGAAGTAAAGGCTAAAGGAATCAAGATACAGCTTTGAGTATCAGTAATATTTTTGTTACTCTAAAGATGAATTGCTTTATAAACAGATTTTGAATTTAAATGAATTTGTATGCAAATGATGTAGCCCTCTGTTTATTACTAAGTATACAGATCTAAGAGAGCATAGGAATTTGGAAACAAAACAACCTTTAAAATTATTTTAATTTTTTTCTTAAAAACAGGCTGAAACTAAATTTTACAATGGTCTCTTGTTTTATGGAGAAGGAGGTAAGTTTAAAATTCCAAATTGTGATGCCTTTTTGATATTGAAATGAACAAAAAGTTAACAGACAATTTTAGGACTACTATGATTATATAATAGTGTGAGAAAAATAAGTATTCATATTTTTTGTTGGTATGTTTGGTAAACAGGTAAAAAAGCTGAGGAAGCAGCAGCAAATTTGTGATATCTTTGTACTTTACGAAGTACTGTAGGTAGATGAGAATTTTCCTTGAATTCATTAAATAGTGAAGCAAATACTTCTAATTATTTGATTAATGATTGTCTGATTTTTCTCTTTGGTGTAAAAATTCTGTTTTCAATACTATGCAGAGTAAAAGATGTCCTAATGAAAAAAAAAAACTTTTCCCCCTTTTTTGGTATTGATTGAGTTTAAATTTAAAAAATGAAATATGCTTATTCATGTTGCCTTTTACAGCTACAGATGCCAGCATGGTGGAAGGTGATTGCCAAATTCAAATGGGGAGATTTATTTCATTCTTACAGGTAACTGATTTTTACTTTCTACTGAGCTTTTACTTCAAAAAGTTTGAGTAAATTACACAACACGTAAAAAGTTCTGAAACCTTCAAATACTAAAGATGTGTACTCTGAGGATAAGACACTTAATTAGCATTGGATTATAGTTTAGGAGATCATAACTCCTAAAAGATTTCCAAGTATTTTTAGAGGAAAAAGCTATCAAAATAAGTTTCTTTGTGTATATTTCTTTATGGACAACTTGTCACCATGCCTTTTAAAATAATTTAAACTTTGTACCCACTGGAAAAGATAAATTGTATCAGGAAAAGTTGTTAACGGATAGGAGAGAATTAAGCTATTACATGAGCAATGATGAAGTTGTTTAAAGCGGTAGCCCTCCATGCTTCTAACAGCTTGTTTCAGTTTAGATAGCTTCTCATCACTGCCAGTTTTAATGATTGTAGGTCCTTTGGTTTACTCTTATCAAAAGAATAAAATGGCTTCTATTTCCTCCTCTGTGATAAAAATAGTGCATGTACGATGTGAAAAAGCAAAAATTGAAGCTAAGGAAAAAATACCCATAGTCCCACCTCCTTTCTGTTGTTGAGTACAAGATTTGATATATTTCATCAAATTAGGCATGCTAACATACTGTTCAAATCTTTTATATCTTTACTACTTTTTTTGGTCTAATTGATCTAATTGAGAGCATTTTGTTCATATTGTGATATGTGTTATTCAGGGTCCTGTCTAGAAAACTCCATACAAGGTATTTCAAAAGATGTAGTTTGGAGGATACAAAGTAGCAGATATGTAAGATGAGTAAGTCTAGAGATCTGATGTACAACATGAAGATTACAGGTAATAAAATACCGTATATGGCATTCATGCTGAGTAGATTTTAGCTGCTTTTGCTACAAAAAAATGGGTTAGCTATGTGAGATGATGGATTTGCACTTGACTATAGTAACCTTTTTATTATCGGTATGTATCCCATAACATGTTGTATACCTTAAATATACACAATAAAATGTATTTAAATAAGAAGAGAGGGGATTCAATATAGAGAATTGGTTACCCAGGAGTTGGAGGACAAAGAAAATACTGAGGTGTAGTCCAAAGGAAACAGATACCTCCTTTACATCCAGAGAACAAAAAGGATAAAGATTGGGATTGCCAGGATCTGGGAGCTTGGAGAAGAAGCCCCATGAAACTGATGCCTATGCTGAGGTGGCACTGCCTATCTGCTGCTGGCTTCTTTTCCAGCAAGGTGTCTAAAAAATGTAGTTGGTAAGGTCCCAGTAAATGTGGAAACTTTGCATTTTTCATTTTGAGGGTATTTTATTCAGTGTGTACAAGTTTAGAATTGTTAATCATTCCTGGTAAATTGAATCTTTTATCATCATTTGTGACCTTCCTTAGCTATGATCATGATTATGTGTATATGATTATGTATATGTATTTTACATGCATAGCAATTTACTGTACTGATGCTAATCAAGTCTGTTTTGTCTGACAGTATAATAATAATGCTGCCCTGGCTCCGTTTTAGTTAACATTTTCTTGATTTATCTTTTTCCATTCTGGCAGCCTTTCAGTGTCATGTTTTAGTTGGGTTTATTTAAAACCACATATATCTAAATTTTGCTTTTTTAATGTAGTCTGACAATACCTGTTTTTTAATCGCTTAATTTATTCTGTTTCTAGGTCTATCTTATATAGTCTGTATGTATATCTGGGCTTGTTTCTGCCTTTTTACTTTGTTCTTTCTGTTTGTCCTACATTTTCTCTGCTTTTTTTAAACTTCTAGAAGTTTAATAGGACATGTAAAACTATAACTATTTAAAAATAAAATGCGTTATTTATTTTCATTTTAAAAAATACTTTACATCATATTTAGATCTCACAGCTGCATAAAAATTCCGTTTTTAAACATTCAACAAATATGTTTTGTAAGCCTAGTATATGCTAGAAACTGTTATTGGTGCTGGTGATATAGCAATGCACAACACCAACAGAAATTCCTGTTCTCATAGAGCTTAAAATTTAGATCAGCATAGTTTTAATTAGGTTTTAAATACTTCAGATACACACTGTTTCTATAGGTTTAAAAGTTGAGAGCTTCTGAAAATGGATTTTCAGAAAGTCTAGGATATGTTAGATATGAGCTAATTATTTAATGACAAACATATCCCTAGGATAAGTGATACGACATTTCACTTGCTGTGTGCCAAGCCTGCTTATACATACGATTACAGGTGATCAGTGTTTGAAGTTATTTTACAGTGACTTCTGGAAACCCCTTCCTGCCATAGTTGTACTTTCTATACTGGCAGCTTTTGAGCTCCTTCACTCACTCAGATGTTTATTCATGTAATAGGGTAGAAATTTATTGAGAAGCAGTTGAGTGTTAGTCACTATGCTAGGCAGTGGATATTCAAAGAAGGAATGAGACAGCACCTATCATTTAGGAGTTATATAAGTAACTACAATATTAGACTTGAAATAGGAGTATGAATGAAATGCAGTGGGAACAAAGAGATAGGAACGACCCTGGAGTACAGGAGGTGAGTTAAGTATTGATTGCTTGAGGGATGCTTGAACTTGTCTGGCTTTTGGTTAACTGGAGGCTTTATTGGAAAACTGTTTTGTTTTTGTTAGAGTTGTTACCATAAAATTCAGTAAAAAATGGTGAGATTTAAAGAGTAACTTTATAATATATACCCACCTTCTCGTTTCAGGAACTGTCTTGCTTTGTTACGAGGTGCTATGAAGTGGTGATGAACGTAGTCCACCAGTTGGCTGCCCTCTATATCAGTAACAAGTAATGGATTTTAGAAATATTTTTGCTTTTATAATAGAGATGCAGAAAATGTTCTTTCTAAAATTAATAACTTGTAATAGTTTTTCTTTCATTCAGCATTCTTTGAACACTTATGATATTTCAAACACTACTTGATGTGTATCATACGTAGGTTAGTAAGATGCAGTTTCCACCATGGTGAGCGAACCCATTATCTGTCTGAATGACAGTGTCTACAGAACAATCTTCAAGAAATTTGACCATATAGAAGAAGGCTAACATGGAATTAGTACATGTTCTGTGTTCTCTCTCTTTATTCCTTTCCTCTACACGAATGGTTGCCTGACTCTAATGGAGTCACTTGAGACTTTTCTTAGACTACAGAATCTTGAGGGATGGAGCTAGGGAATCTACATTGAAGAAATTTTGTGAGTAGTTCTAATGGTCGTAAATATACCCAGTAAAATATACCTTAAATATACACAGTAAAATTTATTTAAATTAAAAAAGGGAATTTAATATGGAGAATTGGTTACATGGGAGTTGGAGGGCTGAAAGGACAAAGAGAACAGTGAGTTCATCCGGAGGAAACAGATACCACCTCTCCATCCAGAAAACAGAAAGGAAAAGATTGAGGTTACCAGAATCTGGGAGCTTGGAGAAGAAGCCTCATGGAATTGGTGCTCGTGCCACTGAGGAGGTGATACTGCCTGGCTGCTGCTGGACCATTACCCTAAATCAAGAAAAACGATCACATTTTCATAGAGCTCTTGCAGTTTTACCACAAAATAATATCTCATTTGATTAGTTCTTTATACTTAAAATTTTTTTTCCACACTTACAATCTAATTAATACATTAACTTTGTTTAGCTCTATGTCTAGGGATTATTAATGATGAGAAGAGATAACTGATACCTGGAAGAGATAACAAGAGCAATTTTGGCACTGTTCTTTTGGTCACCAGCACATTCATTGTTCTTACTATACCATGCTGCATATAAACTCTTTATACTGGAGTGTTAACTGTTTCTTATTCTCCCATTTTCCCCCTCAGTTAGGTATTTATTTTATGTTCTGTCTTTTCACTAAAGCTCTCATGGCAGGAGAGAATGAGAGTATAGCTTCCATACCCGCTGCAGTACCTGATGGGTAGTTCTAAGAAGACTCCCCCTCATCCTACCCCTGCCCTAGAAGGATGAAATTTATTTGAATTTTGTGTTTAAATTTAAAATATGCATTCTATCTTGTGGAATATCTATATGTGCTTTAATATTATAAGCACTATTTAAAACTTGTTGAGCAAAATGAGTAGGAGGTAGAAGTGAATTTTTCTTTGACTTTTGACTTTGGTATAATTCTAGTAGTATGCACTGTTTTTCAGTAGGGATGAGAACTCAAACCCAACTGAAGAGAGGACTGATTCCTAAAGACCAGTTTGGAGGCTGGGCGCGGTGGCTCATGCCTGTAATCCCAGCTCTCAGGGAGGCAAGAGGCGGGAGGATAGCTTGAGCCCAGGAGTTCGAGACCTGCCTGGGCAATATAGCGAGACCCCCTTCTCCACAAAAAGGAAAAACAAAACAAAACAAAAAAACAAAAGACAAAGACCAGTTTGGATAGGATAACAAAAATTCTAGTTGGTAATTGAGAAATTCTAATAGTTTAGAAAGATATGAATACCACTTTTAATATTTCTCTACCTTTATTCCAAGATAAATCATTTGGGTTTCAATGGGTAAGGTTATTCATAGGTCACCTATCATCATAGCCCTACCCATGAGTGGGATATAGGCAAGAATACTATTAGGTTGGTGCAAGAATTATTGCTGTTTTTGTATCACAGTTACTTTTGCACCATCCTAATAGTATGCACAAAGTAGTTCTCTTCTTGGGAAAGTGGACTTGACGCTCTTAAATTTTAAATAACTAGAGCCTTAATAAAGATAAATATTAAAATTCCAAGATCATCTGCTCCTGTATGTATTTGAAATAAGAATAAACTATGACAAAAAGGAAGTTTTTTTTAACTTGGTTGTTATTTTATTATAGGATTGCACCCAAAATTATAGAGACAACTGGAGTTCATTTTCAGGTAAAAGACATTTAGCTTGACCTGTAAAACTGTAATTATTACTATATTTTACTTTGGAGTTTGTATGGTTGGAGAGTATGACAGTCATAGGAACACTCTTAAAGAGGCGTGTGTGTGTGTGTGTGTTTGTGTGTGTTTGCATTTGTTCTCTTTCATCTGTGAAGTTGATGAGTCATTATTGACCATTATCAGTGTAACTTAGTTTTTCCCAGTAGTGCCGTAATGCAGATTCTCTAAATGATGTCTTTGGACAGTGAAATAAATCTGCAGTATTGCAACTAAGGATGAAATTTTGTTCATCTTAAAAAGAGAAAAGTATTCTCTATTTAAGACTAAAAGACAAATAGTCCTTTCTGAGGATCCAACCTGTAGCTGAATAAATTGATTTACCCACTACTTTTACTAATTCAGTAATCAGCCCAAATGATTTTACTTTAAACGTCTACATGAGGCTTAACTTCTAACTAGTGACTAAATGATAATCATTAAAGGTTTTTTGACAGACTATGTATGAGCACTTGGGAGAACTGCTAACAGTTTTGCTCACCCTGGATGAAATTATTGATAATCATATCACACTGAAAGACCACTGGACTATGTACAAAAGGTACACCAATTAAAATATTTTAAAATGTTTCTTACTTTGGTTAATGTATTTGTGTTAGTAAAAAGTAAACAGATATAAATAATACAGATTTTCTAAAAGACCTGGGGATTGATATTTAGAAGGAGCTCATATCAAATATTTTTATGACTACAGTAACCATTCTTTAATTTCACATGAGTTTGTTGGGACGAGTATAATACATCTGTATAAAGCATCCTAATTCTTATAGTAGTAGAAAGTTAATTTGCCTAGCTTAGGACTCAGATTTATTGTTTTCCTTGGGTTCT
Source organism: Homo sapiens (assembly GCF_000001405.40). Lineage (NCBI taxonomy): Eukaryota > Metazoa > Chordata > Mammalia > Primates > Hominidae > Homo > Homo sapiens. Next base: position 105,121,492 of record NC_000012.12, read on the forward strand.
ATTCAGGTGACAGTTTTTTCTTCTTTTTCTTTGTTGAGACAGAGTCTCACTGTGTTGCCAGGCTGGAGTGCAGTGGCGTGATCTCGGCTCACTGCAACTTCTGCCTCCTGGGTTCAAGTGATTCTCCTACCTCAGCCTCCCAAGTAGCTGGGACTACAGGCGTGTGCCACCATGCCCAGCTAACTTTTGTATTTTTAGTAGAGACGGCGTTTCACCATGTTGGCCAGGATGGTCTCCATCTCTTGACCTCATGATCCGCCCGCCTTGGCCTCCCAAAGTGCTGGGATTACAGGTGTGAGCCACCATGCCCAGCCCGACAGTTTTTCTTTCCTGAGCTTGGTTTTATTTTATTGTATACCCTGAATTTTTTTTAGACCATGGTTTATTTTATTCATGTTCTGAGTACTTATTAAATGTCTGGTATGTACAGATTATGAGGCATTTTGATTGAAGATGATATTAAAAAGCGTAAGAAAATCTATTAGGATTGTTGTGTTCAAATTTTCAAATGTGTAGAGCCAAACAAGAAATATAAATATAAAATTTTGACTTCCAGGAAAATTTTTAATTTTTAATTTAAGAATTTATTAGGTAGATTTAAGATGTTTCTCTTAATTTTCCTCAAGGTTACTGAAATCTGTCCATCACAATCCTTCAAAATTTGGAATTCAGGAAGAAAAATTAAAGCCATTTGAAAAGTTCTTGCTGAAGCTAGAAGGGCAATTACTGGATGGAATGATATTCCAGGTAAGTAGGTCTGTATCAGACTGTAACAGTGGGGCTCATATTAGACGACAAAGCTCAGAATTATAGTAGGACACTTTTATAATATACTGTTGAATATAATTTTCTTTAAAAAGTGCTTTGGCTTAAAATTATTGTTACAGTACTAAAATATTTCTGTATCTAGTAGCCAACAAAATGAATAGTATATTAGTTGTATTTGGAGCAAGAGTTTTAGAAAAATTATGTAAATGGATAAAAATATTTGAGGATTAACATCTAATCTTAGTAGTTAGGTATAGGCATATCTTGTTTTATTGCATTTCGCTTTATTGCATTTCCCAGGTAATTGCATTTTCTACAAATTAAAGGTTTGTGGCAATCCTGCATCAAGCAAGTCTTTCATCGTCATTTTTCCAACAGCATGTGTTCACTTTGTCTCTGTGTCACATTTTGGTAATTCTTGCAATATTTTAAACTTTTTCATTATTATTATAGCTGTTATGGTGATCAGTGGTTTCTGATGTTACTATTGTAATTGTTCTGGGGTGCTACAAATAGTGCCCCTGTAAGATGATGAACTTAATCGATAAATGTTGTGTGTGTTCTGACTGCTTTATCAACTGGCTAGCTCTTGTCCTTTCTCCCTCTCTTCAAGCCTTTTTATTCTCTGAGACACAACCATATTGAAATTAGGCCAATTAATAGCCCTACAGTGGCCTCTAAGTGTTCAAACGAAAAGAAGAGTTTCATGTCTCTTAATCAAAAGCTAGACATGGTTAAGCTTAGCTAGGAAGTCATATCAAAAGTAGAGATAGGGCCGGGCGCGGTGGCTCATGCCTGTAATCCCAGCACTTTGGGAGGCCAGGCACGCAGATCACGTGAGGTCAGGAGTTCAAGACCAGCCTGGCCAAGATGGTGAAACCTTCTCTCTACTAAAAATGCAAAAATTAGTAAGGTGTTAGGGCAAGCGCTTGTAATCCCAGCTACTCGGGAAGCTGAGGCAGGAGAATCGCTTGAACCTGGGAGGCAGAGGTTGCAGTGAGTCAGGATCACGCCATTGCACTCCAGCTTGGGCGACGAGGGAGACTCCATCTTTTAGGGGGGTGGGGAAAGCAGAGATAGGCTGAAAGTTAGGCCTCTTGCTGTGACTAGCTAGCCAACGTGTGAATGCAAAGGAAAAATTTTGAAGGAAATTAAAATGCTGTGAACACACAGATGATAAGAAAGTGAAACAGCATTACTGCTCATATGGAGAAAGTTTTGTTGGACTGAATTGAAAATCAAACCAACCGCAACATTAGTTTAAGCCAAAGCCTAATCCAGAGCAAGGCTGTAACTCTCTTTAATTCTCTGAAGGCTAAGAGAGGTGGGGAAGCTGTAGAAGAAAAATTTGAACCTAGCACAGGTTGGTTTATGAGGTTTAAGGAAGGAAGCTGTCTCCATAACATTAAAGTGCAAAAGCAGCAAGTGCTCATGTAGAAGCCAGTAAGTTATCCAGAAGATCTGGCTAAAATCACTGATAGAGGTGGCCACACTTAGCAACAGATTTTTCAGTGTAGATGTAACAGCCTTCTATTGGAAGATGCCACCTACATCTTTCATAGAGGAAAAGTCAATTCCTGGCTTCAAAGAAAGCCAGTGCCCATTTGCCATTCTGAAAATCTTAGGGCCCTTAAAAATTATATTACTCTACTCTGCCTGTTCTCTGTAAGTGGAACAACAAAGCCTGATGACAGCATATCAACATTGAGGCAAGACCCTTGGCCAGCAAAAAGATGATAGCTCACTGAAGGCTCAAATGTTAGCATTTTTAGCAATAAAGTGTTTTTTAATTAATATACTTTTTTTTAGACATAATGCTATTGCATACTTAATATACTATAGTATAGTGTAAATATAACTTTTTTTTTTTTTTTTTCGAGACGGACTTTCACTCTTGTTGCCCAGGCTGGAGTGCAGTGGAGCTATCTCGGCTCACCACAACCTCTGCCTCACGGGTTCAAGCAATTCTCCTGCCTCAGCCTCCCGAGTAGCTGGGATTAAAGGCATCTACTACCATGCCCAGCTAATTTTGTATTTTTAGTAGAGATGGGGTTTCTCCATGTTGGTCAGGCTGGTCTTGAACTCCCGACCTCAGGTGATCTGCCCACCTTGGAAATTGGTGTCACTCATGTTTTTGTGCTGGTTGGGAACTGAACCTATGGTTTCTGTGAGGTGTGCCTGTATTGTGTTTGCTGTTAACCTCTAGGTTTAGGTTTTTTTTGGTTTTGTTTTTGTTTTTGAGATGGAGTCTTGCCCTGTCACCCAGGCTGGAGTGCAGTGGCGTAATCTTTGCTCACTGCAACCTCCGCCTCCTGGGTTCAAATGATTCTCCTGCCTCAGCCTCCCGAGTAGCTGGGATTACAGGCGTCCACCACTGCACTCAGCTAATTTTTGTATTTTTAGTAGAGACGAGGTTTCACCATGTTGGCCAGGCTGGTCTCGAACTCCTGACCTCGTGATCTGCCCACCTCAGCCTCCCAAAGTCCTGGGATTACAGGCATGAGCCACCATGCCCGGCCAGGTTAAGGTTTTTAAGACAACCCTTAACAAGTCTGTTTAATTCTTCCTAGGCCCAGGGAATGTAATTTGGGTTTGCACAGTCTAGTATGGTAGCTTCTAACTACATGTGGCTATTTAAATGTAAATAAATTAAAATGAAATACAAAATTCACTTTTTTACTCACGCTAGCCACATTTCAAGTCCTTAATAGCCACATATAGTTAATGACTAGTTATATCAGACAGCACAGATACAGAATATTTCCATCATCACAGAAAGTTCTGTTGGAGAGCGCTGCTTTAAGCAGGTTCCACTCGAAATTGCATTATATTCCATTTATAATATACTTCAAGGTTACCTTTAGTTTATGTTTTACATGATCACAGTTTTTAACCGATTGATCTCAACTCTTGTTTACAGTTGACCCTTTGAATAACATGCTTTTGAAGTGTGCACGGGTCCACTTATATACAGATTGTTTTTCAATAAATGTATTAGAAAATTTTTTGAACATTAGCAACACTTTTGAAAAAAACTTGCAGACAAATGGCATAGCCTAGAAATATTAAAAAAACTTGAGGAAAAGTTAGGTATGTCATGAATGCATAAAATATATGTAGATACTAATCTATTTATGTGTTAATTGACTTATGTTATCCATAAGGCTTTTGGTCAACAGTGTGCTATTACTAGTTAAGTTTTTGGGTAGACAAAAGTTATATGAAGATTTTTGACTGCACGAGGGTCAGTGTCCCTAACTTTATGTTTAAGCGTCAACTATATATCAATTTAAATGTTAGTTCATTAGGTTAAGAAGATAATTTTTTTGTTATTGATTCTTTTTCCAGGAGACATTTCTATACATGCTATAATAAAGTGCTAGGAAAGTAATTGTAAGCAGAAAACATAAATTCTACTCTTAAAAGTGCAAAGTAAAATAAAAAATATGCTTTATCTTTTATACATCTCTGAACATCGTGTGTATCTCTTTATACAGGATTATAGATTTGGGTTCAATTTTATTACTTTCACATAACTAGTACCCAAATATATAAATACATATATATTTTTCATTCACAAAGATCTAAATATTAGATTAGATTAAGAACCTGAGCTTTAGTTTTAGTAAAATTTAAATGATGAATATAGAAATTTATCATACACTGTATTTAGTGTATGATATTTAAATGTTTAATCGTTTATTATTGAGAGTCTGAATTTCTCTTTCAATGTTTCCTGTCTAGGCCTGTATAGAACAACAATTTGATTCTCTCAATGGAGGAGTATCTGTGTCAAAAAATAGTACTTTTGCTGAGGAATTTGCACATAGTATTCGGTCAATTTTTGCAAATGTAGAAGCCAAACTTGGTAATGTAAATCGCATTTTTTGGTTTTTGTTTATAAAATTTGCATTTCCTTAAAAGCATAATTGAAGTATATTTGTTCTGCTTTCTCTTATGTTATTGATTTGTAAGGAGAACCTTCTGAAATTGACCAGAGAGACAAGTATGTTGGAATTTGTGGACTCTTTGTATTGCACTTTCAGATTTTTCGAACTATTGATAAAAAGTTTTATAAGTCTTTATTGGACATTTGTAAGAAGGTAAGAACTTGAAACTTATTTTTCAATTTGAGCAGATTAAAAAGATTGCAGATAAAACTAAATATTTTAAAATGCATTTTATTCCTGTTTACAAAAATAATTTAAAAGTATTCACTTGTAAAATTCAAGTATTCCAGAAATAAGTAACTTAGTGAATGAAAATACGTCGTATTTCTACATCATATTACTACATATTGGTAGATGGTGTTCAGATTTGTTCCTGTACAACTTCTCTTAGTGCTACTAATACTACTTTTTTCTTTTCCTTTTCTTTGCCACTGATTTTCATTACTGAAGATGAAGAAATTTAAAATATATTTCTTTCTATGTCTTTGCTATTTTCATAATGTGGTATCTGATTTCAAAATTGAAAGATTAGTTTGTGTGTAACATCAAGTGATAGTAACTATGATAACCCAGCCAATTTTTTAAAAAACTTATGTACTTAAATAGAATGAAACTAAAAGACATGAAGATTCAAGTTTCTATTGTTGCATTTTTTTATCTGACAGTCCATGAAAGGGTGTTTTGTGTGTGTGTTATTTAATATTCAGGTGAATAAAATTGTCATGCTCAACACCAGATGTAGAAATGCCTTAACTCTGCCACAGTGAAAGATATTTGTCTCATAATATATTAATAAGTATTTTTTGTGGTTATTTTTTCTTGAAATCAGTTGTCTTCCATGTGTATTATAGAACTTTTAAACAGCTTGTTGTTTAGCCTGCATTTAATGAATTTTCCCCTTTTCCCTTTTCTGTTTCAGGTACCAGCCATCACTCTAACTGCTAATATTATTTGGTTTCCTGATAATTTTCTGATCCAGAAAATACCAGCAGCTGCCAAACTGCTAGACAGAAAAAGTCTTCAAGCCATTAAAATACACAGGGATACTTTTCTACAACAGAAAGCTCAATCACTTACCAAGTAGGTTTTATAAACAAGTATAATGAAAATATTTAGATATCCTTTATTTTCAAAGATTATACTAACACTTAATGTATAGTACCATTTGAATTATAAGATTAAATGTACTTGATAAGTAAGGGTCAGGCAATCTCCAGGAGATTTGTTTTCTAGAAGTTTTTTGTAAAGAATATTTTACACTTAAAGTCAATTTAAGATGTAGACAGATTATACTTTATGGATACAAATGCGTACATACATAGTTTTTATCATCTGTGTTAAATATTTTTTGTCCAAATGAAGTCTCAGATTTTGTTGCAGTAGATATCATTTGATGACATTAAAAACATTCTGTGTCCATGGTGATTTTGGGAGAGGTTGAGTTTTTCTTGATGTGCTTCCTTTTTCCCCCTTCTTTTTATTTTTATGAAAATAGTATATGCATGTATATAAAACATCAAAAAGTGCTAAAGCTTAAAGGGAAAGATAATTCTTCCCAGTTCCTTCCTGTATTTCAGTCTTGCTCTCCAAAGGCACACTTTTAACTCTTTGTTTCTTCTTTTTTTTACATCCTTATTTTTTGTATACGTCCTTATTTTTTATCTCTTATTGTGTAAATTTTCAAATATACGTAAAGTAGAGAAAATAGTATAAAGAGCCCCTACGTTCCCATCACCCAGCTTCAACAATTAATTTATTGCACATTCTTTCTTGAGTACATGGCTAAAATCACGTTAACTTGGATAAAGCTTTTGAGTGAAATGACACAGGACTCTGCCACTAGCCCCATGCTGGTGACAGATTTTTGTTTGTGATATGGCTAAAGATGTAATGGGGATACTTACCTACTTTCTGTTGATTTTGACTATCAAAGGGAAGTTGGATCACTACTATACATTGGGGGAAGGAAGATCATGTCATTTTTAGTACTGCCATGTCCTCTGATTAAAGTGGAAAACTACAACAGATTTAGGCAGGTCTACTCATTTCAGAACTCTAGTAGATATCCTAAATCAGGGTTGAAGAGGGATTAAAAACAAATGTTTAGATTTAGATTAAAGAGCTGAATTAAGTAATACAAGATATATGTAGAGATTTATCTTTCCATTTGAGTAGCAGTAAGTGGGGAAAAATGTGTGTATTTTAGTTCTTAGAATGTTGATATTTTGTAACAGTGTGATGGAGTTACTCAAAATGCCAATACATACTTAGCTTACATTAATAACTCTAATACCCAGGTTGTGGAAACTAGTTAGTTATAGTACAGGTTGAGTATCCCTAATTGAAATGCTCCAATACTGGAAACTTTTTGAGTGCCATCGTAATGCCCAATGGAAATGCTCATTGGAGCATTTTGGATTTCAGATTAGGGATGCTGAACTGGTAAGTATATAATGCAAATATTCCAAGATCTGAAATACTTCTGGTCCCAACCATTTTGGATGAGGGGTACTCATCATGTATCTAGGTCATGGGAATTGATAGTTGCATTAAATTCCGTTTTGTTTTTTTTTTTGATTTTTTTTTAGAGACCGAGTCTCGCTCTGTTGCCCAGGCTGGAGTGCAGTGGTGTTATCTTGGCTCACTGTAACCTCTGTCTCCCAGATTCAAGCAGTTCTCCTACTTCAGCTCCCAAGTAGCTGGGACTACAGGTGCCTACCACCATGCCCAGCTACATTTTTTTTTTTTTTTTTTGAGACAGAGTCTCCCTGTGTCGCCCAGGCTGGAGTGCAGTGGTGTGATCTCGGCTCACTGCAACCTCCGCCTCCTGGGTTCATGTGATTTTCCTTCCTCAGCCTCCCGAGTAGCTGGGATTACAGGCACCCACCACCACGCCCGGCTAATTTTTGTATTTTTAGTAGAGACTGGGTTTCACCACGTCAGTCAGGCTGGTCTCGAACTCCTGACCTTGTGATCTGCCTGCTTCAGCCTCCCAAACTGCTGGGATTACAGGCGTGAGCCACCGCGCCAACGCCTGGCTAATTTTTGTATTTTTAGTAGAGACGAGGTTTCATTATGTTGGGCAGGCTGGTCTTGAACTCCTGACCTCAGGTGATCCGCCACCTCGGCCTTCCAAAGTGCTGGGATTATAGGCGTGAGCCATCACACCAGGCCTCTTTTTAAAATTGTTTTTATTTTTTATTTTTAAACTTTTAAGTTCAGGATACAAGTGCAGGTTTGTTACATAGGTAACCATGTGTCATGGGGGTTTGTTGTGCAGATTACTTCATAACCCAGGTATATTCCATGGAATTTTTATTGGTCAGATCATAGCTGGTGTTTGGTGGTGCCATGTTTTGAGAGGGTCACAAACTGCAGCATCCCTAGATGCAGCTGATCAGGATGTCAGAAGGTCTGAGAACCATGCCTTCTTGTTTGTCTTCTCTTTGTTAGTGTCTGTATAGTTTGGCCTTTAAAAGAGAAATCTGTGGAATGATGTGGTGGGTTTCTTTAAATATTTGAGGGACATTCAGAATGAAGAGGGAACAGATTTGATCTCTGTGGCTCCAGTAGGCTAAACTAAAACCAAAAGGTGAAGATGACAGATAGTAATGATAATAATTGCCAACATCATGAAGCTCTCAACTCTATGGCAGGCATTATGCTAATAGCTTTAAACATACCATGTTCCATAAAGCATGTAACAGCCTTCCGGCAGAAAATAATAAATGTAACAATTAATGTTTATGGAGTGCTTACTATATGCTAGTAGGTATTCCAGGAACTTGACACATACCTCCTGTAATGATCAGAAAATTGTATGAGGTAGATACTTTTGTTGCCATTTTGTAGATGAGAAAACCCTACAGAGATTAAACTTGCCCAAGTTTAAACAACTAGTAGGTGGCAGATGCAGGCAGTTCAACTCTACAGCCCAGGCTGTTAACTACTACTATAAACCATTTTTATCCCATTTTTAGATAAAATGAGTCTTAGAGAAATGAACTTTGCCAGGTCACACAGCTAAGTACATGTCAGAGAGGGCATTCAAACCAGTGCCAATCCTATTCTGGTGCCTCTGCAGCAGGTAGCATTGTGTAGGCTGCTCTGTAGTCTCCTTCACTAAAGCTGTGTAGGCAGAATATAGATAACTGTCAGTCCAAGATCTGTGGGAAGTGAGTCTTACTAAGTGGACAGTTGAATAAGTTGACTTTCAAAGACTTATCACATGATGAGATTTTGTTTCTAAATTCTTTACTACAGAGCTCCATGAAGATGAAGGGCACAGTTATTTTTTTCAGTCTCTTAGCAGTTATGTCAAGGAAACCTAAAATTCACTCCACTAAAGTGAAACTCAGAGGGATGATGTGATCAGCAGGGCTTTGTCCTGACATTTTAGAGAAAGTTGAGGGGTTGTCTAAGAGGTGTCCCAAGGTCAGGCTTCAGAGTTTATGTAAGTGAGTAGGGAGCAATGGAGAGCAATGAGCAACAGTATTCCTGCCCCCATACTATACACCAGACCCCAAGTGGCCAGTGTCCCAGCTGCCTCCTTGACTGGGGTCCAAGGTTTGTGGATTTTTGCATTTTGCTTTTGATTCACAACCACTTTAACACTGGAAAATACTGCCTTTAGAGGACAGAGGTCTGAATCTTTGTTTCAACCCCCCATGTTGACATATAGGCGTTGACACTGTTTAGTGCTTTATGTTGGGGCAGGAGATTTGTTTTTTTACCTTGGTATTTTTCCTGTTTGTACTTTGAAATGCAACTGACAATCCAATAGGACACTTCACGATTTTTGTACTCTTTGTCAGTTAACTTGCTTTTTAAAACTTGAAGCAGTTTTGTTTTTATATATTTATTTATTTATTTATTTTTTTTTTTTTTTGAGACGGAGTCTCGCTCTGTCTCCCAGGTTGGACTGCGGACTGCAGTGGCGCAATCTCGGCTCACTGCAAGCTCCGCTTCCCGGGTTCACGCCATTCTCCTGCCTCAGCCTCCCGAGTAGCTGGGACTACAGGCGCCCGCCACCGCGCCCGGCTAATTTTTTGTATTTTTAGTAGAGACGGGGTTTCACCTTGTTAGCCAGGATGGTCTCGATCTCCTGACCTCATGATCCACCCGCCTCGGCCTCCCAAAGTGCTGGGATTACAGGCGTGAGCCACCGCGCCCGGCCTGTTTTTATATATTTATAAGAGGTAAAGATCATCAGTCATCTGGATGTGATCACAGAGTGATGGGCAGAAGTGACATAAAAGCCTCTGCATTATCCTATAGCCTTACCTAAAGCTGGCTGAATGCTGTTCACTGTGTATTATTGCCTTCTTCATAGTGTTATTGACACAGTTGCTCATCAGGGAGAGTTCCATAGTCTAGCCTAGGTCTCTTTCTGTGGTCCTTGCTTATGACTTTTCTGTTCTCTCCTGTACATGGGATTCCTGCTGAGTCTTGATCACAACCTCCTCCTCAAAAGTGAAGGTGTTGCTCTAGGACTGTGCTGTCTGTTTTTAAAAAAGGACCAGGCTTTTAAAAAAGGAATCATTCATAAGTCAAACAGTATGTTTCAGCACCACTCTAAGCAAAGCCACAAAGTATGACTATTTGTGTTTTTCGTCTAATGGAATTATGGCTCTGTAGAAACTGTTTTTCTCAGATTTTGTGCTAGGGTTTCACCTCCCTGAGTCACATTTATTAGAGATTTTGACAGGATCCTTCTTTAGATTGAAATCTTGAGATTGACAGTTTGCCCAGCAATATGGCTAGCTGCTGACCTCAGTGTGGGATTCTAAACGTAATTGAGTGTCTTCAGTTCCTTGCCCTGAAGAGCTATCCTTTAGCTGATTCTGACCTGTAAGAATGGGACATTTCTTTACCCTGTGTAACTAAAGAAGATTTTAAAAGAGTTGGTAGGGTCCGATTCCATAAAGGAGAATTGCCCATTTTTGCATACTAAGTTTTTGTTTGTTTGTTTGTTTTTGAGACGGAGTCTCGCTCTGTCGCCCAGGCTGGAGTGCAGTGGCGTGATCTTAGCTCACTGCAATCTCTTCCGCCTCCCGGGTTTAAGCAATTCTCTTGCCTCAGCCTCCGGAGTAGCTGAGACTACAAGCGTGTGCCACCACACCCAGCTAATTTTTGTATTTTTAGTAGAGATGGGGTTTCACCATGTTGGCGAGGCTGGTCACAAACTGCTGACCTCAGGCAATCTGCCTGCCTCGGCCTCCCGAAGTGCTGGGATTACAGGTGTGAGCCACCATGCCCGGCCACATACTAAGTTTTTTAAAGAAAAGTATAGCTTAAACAGCTTGTGAATGTAAAAAGGTTCCCATCTGGAATGAGACTGAGTTGGGAAACATTGATGGAGAGATTTAGTATTTGTAATCATCCCGAATAGTAGAGAGAATTACATTTTGTATTGCCCTAGTCTTTCTGGGAGGGGAAAGCTTCCTGGATGTGAGCTTGAATCTTGGCTGAACTTATGATCTTGCTGCCTACTTAACTTCTCTGTGTAGCAGTTTCTTGTTCTGTTTGGAGGTTGTAGTACCTGCCTCATAAAGTTAATGTGAGGGGTGAAAGAGGTAGTGTGTGTGTGTGTGTGTGTGTGTGTGTGTGTGTGTGTGTGTGTAAAGTGCTTGGAATGGTACCTGTCATGTAGTAAGCATTCAATAACTATTAGCTTTTATAGTCCGATTCTGACCACTTCCACTGTTCCTATTCTGGTTCAGGCTGTCATCCTCTTTCTTCTGCATTATTACAGTAGCTTTTAGGTGGTTTTCCTGCTTTTACCATTGCCTCCTCTGTAGTTTATTTTCAACTCATCAGATCCTCTTGAAACTAAACTTAGATCAAGTTACTTTGCTCAGATCCTCTAGTGGCTTTCTGTCTCTCTGAGTCAAAATCCCTACTCCTTGTAAGGCCTTCCACAAATCCCTTCCCCATCACCCCACTCCCTCCCTCTGTATCTCGCTCATCTAATCCCTGCTCACAGTGCTTCAGGTATACTGACTTTTTTGTTATTACCTGAACAAGCCAGACACATTTCCAAATGTCTTAGGATTTTGCGTTTGTCTTTCACTTTTCTGCACTTCTCGTATATTTGCATGAATTACTCATTCATCTGCTTCAAACTTTGGCTCAAAATCACCTACTCAATGAGCCTACTTTGATCATGCTATATAAAATTGTACCTCCACCCCAGTCCTTATCCTTTTTCCCCTGCTTTTATTTCTTCTGTAGTATGTATCTTTTAATTAATTTAAAATTTTACTTACTGATTTCATTATTATACAGCTCTCCTTTCTAGAATGTAAGCATCATGGGAGGAGGGATTTGTATTCATTTTATTTACTGCTGATTTCACTGTTGTATTCTCAGTACCTGTACTGAGAAACAGTACCTGGGATGTTTGTTGAATGAGTAAATTATATATGTCTATGTAATATTTATCTTTTGAAAACCAGAAAGATGAAATGACTGCTGCAGGGAAATAATGTACTGCAATCAGTATCAAGAAATGGAAGTAAATTTTCTTTGCTGAGTAACCCCAATATTTTCCTTTGTTAGAGATGTACAGTCTTACTACGTCTTTGTGAGCTCATGGATGATGAAAATGGAATCTATTTTGTCTAAAGAGCAGAGAATGGATAAATTTGCTGAAGATCTCACCAATAGATGTAATGTTTTTATACAGGTAGTTGCATCTTATTTCGGGGAATCATTTTTTTGTTAATCCAACTTACAGAAGTTAAACTTTGAAAAAACTGAACAAAGGGTAGAGTATGTTTTTGTTTATTAAAGCAAGTTGATTTGGTTATGTTGGGATCTGTGTGACTTATTAATTTAAATTTTCTAACAACCCATTCAAAGCTCTATATTCCTTTACAACTTGACTATTTAGCTGTATCGTAGAAGTTTTGATATGTTGTATTTTTACTGTCATTTATTTCAAACTATTTAAATTTTTATTATAACTGTGGGCTTTTTGAAAGATTTCCTTATTTTGAAATATATGAGGATTTTCTAGTTATTTTATTATTGAGTTGTAGCAATAATTAAATAATTTTAGTATTTTGAAATTTGCTTTATGGCCTAGCCCATGGTCAACTTTGGTAAACATTTCACGTCTACTTGAAAAGAATGTATAATTTGTATTTGTCAGTTGTAGCATTTTGTATATGACAAGAGGGTCATACTGATTAATGATATTGTCTGGGTATTTCAGATACTGAGAGTCATGTTAGAATTTCCCACTATTGTGGATTTGTCTGTTTATCCTTGTTCTGTAGTTTTTGTTTTGTGTATTTTTAGGCTAAGTATATAATGTTTAGAATTGTTCTGTCTTCCTAGTAAATTAGACCTTTTCTTGTTAAGAAATATTCCTTGTTATCTCTAGTAATGCTTTTTGTTGTAGGTCTCTTTCGTGTGATATTAACTATAACTGTTTTCTTTTAATTAATGTCTGCATGGTATTATCTTTTTTGATCCTTTCACTTGTGGCCTTCCTGGCTCCTTATAGTTAATGTGTGTCTTCCGTAAGTAACGTATATTTTTCTCCTATCTGATAATCTTTGTTTTTTTTTCTTCATAGTACTATTTTTTCTATATGTCATTGTTGATATATTTGGTTTTAAACTACCACCTGACTAGTTGCTTTGTATTTGTCTCACTTGTTCTGTGTCCCTTTTCTTTTCCTCTCTCGCTCTTTTTTGGAGTATTTTTAATTTTATTTCTCCTCCTCTCTATTAGTTTAATTCTATATTATTTTATTGTTCTTTTAGCGGTCACTCTAGACATTTTAAGATGTATCGTTTGCTCATTTAGCTCTAATGTATGTTAGTAGTTTTACCACTTTCCTGACGGTATAAGGATCTTAAACAGCTTTAGTTCTATTTATCTCCCTCTCATCTTCTGTGCTGTTGTTGTGTACTTTGAGTTCCTCTGTATTTTAAACCTCACAAGGCATTATTATCGCTATTGTTGTTTTTATAGTCAGCGTTTATTTAGATTTACTCATATTTACCTGTTCTGTTGCTTTTTATTCTTCCTACATCTCTTAATTTTCATCTTTCTACTTGGGGAATACCTGCTAGTATTTCATTAATACAAGTCTCTGTTGATGAATTGTAATAGTTTTTGGTCTGAATATGTCTTCATTTCAATCATTTTGCTGTGTTAGAATTCTAGGTTGGTGGGGTTTTTTTTTTTCTTCTAGCTTTTAAAGGTGTCATTTTATGGTCTTCTGGCTTCCTTTGTTTTTGTTAAGAAGTCAACTGTAGGTTTGTTGCTTCTAAAATATGTATCTTTCTTTACTTTTTGGCTTTTAGCAGTGTTCCTACAATGCCCCTAGGTGTGGTTTTCTTTGTGTGTTTGTGCTACTTTGGGGTCAGTAGAGCTTCTTGAATTCATGCAATATTCTTTACCATTAACTCTTCGAGCATTATTTCTTTTCTGTTTCCTCTGTTCTAATTCTCTCTTCATCTGTCTCTAATCAATTCATCTACTGAGTTTTAAATTTTAATAATTTTACTTTTTAGCTGGCTTTTTTATAGTTTACAGTTCTCTTCTGAGATACTTGATTTTGTGTTTTATTTTCTTCAACACATTCAGCTTATTTTGAAGCACATGTCTAATAATTTCATTATTTGGGTATTTGTCTTATCTGTTGTTTCTCTTGTTTTTGTACATCTCTTACCTTTTATATACCCAGTTATTTTTTATAGAGTGCCACACATTATATATGAAAAGCTGTAGACGTAATTTGAGGATCTGGATATTTTCTTCCTCCAGAAGGGATTTGTATTTGTATTTGTATTTGCTTTTGTACACAGCTAGTCTAGGACGGTTAGCAACCCAGGTTATATCAATCTAGTAGGTTGATCAAGATGATTTGAAGCAGGATTTTGATCCTGTGATGGTTGTTTAATTCACCCTTACTTTTTTGGGGGGTTATCCTTCAGGATGCCAACTCAGAACTTAGGTGGTTTATGAAAACCAGCTCCGATGAGCCCCAAGCTCCTGTTTTTATTTCCCTTCCCTGTGAGATGTTGTTGAAAGGTATGTTTGGCTTTTGTCTTTAAGGCAGATGATTTAAGAGAAAGCAACCCTGAATGCCAGGATCACTTCTCTGAGTTTCTGTCTTCCAGATCTTGGCCTTATATTTCCTTATTTATTTGAATCCTCTTTGATGCCTTATGAGGCATTTTTAAACCGTTTTGCCCATATATTCTAGTTGTTCTCAGTGGGAAGGCTGATCTAAATTATTTATTCTATCATTAACTAATACAGACTCCAGACTACCCTCTCCCTCACAATTTAGATTTCAAAATACATCCCTTCACAAATTAATGGTTATCTGGGAATGAGCTAATATGGGCCCTGGAGTTCTGAACTTCAAGTACCCCTAAAAAAGGGAAGCCTCCTTTTTCTGCCTGACTTAGAGTTAGATCTTTGCTGTTCCTTGTTTGTGCTTTTTAATTTTTCCCAGGGCTGCACTAGAGTAGGGTCTGATGTAATAGTCTTGCAGCTGACAAGGTAAGACTGTGGCTCTTTCTGCATGTATGTGCCAAGCTTTGGTCTTACGGTCACCTTTCTTAGGATGCTATCCTCTCTTTGATTTTTTCATTTTCTTAATTTAGCATGTCTCTTCGCCACAGAGAAACTTTGTGTGTGGTTCAGAGGAACTCCTACTTTGCGCTGAGTATCATTCCTTTAGTGAGCCACTGTTTCCGATGGGAGAATACTTTCTTTCACATGTGGTGGGACAGGAGCAAAAGTTTGAGGAACATTGGCATATATCTTCTGCCCCACCTCCATAATGTATCTACAATAACATAGTTAAGGTTCCTTGCTAAACTGTACATGTGTCTCTTTTGGGAACTTTATAGACCCAAAGAATCTCCATCATTATCTTTGTGTTTTTCTGTGTGTCCCTTTTGGGTTTAAATGAAAAAGTGTTTGAGAAGCAATATCCCTTTTTTCCTTTATTCCACTGTTTCACTGAGTTTAATAGCATTAAAAGAATTTTAACACCTCACAAGACCTGGCTTCCTTCATGAATAGAAGGGGAGGGAGAATCTGTTCTCATTGGGCTGGAAGGAGAGAAAGCCTAATGCAGCACCAAACTAGGCAAGGATGAGATAGCAGATGGACTGTGGGGATTGGTCTAGGTGAATAGGAAAGGGGGACTTGGCTTGGAACTCAAAAATTTCTTTGCCTATCTGTATTGACTGAAGAACAGCCCTCTTTCTCCTTATTTTTCAATTTGTAACTCCTCAGAGTCCTCAGCTCTTGCCTTAAGTGGCAACAGATAGGAGTCTTTATTCTCTTCCCTGGCAGGTAAGATAAGGATGAATAGATACCTTTCTAACATTCAAATTGTTTCACTCAAAGCTTTTTTAAGGGAAAGATTCTTAAGCTGTAATTATACACTATTATTTTGACAGTACAAAACTTCTGGTATGTGACAGGATAAATAAACGGTTAGGGCTGCTTTGAAACTTAACCACCATGTATAACATTGTCTCTGTGAGGAAGAGTATTTCCAAATCTTAAGAGCTGGCTTTAAGATGAACTTTAGAAACATTAGTTATTGGTAAGTTGAGGAATAGCTGCTGTTAAATAGATAATGAAATCTTGAAGAAAATCTTTCCTTGTGATTATAATCAATGTTTTCCTTTACAGGGCTTCTTGTATGCATATAGTATTAGTACCATTATTAAAACCACAATGAATCTCTACATGTCCATGCAAAAGCCAATGACCAAAACCTCAGTTAAGGCATTGTGCAGGCTTGTTGAACTTCTCAAGGTAGGTTTTAGATTATTTTACTGCTCCATCATAATTGAGAAATGACCCAGGCTTAAATTAGGATAATCTTGTAAGGTTTGACTACATGATTATATGAGAACAGAAAATTGTGAGAAAGTACTTCTCTCTCAATTGAATAAAGGAACTAGCCATTTAAATAAATTTCTGAGTAACTACTTATGGCTGGTCATTATATTTAAACTTTATTAAATAAAGTTAATATATCCAGTTTACACAGTAAAAAAAAAAGTTAATGTAGTGAGAGAGAAAAGAAAGAAAATGGAAAAGTTAACTTTAATATTATCAGTAAAGCTTTACTCTTGGAAGTTTTAAAAAGGTTGCATGAGTTAAAAAAAAAAAAAACAGCTTGTCTACCATTATCCATTATAGTGTTTACATGCGTATGAGGTTAGTTAACATAAGGCTATTTATTTTGTAATTTAGATGAAGTGCTGTAATCTTGTGATTTGAACAGTGGACTACTTACAGAGGTGGTCAAATGAATTAAGAATTACAGTGCACTTATGCAAGTATGGTAACGTGTTTCTTAGCTTACTTCTGTATTAAAGAAAAAACCTGTAGGCAGGAAAGTCCAGTTAACCTTTTGTAAAAATTGAAATTAAGATTTGCTGGTAAATTTTCTCCTAATAATTGACTAGATTTGTTCAGGAAATAAAGATTTTTCTTTTGGAGATTCTGCCTTTGGATTTTCAGCCTTTTTTTCTTTGTATGATTTGTTTATAGATATTTTATGTTAGATTTATTTTTTATGAACTATAAATACAGACAAGTATATGTGTATGTTAGAATATGTATAAATATGTAATACATAAGCATGGTTTTAAAAATAATAACCACTGTCCCACTTAAGAAATACCCACTGTCCCACTTAAGAAATAGAATGTTACCAATATTTTCAAATGCTGTGTTTTTTCCTAATTGCATCTCAACCTGTCCACCTCAGAGGAAACTACTGTCCTGAATTTTATGTTTATCATTCTCTTGTTTTTCTTTTTAGCTTGCCAAATATGGATGAATCAATAAAGCATTAATCGTTATATATGTTTTTGAAGTTTATATTAGTGGAGCAGTATTTTATGTATTTTTTGATCCATTTTTTTATTCAACATTTTGTTTTTTACTCAGCATTTTGTATTTGAGGGTATCCATGTTGGGATGAGTAGCACATCTATTTTCATTGTTGTGTAGTGGATAGACTTCGGGTTGTTTCCGGTTTTTGTATCATAAACAATGTTGCCATCCTTGTATGTGTTTCTTGGTGTACTTGTGCAGGAGTTTTTGTAAGGAATTATATACCTAAAGTTGGTTACTGGATTATGTGTTACGTATATGTTCACCTTTTCAAGATGATGTCACATTGTCTCTATAGACAGACTATATATATGTGTGTGTGTATATATATATATATATATATATATATATATATGCCTCCCACAATACATTAGAAAATTACATTAGAAATAAAATTGTATTTCCAATTGACCAACACTGGTATTATCGAGCTTCATTTTTTAAAATAAATTAGTGGGTATAATTGGTTTTATGATTTTTAATATTTAACCCCTGATTGTTAGTGATGGTAAATATCCTTTCAATTATTTATTAACTATGTTTCTTCTTTTGTGAAAAATCTGTTCATGTCTTTTCCATTTTTTTTATTGGATTGTGTGCCTTTAAAAAACAAAATCTTTCATTCATTTTGGGTCTTCTTATATCCTGAACATTAGTCACTTGTACCTGGTAGATATTTTGTGATACATCGGCTTGCCTTTTTATTTTCTTTATAGAGACTTTTGATGAACAGAAGTGCTTAGTTTTAGTATAGTTGAATTTATCAGTTCTATACTTTGTAAGTTTTTTTTTTTTTTTGAGACGGAGTCTTGCTCAGTTGCCCAGGCTGGAGTGCAGTGGCGCCATCTCGGCTCACCTCAACCTCCGCCTCCCAGGTTCAAGCGATTCTGCCTCAGCTACAGGAACTACAGGTGTGCGCCACCATGCCCGGCTAATTTTTGTATTTTTTAGTAGAGACAGGGTTTCACTATGTTGGCCAGGCTGGTCTCGAACTCCTGACCTGGTGATCCACCTGCCTCGACCTCCCAAAGTGCTGGGATTACAGGCGTGAGCCACCACGCCAGGACTGTAAGGTTTTTTTGTATCTCATTTACAAATCCCTTCCCTAGCCTAAGGTCGTAAAGATCTTCTATAATTTTGCCTGAAATTTTTAAGTTGATTGTCAGAAAATTATTTCTGATTCTTTTTAGGCAATAGAGCATATGTTCTACAGGAGAAGCATGGTTGTGGCTGATTCAGTTTCACATATAACACAGCACCTTCAACATCAGGCTCTTCATTCTATTTCTGTGGCCAAGGTATGCAGCTTATTATGTATTTAGCATAAGTATGTTATCTTTTTTGTTTGTTCTTTCATTGTTTTATATGTGTTTTCTGGTTTAACCTGTTTATTCCATTCCTTCAAACATAATATGCTCGGTTATTTATCTCCATAGTATTTTACAATTTTTACTTCAAGTTATTGGCATTATCTTTACTGTGAAATTGCAGCATGTAATACATTAATACACTTCTAAAAAGACATTGCACTTTTGAAATTGATGCATCATTTAAAAAATGATTTCTTAGTAAATTAACATGGAAATTTTAAAGTATGCCTAATACATTTGCTGTTTCTGACAGTACTAAGGGATCATATTACAGAAGTAAAGTATAAATGTCAGAAGCTTAAATGGGGAAAGTATTTGTGTATGCTCTCTTAAATTGAATCATGGAAAAGATAATCAAGAAGTTTTTCTTCTGAGTCTTTTGTTACTGCCTCAGAAACAAATAGTTTTCCTGTTTTATTTTTAAGAAAAGAGTGATTTCTGACAAAAAATACAGCGAACAGCGTCTTGATGTGCTCTCTGCTCTAGTTTTGGCTGAAAACACTCTAAATGGACCAAGCACAAAGCAACGGCGACTTATTGTTTCTTTGGCACTAAGTGTTGGCACACAAATGGTAAGTGTATTGCTATTACTTATGGAACAGAAATGAGATCTGAGATTTCACAGTTCCCTTGTTACTGACCCTAGAAACCTTTGACTGCAACTTCTCTGCCTTTTTTTCCTGTCCCTGATAGAAAACATTTAAAGATGAAGAACTCTTTCCACTTCAAGTAGTCATGAAAAAACTGGATCTTATTAGTGAACTTAGAGAACGGTAAGTAGGACTGGGATATGCTGTGGTACTCCAAAGACAGGGTTAATAGAAACATTGATTTTCTTTTTAGCATAGCAAGAGAAGAAATAAAATTCAGATCGAGCATTAGTTCCTTTCTGTAACTTCTTTAGCATGACCAAAATGAGATTGTGACTAGGGATCATATTTATTTAGCTTTGCTTCTACAGGAAGCATGTAGCCCCTAGAAAAACTCACATGAGAAAAAGCAGTGCAACCTCAGAGCATCTGGCCGACTTTGATGCATATCGTGATTATTATGTTGGGTATCTTTATTGGACTTAAATTGCTGTATTATAACAGGGCTTCCTCTATTTGTGTGAGACTTAGCAATCCATGATACGTAGTGTTCTATGATTTTATTTTAAGACACGAATTTGAATTAACATTGTTGAATTAGTTTTTGGAAGGCTTATTTTTGTAGCTCCTTCTGGCTTTCTTGTTTTCTTTTTGTTGAGTAAGCGTAAATTTCTTGAAGGGAAATTTGAATTTTGGTTTCCAGCTGAATTAAGGTTACAGCACAATTTCCATTTAGTATTCATATTTATAACTTACTTTTTTGTTGTTCTGGAGAAGCTGACATTTTTCTTGTTATTGGCATTTAATTTTCCACTCTTGGAAGAAATATTGAGCCTTTTTCATTATAAGATAGTTAATGATCATTCTGTTGCCCTTTAAGGTGTGAAATAGTCACTTGGCAAAGATTGTAGACATGTTAAGTGTGGGTTTTTTTTTGGGGCGGGGGGGGTCACAATTTTTTTTTTTTAAAAGATTTTTCTTTCCAACTTAGAGTCAGGGAAAATGGAGCATGTGATGCAAGTATTTAAGTCTAGTCATAGCAAATAATATTGAAAATGAGTTTGTTTTTATTTACCAAAACCAAAAATGGTCAATAAATGTTTATTTTAAACTCTGATATTTGAATATTATGCATATCATTTTTCAAGTATGGTTTACAAAAGCATATGTGCAGAATTCTGACAATGTCAGGCATTGGAGTGTTTGTTACCTTTGTTTCATTTTGATAGTATTTCTTTTGTGACTTTTCTATACTATGTTGGGTTAAGTGATGTAGGGAATGCGAACTGTGTAAGATGGAACTCTTCCTTCTGTAGTAGATGTCATTCCTTTCATATTGTTTTGGGATTCTTCAGTTTTGGTGTGACTGATTACTACTTTACATTGTAGAGTCCAAACACAATGTGACTGTTGTTTTTTATACTGGCATCGAGCTGTCTTCCCAATTTATTTAGATGATGTATATGAAAATGCTGTTGATGCAGCCAGATTACATGTAAGTAAAGAACAATATAAAGAATAATTCTATCATTTTAAAAGTCACTGTGTAAACCGTTTTAGTTTAAAATAGATCATTTGATTTAATAAACTTTTAAAATTGACTGTTTTGTAAACTGCATATTCATAAAGTGTTTATAGTCTGTAGTTAAATTTTATGTTACTGTTAACGAAGTTAATTTATTTAATTTCTTCCTTCATGTTCCTAATCATTTTCATTTCACTTAATTTTAGTTTATGTCATAGTAATCTGACATTTACTCATCAGCAAATTACAATGCAAAAGAAAAAATATTTTTAAGAAATATTCATATTTTTCTTTATGGAAATAAGTGTGTTTAAATGCACAAGATAGGAAAGGACTAGCGAATGTGATTTTTTTTGGGTATATTTAGTTAAAGTATATGCTTTAGGTTCTTTTTCTTTAGGAAAGTTAAGACAGTTGTGGAAAATCATTTTTCCTTCAGATCGAGGTTTTGTCTTTCAAGATAATTAACTTTTGCAGTATTGTTTAGATTAGAGACCTGGTTTTTCTAAATTCATGTACATTTTAATTTTCTTCTTAGTACATGTTCAGTGCTTTGCGCGACTGTGTACCTGCTATGATGCATGCAAGGCATTTAGAGTCCTATGAGATACTTCTGGATTGCTATGACAAGGAAATTATGGAAATTTTAAATGAGGTAACATCATATTTGAGATTGAAAAGCTTAAAACATGTTTGGAATGTAGTGTTTGGAAAAAAAATGTTCGATTGAAGCAGACTCACTGAGTTAAAATTATTTATAAATTGCTGGGTAGAACAAAGAACTATTTTTAGTTACAATATCACTGTTGTGCTAATTGGTCTGTAATTCATTTATTTAGAAATCACACTAGGAATTAGGAGATTTTAAATTTACTTTTGTAAATAGATATTTTAATTTAAAGTTGTTTATTAGAAGAATGCAAATGTGAAATGGTTTTGAATGTTGAAAGCTGCTAATGGTCCAGTTAAAGCAACTTAACCATTAATATTTTACTGAATTTTATTTGCAGAGCTCCTGAGAGAAGGAAATTATATATTTAAAAGATTTAGTGTGTAACAAAAGTAATTTGAATCCAATATGTATGCCCCTCCTTTTGTTAAGGAAATATGTATTATAAACACTGATATCTTTAAAATTAAATTTCCATTTAGTGATATTTTTATTTGGAGGGAGGAATTAAAAATGAGGAAATTTCACAATATAATCCTACCTGGGTTTGATGAAATTGTGAAAAACTTTTTATAATTTCTTGTATTACGTATTCTTATTTAGGAAATAAAATACATGCCTGGATAGTAATTTAGAACTCCTTGGTAGACCAGAAAAGATGATTAATTTTATTACCTTTAGCACAATGAATTTTGTGATTTTTTTTTTAACAGTTATTACAAGGAAGCTTTTTTCTTTTCTCTCTTGCCTGTTCTCATGCCCTTTCCTCCTTTGTTGCTGGTTTCCATAAATTTTATGCTTTAAGTTGCATATTCATGTTCCTTATGATGGTACCATCAATCATTAGTTTTAGATTTTCTTTTCAAGAGTATTAACCTTAAGGTATTGGTGAAAATAAAGACTTAGAATTTATGTAACTGCTTCTGACCAAAAAACTATTGGTTTAAAATGGAGCATAGACATGTAGGGAAACAATACAATTGCAATATCATTTTGAAAAATTAAAGTATCAAATCTTTTGTGAATAGCATTTGCTGGACAAATTATGCAAAGAAATAGAGAAAGATCTGCGACTTTCTGTGCATACTCATTTAAAGCTGGATGACCGAAACCCTTTCAAAGTTGGCATGAAAGACCTGGCTCTTTTTTTCTCTCTGAATCCAATTCGGTTTTTCAATCGTTTCATTGACATTCGGGGTGAGTGTTTTGCTTTCCTTCTTAGAGTCATATTCTCTTTTTTTTTTTTTTTTACCCTACTGTTAAACAAAACTTTGAGGGTATATTTAAATTTTGTGTTGTTATTCTTTAATTACATTTTGTTTCTTTTCTCATTTTTATTAATACCTTATTTTAAAGGAACAAATCTGATGTTCAAGGACAAGTTGTTGTTTTTTCCTTTTAGGTTTCATTTCTTTTCCTTTTCTACTGTTTCACAAGTTGAATTTTTTTTTTTTGGTAGCTTACGTAACTCACTACCTAGACAAGACTTTCTACAATCTAACAACTGTAGCCCTTCATGACTGGGCCACTTATAGTGAGATGAGAAACTTAGCTACTCAGCGTTATGGACTGGTTATGACAGAGGCACATCTTCCCAGTCAGACTTTGGAACAGGTATAGTATAAAATGTTTTTTTTAGCATACTGTGACTGTTGGCTGTAACAGTACTTTTTAAGGAAGTCTTTTTTCTTTTTGCTTTAGTTAGTATGTGCTTATTTTTTAAGAAATTATTTGCCATATAAAATCTTATACTTGACAACAGTAAAAAATTAGGTGCTGCTAAATTGCTTTATAAAGGAATTTACCACCGGGGTCCTGCTTATATTCAGCCTTCTGTTGAGCATTCGAGATATACATATATATTTATATTTATATACAGCTTTTCAGAAACACTAGAATAGTGAAGTGACTTCTGTAGAATTTTAAGAAGTTCAAAGTCACATTTAAGGATTTTAAGCCTGGTTATAGTATATAAAATTTAGTATCTTAGGAAAAATGGTTAAATTTACATGATTACAAATGTGTTTTTTGTTCTTAAAATGAGGAGTATAGGAAAACATTTAGCTTTGCTAATTCAATTAGTTAATGTACAGTATGGCATTGTCTCATGAATGTAATAATTTATGTTATCAGATAATTTGCGTGGAGTTCTCTTTAAGATGATCCAGATAATATTTACCAAAAAACATTTATTCAGTTCTAAAATTTGAGGATTCTAGTTTTCCCTTTATCTTGCTGCATGTAGGGATTATTTCTAGGATCAGTTTGTATATCCTTTCATTTATTTTGTATATCCTTTCATTTATTCATTTATATATCTGATATTTATTGAGAACATGCTAGGCACTGAACTATGTTTAGGAATACAAAGATAAATATAAATAGTCCCAGCTCATGTAATATCCTCTGGGAGAAAAAATGTGTAAACAAATTTTTAGATTAGAATATGATAAAAGTTATAATAAAAACTTAAAAAGGTATTGTGATGCTCCTTTGAGCTCTAATTAGAAAAAACTATGGAACAGTTTATATGATACCATTGGGTGTTAGAGTAATATCTATTTAAAGAATGAAGGATTCTTAATAGAAAACTTGTACTATTTAAAAGGGGTCTGGTGTGATCAAAAGAAGCATAACAGTTTGGAATTAGACTTTCTAAAGTCCCAAGGCCCTGCTGCTGCCTAGCTATTTTGCCTCAGAGAACAACTTCCTTAGCTTCTTTTTTGTCACCTGTGGAATTTAGAAGAATGATACCTCATATTTTAGAATTACATATAAGGAACCTTGCAAAGTACCTGAAAAATAGTATGTATTTTATGAATGTCACAGCACATTCTGACTACCTTTTAGAATCTGGCTACTAGTTTACTTTGTAGAAAAAATGTAGAGAAGATTGTTGAAGAGACAAATATTCTCAAGGCTGGTGGGGAGATGACTGTGGGTCATGGATCTTTTAATATTTAAACTTAACTGTTCCTGTCTGCACAAAAGATAAAGTAATAAGCAGCCAGGTTTCCCTAAGGAGATAGTCTTGATTTGTCTTTTAACGTTTGATCGTACCTTTTATATAGTTCTTTAAAATAACTTAAAAATTATTAGGAAACAGTATAATCAATAAGTCATTATGCTGATACAAGTTTAACTGATTATTTTAATGAATTATAATAAAACTTGTATGTGTATTATGTTGTAGGGCCTTGATGTTTTAGAAATTATGAGAAACATTCATATATTTGTGTCCCGATACCTCTATAATCTCAACAATCAGGTGAGTAGGGTTTATAAATTTTTTTTTTTTAATGTAGGTGGAGATAGTTGGAAGGCTGAGGGGCAAGGAATTGATTTTTATGGGTGAAAATTAAATGAAACAAAAAATAATTGTTTTCGAGGCCTTGTTTATTTTTTTGCCTTGATTATACCAGTTGTGTATCTTTTATTCGAAATGTTTAGGACAAGAAGTGTTTTGGATTTCAGATTTTTTTTTGGATTTTGGAATATTCGTATCATATACCACTTGAGGATCCCTAATCTGAAAATCCAAAATCTGAAATGCTCCAGAATCGTAAACTTCTGACCACCAACATGACGCTCAAAGGAAACGCTCATTGGAACATTTTGGATTTCAGATTTTCGGATTAAGGATACTCACCTGTACTGTCTTGATTGCATTTTCAATTAAATTGTCTTTAATGAAATAGATTCTAAAATTTTCTTTGGATACCTGTTTGACCAGTGTTTGCTATGGGTTGCGTTGTTACTGAGCATAAATTTGTTTCATTGCAGATTTTTATTGAACGAACAAGCAATAACAAGCATTTGAATACTATTAATATTCGGCATATTGCTAATTCAATTCGAACACATGGCACGGGAATTATGAATACAACTGTAAGAACTTTTCTTTGGGGGTTGAGTGGGTAATAGACCCGTTTAATAGCTTGGAACGTGGTTTTCTCATAGAATATTGCGGTAAACATACACTACTAGTTTATATTTTACATGAATTTCCATTTTTTTTCTGGTTAGTAATTAAAATGTCTGGTCCTAAAATTGTGTTGGATGTGATGGGAGCTGTGATACAAAAGACACTTTAGGGTAGATTACCATCTCAGAGCCATCATTATAAATAGTGCTAGATATTTGAGGACATCAGCACATTAATATATGTGTGTGCACACATATATATATGTTTATCTGTGTTGATCTGTGATCCCTGAAAGTTTACTTTTGAAAGTCAACAATAGATAGTAATTTACTTAATGTTATTTATGCCCTTTTTGGGGCAGGGTTTGCTAATTATTTGATGTCCATATAAATAGGAACTTACTAAAAATATATTGAATCTTCTTAGAAATGGGCATTCACCGCTTGGCGTGGTGGCTCACGCTTGTAATCCCAGCACTTTGGGAGGCTGAAGCAGGAGGATCACCTGAGGTTGGGAGTTCAAGACCAGCCTGACCAACATGGAGAAACCCCATCTCTACTAAAAATACAAAATTAGCCAGGCGTGGTGGCGGGCGCCTGTAATCCCAGCTGCTTGGGAGGCTGAGGCAGGAGAATCGCTTGAACCTGGGAGGCAGAGGTTGCAGTGAGCTGAGATTGCGCCATTGCACTCCAGCTTGGGCAGCAAGAGCGAAACTCCATCTCAAAAAAAAAAAAACAAACAAAAACGAAATGGGCATTCACTTGAAGGAATTATTTGAACTCGTATGCTATTTTTCTGTCTGTGGAAAAAGAGAAGTCTTTGAATTTACCTGGTTTTCAGAGCACAGTTAATTTCTCCTTTAGGGGAGAAGACTGAATGCTTAAGTAGTACAGTATTATTAAACACATTTGGAGTAGGGAATTGGGAGAAAATGGAAAGTTAAGTTGGGATCATTTAAGTATACAGTGGAAAAGCATTGAAGATTTTGAGCCAATGAGTGATATGATTGGAGCTCCATTATAGTGGGGTTATCAATATAGAAATGAAACATACAATTTTAAATTCCAAATGAAGAGTCATCCATGTAATGATCATGTTTGTACCTTTGAGGATAAATAAAACTGAACTTTTGAGAGTAAACTCTTCCTTGACTTCTATCATCTATCAAATATTCATGTAACAGATGTGAATGTATTTTATGTGTCAGGGACTGTGCTGGGCACTAGTGTGAGAAAAACACATTTCCTGCTTTCACAGTAATCACAGGGATATAGATGTTCATCAGTTAATTACACTAATGAATGTAGATTACTGATGTCTGTTGATGAAATGAGCATAGAAGGATAGAAATCAGGATGGCAGAATAGTTACCCACTATTAAGAGTGGAAAGGATTAAAAACAAAAGACTGTTAAAGAGATTTTTTTAAAAATGCAAAGAAACAGAAAAAACAAGGAGAGAGTACAATGTTTAAGCTACAAGATAAGTTCCCGAAAATCATTTGTTTCCATAATTGGGTAAATGAATACTGAGTAAAACGGGCACAAATTTGTCAAAATCATTAGTAATACTTGAGAGTTAGTGGGGTTGGAAATGAATTTAGGGTTTTCATTTGTAGGTTGGAATTAATCTTATGCTATTTCTGCCTGTAGGTTGGAATTAATCTTTTGCTATTTCCATCTGTAGGTTAGAATTAATTTTACTGTGCTATTTTGACTTTAATCTCAGCTCATACCTCACTTTCTTAGGATTTTCTGAGTCAAGGGCTTTTTGTTATTTATTGTCAAAGCACACATGTACTTAACATTCTGAGAAATTATTACAGTAGAGATTTAATAATTTATTTAACAATACTTGTTTAAAATGTTTGTCACCTGTTCTAGAATATAAACTTCGTGAAGACAAGGACCATGTCTAGCATGGGAGAAGGCACGTTGCCTTGTGTGTAAGAGGTGATTAGAAATATTTATGGATAGATAATTGAATATGTGGTATCTTCAGGAAGGTTCAGAGAACACCATGTTTCTTACTTTAGTATCATTCTAGACCTGTAGATTAGCAATAAGTAATCTTACTGATGGAGGAACATAGAAACTTCTCACTGGACCATGGCTTAAAAACTAGAGTCTTGAGTCTGGTTTTGTGATTCTCACTACAGCCCTTAGTCCTATCATGAGAATATTTTCCACTTTTTTCTTTTCTTTTTTCTTTTTTAGTAAAAATATGTAAGAGGAGCTTATAGAAAGTTTTGTGAACTTCAGCAATAAAAAATGTTATTTAAATATTTTCAGGTCCAATATGAAATAGACTTTTTAAATAGTACTTTATAGGTAGTACAAATAGATAACTGTGATACAGTAAAATTTATTTGAATTGATTTGAATTAATTTTTATATTAACTTTTTTCAACTTTTTGAATTTTAATTTTATAGGTTAATTTCACCTACCAGTTTTTGAAAAAGAAGTTCTATATATTTAGCCAATTTATGTATGATGAACACATCAAATCCAGATTGATTAAAGATATTCGATTTTTCAGGGAAATTAAGGACCAAAATGATCATAAGGTAGGCTACCTATTCTTTTTAAGGTATTTGATTAAGCTATTGAGTATATGGCAAATGTGTATGCTAAAATTCATTATTTAGATCTCTATTGGGGTTTTAGTTTTATTTTCCCTATAATTTCTTACTCTGCATTATCTGTAGGCTTAAGGTAAGGAAAAAATTAAATCATAAATGTAGCCAGGTGATACTTTTTCTTTATTTTAAAATAATATAAAAGCAGGACATGCTTATTTTGAAACATTTAAGCAATATAGAATGGATAAACTGAATATCCACCTTCATTTCTCTTTCCATTCCATTTTCTGGAGGCAGTTGCTAACAATGTAGTGTGATGGCTTTCAGATATCTTTGTATATAAACATGTATATTTACACACATATATTGCTTTTAAAAGCAGTATAGTAAAAATGGAGTAATATTATACATAGCATTTTGCACTGTGCTCATCACGTCAGTACATACAGATCTGCTTCAAGTTGATAGGGATACATCCATGTATATCATAACTTATTTAACCTTCTTCTGTTGACCATTATTTAGGTTTTTCTAATTTTTCATTCTTACAAACAGTGCTGCAGTAACATCTTTACACATCTATCTCTGTAAATCTCAGACTTTCTGAAAACTTCCTTAAGGAGAAATTTCTAGGACAAGGAAATGTGAACATTTAAAATTGTGGTACATATTGCCTAGCACTCCAAAAACACTTCACTATTGATATTCCCACTGATAATTTATACGAATGCTGCTGTTAGCAGGGTGCAGTGGCTCATGCCTGTAATCCAGCACTTTGAGAGGCTAAGATAGGTAGATCACTTGAGGCAAAGCATTTGAGACCAGCGTGGGCAACATGGCGAAACCTCATCTCTACTAATAATACCAAAATTAGCCGGGCATGGTGGCACATGCCTGAAGTCTCAGATGCTCAGGAGGCTGAGTGTATTAGTCTATTCTCATGCTGCTATGAAGAAATACCTGTGACTGGGTAATTTATAAAGGAAAGAGGTTTAATTGACTCACAGTTCTGCATGGCTGGGGAGGCCTCAGGAAACTTATAATCATGGCGGAAGGTACCTCTTCACAGGGTGACGGGAAAGAATGAGTGCCCAGCGAAGCGGGAAGCCCTTACAACCATCAGATCTTGTGAGAACTAACTCACTATCATGAGAACAGGGTAGGGGAAACTGCCCCCATGATTCAGTTATCTCCACCTGGTCCCTCTCAGGACATGTGGGGATTATGGGAACTATAATTCAAGATGAGATTTGGGTGGGGACAAAGCCAAGCTATATCACTGAGGCACAAGAATCACTTGAACCTAGGAGGTGGAGGTTGCAGTGAGCCGAGATAATGCCACTGCTCTCCAGCCTGAGTGACAAGAGCAAGACTCTGTCTCAAAAAAAAAAAAAAAAAAAAAAAAAGAACGCCGTTTTCCTTTCACCTTCCAGGCTGAGTTTTCCCATAGTGAAGTGAAGTGAAGAATCTGTTGAATTGTTAAGTGGCAGCAGGCGCATGTAGCCATGTGGATTGAGAACCAACAGGCTTAGATGGGTCCTATATTTGATTTGCCATATGCGGAACTATTTTAATTACTTTTCTTAAGATACACCTATTTCCAGTTCTCTTGTATAATGGTTGCTAGTTCTCTTCAGTGCCAGAGTAGCAAAATATTACTTTCTCATAGGATAATCTAATAAAATTACAGATTACATTTATCAGTAGAGGATTGTATTAACTCTTTTTTTTTTTTGAGACTGAGTCTGGCTCTGTCTCCCAGGCTGGAGTGCAGTGGCACAGTCTCAGCTCACTGCAGCCTCCGCCTCTTGGGTTCAAGCGATTCTCCTGCCTCAGCCCCCTGAGTAGCTGGGATTAAAGGTGCACACCACCACACCCAGCTAATTTTAGTATTTTTAGTAGAGATGGGGTTTCACCATATTGGTCAGACTGGTCTTGGACTCCTGACCTAGTGATCTGCCTGCCTCGGCCTCCCAAAGTGCTGGGATTACAGGCATGAGCCACTGTGCCCAGCCCAGCTCATTTTTATTGGAGCAGAAATTCCTAGTATTTAGAGATAAATATTCATGCTATTATGTAAGAATTGCTTTCTTATTATTACAAAATGAATAATTTCCTAAATCTCCTAATCAACCAAGACCAAAAAGTAGTTTTTTTATTGGTGATGGTTACTAGAAATTTTAACCCAGCTGACGTGTGTTCATTGAGAAGGAGTATGTTTCTAAGTCCCTAATACCTATTCAGCCCACAGAAACTTGGTCACACATCTGTGAACAGGTGTTTCTGGGAGGAATTGGTTTCTTTTTTCTGTTAGAGTTGTTGGAGGTTAGGAGACTAATAATTGTGGTAGGGAAATTAGGTTAGTGGCATTGATTATTAGTCGTTTTAGCTAATGTCAAAAAGAAAAAAGTTATATTGACCTTGAACATTGGTAGTGTATGAATTATTAATCTTAATTAATTTTTAAGCACAATGAAATACAAAATTGAAAGGAGAGTAGTATTGGCATGGTTTATTTGGGAGGCATTTTGTGCTTTAGAAATCTTTATTAAAAGTAGCCTTAAAATTTTCTGTCTAGTATCCTTTTGATAGAGCAGAAAAATTCAATCGAGGCATCAGAAAACTTGGAGTAACACCTGAGGGACAGAGCTACCTTGATCAATTCAGGCAACTCATCAGCCAGATTGGTAAGTTATGATAAAAGTGTTGGGAAATCAGGTACAGATCCCTACAGTCTATCTCATATATTAACTATTTCACACTAATAAGCAGCTCATGTGAAAGCCTGAGCTCAGCTTTACTCCACTCATGTAATTTTTTTACCCCCAAAATTTGTAAGTATGATTAGACTGTTGCTGCAGAAATAATTGATAGACTATAGGCTAATCACGTAAATAAAACCTCTTCAATTATAATTAAAGTTATTTAATAACTAAATCTCAAAGGTCATATTAATAATTGTAAACTGGTAAGTACTTACTGAATACCTGCTCTGTTCAAGGCACTGTTTTGGGCTTCTAAAAGGCTCCCACAAGTTCCAGTCTAAATGTGAAGGTATAAAATATTTACATGAAAAGTTATTAAGTTCTATGTTACACCATTTTACTTGTGCATATAATGTATTGTCCTTCTGCCCTTACGAGTGGAACTTGTCTTCTGATATGTAGTACTTTTATATTTAAAAGTAAGAACTACATTTCATAATCATCGCTTAACAAAACTTTATACTTATTTGAGCTTTTCACATACATTATATGTTCACAATAACCCTGTGAGATAGGCATGTAATCGTTTTAAAGATGAAAAAAGAGAAACTTAGAGAAAGAAGTAAGTCATGTTTCTGGGACTTAAACCAGGGTTATTTAGCTATAAGTCCAAATGGGTTTTATATTCTTGAAAGTTTATATTAACACCAAACAGTAAAATCTTATTGACTATATTTTGGGAAAATTCTGCCTTGTGAGATTGATTTATTCATTTATCAAGCATTTACTAAGCATCTGTTATGCCACATTTTCTGTTAGGTGCTGGGAATACCAACCCCTTTGCTTTCAGGAGACTTTAGGTTTACTAGTGGGTAATACGTTATAAGCATTTCATTCTGGAGTAAAGTTTTTTCAGTTAATTGATTTGCATATTAGACATTTCTATTATGTTTTAGTACAAGAACTTGGAGGATTTTACCTTTGTAAATGTTTTATTATAAACCATTCAATATTAAGTATTGTCAAATAAGTACAAATAAGTTTTCTTCAAGTGGACATTTAATATTAAGCGGCAAACTTATGGAGCAATAGTTCTTAACCTTTTTTGAGAATCTGAGGAAAACTCCAGGATGATTGTTCCAGAACTAATGCCTATATGACATACGTACACAATTTTGTGTATGATATGCTAGAGTCCATGTGCTTAAAGCTTGGGTCTATGGACCTCAGATTAAGAGCTGTCCTTCTAGAGCAGTGTTACTTAAGTTTTATTTATACACATACCCAGAATTTTTGCATCCTGTTAATACTGCCTTCACTATTGTTACATGTTTTTATTTTTTTTGAGAGTATAATTTTTCCTTAGAAATAACAGTTGTTAAATCATAGTCCTTAAAATGCTAGTCATTTTTGCCCTAAATACATAATCACTAAGTGTTCTTTGGTGTGCCATCTAATGTCACCTTGCTTACCACCAGGTTGCAGTCCACAATTGGGGAATATTATCCTTTTCATTTTAATCCATCGTTTTACTCTTTATTCTCTTCTTAGAAAATATAAATTCTTTTTTTTTTTTTTTGAGACAGAGTCTTGCTCTGTCACCCAGGCTGGAGTGCAGTGGCATGTTCTCAGCTCACTGCAACCTGTGCCTCCTAGGTTCAAGCGATTCTCCCGCCTCAGCCTCCTTAGTATATGGGACTTCAGGTGCATGCCACCACGTCCAGCCAAGTTTTGTATTTTTAGTAGAGATAGGGTTTCACCATGTTGGCCAGGGTGGTCTCGATCTCCTGACCTCGTGATCCATCCGCCTCTGTGTCCCAAAGTGCTGGGATTACAGGCGTGAGCCACTGCGCCCGGCCAATACAAATTCTTTACCTCTGCTTATAAAACACTGTAATGTGCTTTTGAGTCTGATAAATATCTTGAGAAAAGGTGTAAAGAATCTGGGAGCAAAATGGAAGCCTTTTTGACTAATAACTTGCCTGCTGAAATAATAATAATTAACATTTATTGAGCATTTACTGTGCCATGGCTATTCTTAGTGCTTTATATGTTTTAACTCACGTGAATCTTACCACAACATTTATGAAATATTTCTTCCCTTCATTCACTGCACAGGTATTCATTCAGTACAACAAATGTTTCTAGGTGCTGATGATATTTATGACAGTAAACAAAGTCTCTGTCCTTATTGAGCTTAATTTACCAGATGAGAAGACTGAGATACAGAGAGGTAACATAACATAATTTGTAGGTCTCTTAGCTAACATGTGGGAGACCAGATTTGAACCCAGGTGGCCTGGCTTCAGAGCTTTTACTCTTAATTGCCGCTCTATACTAGGCTCTCCTATTTTGCTTCCTCAGACTTTGGTCTGATGATTTGGAGGAAAACAAACTTGTCATTTGACTTTTTAAAGATGCACATTAAAAAAATTTCAATGTCATTTCTCATATTGGGACAGGCCTTAAAATAGATTCAATGTTAACTGCTATGTAGGGTTGTTAAAAACATAAGATAATGTATGTAAAATGTATGTTACTCATGATTATGAAATGTTAACTTGTTTTTACATTTCCGTCTGTTCTTTCAAGTAATTTCAATAAAGTTCAATTATAAATTGAATTCCTACTATTTGCCAGGACATGTTGGCTCTAGGGATGGAGCAGTGAAGAAGACAAAGGCTGTACTCATGGATCTTGAACTCTAGGTGGGGGAAGATGCAGACAGAAAAATACATAGTATGTCAGTGATAAGTACTGGGTAAGGAGATGTAAGGGGGCTGGGCAGTGCTAGTCAGTGATGTTCAGGGAAAACAGGAGGTGACATTTGAGCAGGGACCTAAATAAGGTTGGGGAGTAAGCCACGTGCATCTGGGGAAAGAGTCTACCAGACAGAGGCAACAGTAAGTGCAAAAGCCCTGATTCGTTCACATTTTTGAGAAATAGGGGCTGGAATGGAGTGAGCAAAGATCTAAGTGGCAGGGCATGCTATCTGAACAGTAGCAGAGGGGTGCAAGATCGATGTCAGGATTTTGATTACTGAGGGTGGAAAGCCATTACAGCATTTTCAGAAAAAGCATGATATGGGGCCGGGCATGTGTGGCTCACACACTGTAATCCCAGCACTTTGGGAGGCCGAGGTGGGTGGATCACCTCAGGTCAGGAGTTCAAGACCAGCCTGGCCAACATGGTGAAACCCCATCTCTACTAAAAATACAAAAATTAGCCGGGCGTGGTGGCGGACGCCATGTGATCACAGCTACTTGGGAGGCTGAGGCAGGAGAATCGCTTGAACTGCAGAGGCGGAGGTTGCAGTGAGCTGAGATCATACCACTGTACTCCATCCTGGGTGACAGAGTGAGACTCTGTCTCAAAAAAAAGAAAAAGCACTATACGCTCTAACTTAGTTTTTAAAAATTCACTAGCAGCTCTGTAGATATTATACAACACTGGGGAATGTGGCAGGATGCTAAAGGTGAAAGTAGGGAAATCAGGAGGCCATTGCATATTGCAGTGCTCCAGCCAAGAGCTGGTGATGGATTGGATAGGAGGATATCTATGAAGGGGTGAATGAAAAGTGGGTGGATTCTGGCTACGTTTTCAAGGCAAAGTCAATATAATTTGCCCAGTCATTTTGATTATAAAATGTGAGAGAAAGGAGCCAGGGATGACTTTAAGACATTTGGCTTGAGCAACTGAAAGGATAGAATTGCCAGTTTCTTTGATAGGCAAAATTGGGGATAAAGATCCTGAGCTTGAGTTGGACATATGAAATATAAAATTCTTATTAGACATAAAAGTGTAGGCATCGGATAAAAAAACCTAGAGTTCAGAGGAAGAGTCCAGGCCAGAGATATAAATTTGGGAGGCATCAAATAAAGATTTCTTGATATCACTTCCAATTGTGTATGTGGCGGAGATTGAATCTCAATGTGAGAGGAGAAATTATTGATATTATAATTTTAAGCTTGACCATTTTAATGTAGTCAGCATTTAATGATTTTAGTTTATCAAATGAAAATAACATTTACTTTTAAATATTTAATATAGTTATATATAAGTATGTATGTTTATATTTTAAGTGTAGAAATATGTAACAGTTTTACTTTTTATGATAAGAACTGAAGTAAAATATAGCAAAATATTTTGGTTCTTAGGAGTGGAAACCTTGTAATTTACTACTGTATGTAACTATATTCCTATTAGAATTTAGAGTTATTTATATAAATATCTGATTTTTTTGTGTGGTTTTTAAGGTAATGCTATGGGCTATGTACGAATGATAAGATCTGGTGGTCTTCATTGTAGCAGCAATGCCATTAGGTATGGATGCAAACATCATTTTTGCCTTGTTTATGCCATTTTAAAAATTGTGTCCATTAAATATATGTTACAAGTGATATTGTAGATAAGGTGTTTGTTCTTGATATATTTTGAGATAAAATATGGAAGAAAACTATTAATTCTACTAGATTTTTCTCAAATTTTAAGACTGCAGCAGACTTCTGAAAATATTTCTCTTAAGTTAATTTATCAATATGGTTTATGAATGCATGTAAAGATTACATGATTTTAAGGATTAAAATATTCATATCTAAAATTCAATTTGGAACTAAAGTGGTGATATGAATAATATTACTGAAATGCACAGTTGTTTCCAAATACATAGTTGAAAATTTTAGAGTCCTGCAGTACCACTTTTATATCTGTGTCAATTGCACATATTTTACTTGACCTAATAAATGCCTTCCCAAATTCTTATGTAGATTTGTTCCTGATCTTGAAGATATTGTAAATTTTGAAGAACTAGTAAAAGAAGAAGGTCTTGCAGAAGAAACATTAAAAGCAGCAAGGTAATCTAAATTTGGAAATATAAAAAAGTGTGTTTATAAAAAACATTCTGAAGAGAAGACCAGAGGGTAATATGTAATTTTTATGCCACTGTTTTTATTATACAAAATTATGGCCTCAGTTTATGAAGTATAATTTTTAAGACTTCAGTATTCTAAGACCTTTCCAGCTTCTAGAACATGCTGTCCAGTATTTCAGCCACTAGCCACACATGGCTCTTGAGCACCTAAAATTTGGCTGGTCCACACTGAGATGTGCTCAAGTATAAAGTACATAACTAACCTTGAAGATTTAGTATAAAAGGAGGAATGCCAAATACCTCAATCATAAAATTCATTTCACCTATTTTCTTTTTACTTTTTAAAATATTTCTCTTCACCAACAGTGTTCTAGAATGCCAGTCCTTTCTTATATGTAATCTATAGCAGCACTGTAGCCACTACCATATATGGCCGGTAAACACTTAAAATATGGCAAATGCGACTGGGGAATTGAAGTGTAAATTTTATCTTAATTTAAATTTAAATAGCTAATGTCTGTCTTATTGAACAGTGCAGGACTTGAGTCA
This sequence comes from Homo sapiens, assembly GCF_000001405.40. Taxonomy (NCBI): domain Eukaryota; kingdom Metazoa; phylum Chordata; class Mammalia; order Primates; family Hominidae; genus Homo; species Homo sapiens. The sequence continues at coordinate 105,157,889 of NC_000012.12, forward strand.
GTTGTGCATTTGTCCCATAACACGAGAGGCATGCAGAATTGGTAAGAATATGTTTAGAAAACTGTATGTTTTATTCACACTTATAGCAGGTTATTGAATCAGGCATGAAGGGGCACCCCTGGGCAAGGGGGAGACAATTTGATCAAAAAGAATAATGATAGATAAAAATCTGTTGAATAAAAAAAATCAATGAGTCATAATGATAAGAAGGGTTATCATAAGAAGATCATAATGATAAGAGAATGAAAGTCATTTCTTTATGGAAGAATGCTTGTTAAATTTAGGGGGGAAATTGTAACCATCACTGTAATACTTGAAATCAAGCAAGAATCCCCAGTGGTTTCTAAAACATTAGGTGAAAAGTTTTTAGAGAACAGAGGATTCATTCAGTAATTCATCCCATAAAATTGCTTATTAATTACAAAGGAGAAAACTGTCTTTACAGTGGAGAAATATATTCCACCTTGGCCAAGTGATCAAACTTAGCATCACCAGTAATGGAGCAGACAGATGTAATGTGGCCTCTTGATGCAATGTAATGTCAAGTACCTAGTTTGTATTCTTGCCAGAAATGTTTATCCTGAATTTATTAGGAGGAAATGTCCTGAAAAATTTAGAATGTGAGCATTTTATGAAACACTTGGCCTGGACAAAAAATACACGGAGATTGTTCTAGATTAGGAGAATAAAGAGACCTGATAATCACATGTAATGGGTGATACTTAATCATATCCTAGATAAGGAAAGAAACAGCTGTAAAGGACATTTGAGGAATAATTGGGGGACATTTGAACATGGATTGTATATTAGTTAATACTGTATTATATTCTTGGGTATAACAGTGTTTTGTGGCTTTGTAGAAAAATGTTTTCATTCTTAATAGATTCATGCTAAAGCATTAATGGGCTAAGTGATAAAAGGTCCACAACTTTCAAGTGTTTCAGAAAAATAGAGAAAACAGTTGTGTCAAAATGTTAACAAGTGGTGAATCTAGTTGAAGGGTATACGGGTGTTCATTATACTATATTTTAACTTTTTGATAGGCTTGAAATCTTAAAAAATAAAAAAGTATATGGGAAAATGCATGCATTTCTGTGAGAATAAGGCCCCAGCACAGAAGCTTTGCTCTGGAATAGTCTGTTAGATAGCTTAAGCTCTTTGCCAGATTACATAAGCCATTTACAAAGTTAAGCCATTTGAAGTCATGTGCCTGAAAATGGTTTAAATAGTTTCTGATGTGTGTCTCAAAGGAAAGGATCAGACCTTTACCTTATGTTAAATGATGCCATTCACTCCGAAAGTGTTGACCATTTAAAAAATATTTTGAAGCAGTGTGAGGAAATCAGAGAGTAGGATATTGTCTTCTAAGATCTCTAGGGTAAAGCTGACTGCTAGTTGGAAGATCCAGATTGGTGCAAGGGAGTGGTTGATTGAAGTCAAGGAAATGTAGGGTCATGATAATGAATAGATTATCTGCATAGACAGGGGAGAACTGGAGCAGGCATCCTAATCCTGCGTAATTGTAGGACGGTGGTTAAAAGGTTAGTAGATGTCTGCTGTTAGGAAGAAGTAGTTGAGTATTTGGGTAGTTAGATATAGTTGGATTATGTGAGTCACAAAGGAAGATTTCTTTCTTACAGTGGTGGAGGAATAATAATTGAAAGTGGTAGTAGCTGTACATGAGGGATGCAGGAGAAAAAGCAGCTGATGTTTTTGAAGGTTGAGAGGGAAACTGAGTTCTTGAAAAAAAGAGCCAGGTTTATGTTGAGGTAAGGGGATGTAGGAGAAACGTTAGAGATTTAAGGGGAAGAGGAAATATTTACAATGAAGAGGAGTTCTACAGGCCTCACTGTGGGAAGAAGAAATACAGAACTATTATTTTAAGTCCCAAGATGTTCTAATAGTCTATTTTTGGGACTAAATTTACTAATATTGATCAGTTTTCTGTCCATGAGAAAATAAGTTTATTCTGAACTCCAAGAAAATTTTCTTAGAAGTGTCTTACAGTGTTTCCTGCTTTTCAAGTGTTCTTATCTAAACTATTGAGAGATGGATTTTTTTCAAAGCCACGCTTCTTTTGAGAAAGGAACCAAATAATTTTTTGCTTTTTAGGCATTTGGATTCAGTCCTCAGTGATCACACACGAAATTCTGCCGAAGGCACAGAATATTTCAAAATGCTTGTAGACGTTTTTGCTCCAGAATTTCGAAGGCCAAAGAATATACATCTCCGAAATTTCTATATAATTGTTCCCCCTCTGGTGAGTATTTCCAGAACCTAAAATGAATTTTTTTTTTAAAAAGAGTATGCACAAATAGATCTGGTTTCTTTGTAACACGAAATGCATACAGACTACACTATTAATTTCCTGGTTGCATATAAAACTAAATGTGATCTCAGTGAATGTGACATAGAATTTTTTATTTGTTAGCCATGCTGAAGGACACTTTCTTATTGTTAAATTTTTTTTTTCTTCTGAGATGGGGTCTTGCCCTGTCACCCAGGCTGGAGTGCAGTGGTGTGATCATGGCTTACTCAGGCTTGACCTCCTGGGCTCAAGCCAGCCCCCTGCCTCAGCCTCCCTAGTAGCTGGGACTACAGGTGTGCACCACCATGCCTAATTTTGGTAATTTGTTTTCTTTTTTAAGATATGGGGTCTCACTGTGTAGCCTAAGCTGGTCTTGAACTCCTGGGCTCAAGCAGTCCTCTTGCCTTGGCCTCCCAAAGTGCTGAGATTACAGGCATGAGCCACCACGTATGGCCTAAGATAGATTCTTATTTTTTTTAAATAATTACTGGAGAAATTTGAGTATTTTTTAAGTTATATGAGTATATGCCATAGAATCTTTGGGCAGAATTATTAATATATAATCATTTTAAGTGCTTAATGTAGAATAACTTTAGCTGTTATTATAGTTTTTTCTAACACATTTCTTAAAGCATATTGTTTCAAGATAACTTCTTTCTATTCAGTAGTAAATACTAACATCTGGACTAAATTTTTAATGCTTCTTAGAGTATGTAACGTGTTCTTGCTCTAACTCTGTAGTTGCTATCTAAAAATAGTTCAAGTTATCAAAAATTGCATTATAAAAACAGCTGTTCCATTAGGGAAAATGGAGTTAAGAATTTTTGAGAGGTATATATTAGTAATAAGAGTTGTTTTGGCTTAAGGTTCCTATAAAGTTTAAAAAAAATTGTAAGTAGATAGCTTTAAAATCTAAATATCACCCAGCAGATGAAGCTCTTTATTATATTTAATTTTGATCAAGAATAGTGACTTTTCATATTGCTGCCCAAGTTGTTAACACATCTTCTTACATATTAAAACCATTATTACCTATTGAAAGTAGCTAATAGCCTATAAACAGCTTTTTTCCATGAATTTTGTTTCTTTTATACATTTGTTAATTTTCTATCATAATTGTATTTTAACTATGATATAGCAAAAAATGTTCATATTCATCTTGTAAGAATCTTTTCATCTTAAGATAGTGTCAAACTGGAGGGAGAGTGTCATATTTGGTAATACTATAGTTAACTTGGGGTGAGTTCTCACCATATTTTTTTAATTTGAAGGGCAATGTACTCAAACCATTGTAGACAGCAGTTAACCCATTGGTAAGCTTAGGAAAAAGTCTGGAGTTTTACAAGGCAGTTGTCAGAATTCGCTTAGTGATGGAGAAAACAAAGTGGATTAAAAGCACTACAAAGAAGTATAGAATACTGTTCTTGTACTTGTGTTTGTAGTGTAGTTCCAGAAAAAAGACAAGCATAAATGAGATTTCTAAAAAAGATTGAATTAATGATTGATAAAAAATTCACAAACAGGTGATTAATTGCTGAATAAGTTTCACAGTCAAAAAAATGAAACTTGGTTTTGTTTCCAGCGTAGGCTATTATAGTACTTAGCACACTGTATATCATAATTAGTTTTTAAACACTTCTGCATTTACTCTTCTAGAGCTGTGCTATCCATGTATAGTCACATGTGGCTACTTAAGTTAATTAAAATTTCATAAAATTAAAATCATAAGGCAGGGCGAAAAAAATAAAAATACCTTTTTAAAAATTAAAAATTCAGCTTGTCAGTCACACTAGCCTCATTTCAAGTGCTCAGTGGCCGCTTGTGATTAGTGGCTTACTGTATGTACTGGATGGTGCAGATACACATTTCTGTCCCTGCCAACAGTGTTGCTCTAGACTGTGAACTCTAGATAGAAATCATTTGTTTAATCATAAGTACTTAATAATGCCTGGTATATTGTAAGCTTCAGTAAATCTTTGTTGAATAAAAGATATGATTAGATAAGTCATTTTGGAAGAGCTGAATTTTCAAGAGACGTACTGTTTTGAGGATTCACACTTAAGAACATGAAAAGAAATAGTATTTTCGAATGAATTAGGTAGGTGTAAGTAAGGACTGTCTTGCATATGTTTTTAAGAGTACTTGTGCTTTGAAATAAAGCAGGCCTACTTTGCTAACTCCAGCATTCACTTAATATATGACTTTGGGTGAGATAATAAATCTCCCAAGCCTCGGTGTCCTTCTCTGTAAAATGTGCATAATATTTTATAATGAGATATACAAGGCACTGTTCTTGGGCTAAGTAGTGATTGAGGGAGTGCCCATATTTAAAGGACTTGGAAAGGAGATCCATGAAGATACACTTGTATAGATTGTATCTTCACCAAGAGGGTACCTAAGGCAAATGTTTCAGATGAAAAGGACAGGAATCTAGATTCTATTCTATTCTATTTATAGTGATTCTATTTATAATTTTTAAAATGTCTGTTATAGGAATTCTGAAGATTTTCTTAGCAAAATTGTTTTTCTAACATGTTGTTACATCTTTTTAGACCCTCAACTTTGTAGAGCATTCCATTAGTTGCAAGGAAAAATTAAATAAAAAAAATAAAATTGGAGCTGCCTTTACTGATGATGGCTTTGCCATGGGTAAGCTTAATGGAATTGTTTTTCCATTAATTTTATATTGACCTTGTAATGGATTCTTAGAAACATCTGCTTGAGAATAGGTCTATATGTTCTTTATAGATTTTTCTTTCTTTTTTCTTTTTTATTTTTTTGAGACAGAGTCTCGTCTCGCTCTGTTGCCCAGGCTGGAGTGCAGTGGCACGATCACTGCAAGCTCCGCCTCCTGGGTTCACACCATTCTCCTGCCTCAGCCTCCCGAGTAGCTGGGACTACAGGCACTCGCCACCACACCTGCCTAATTTTTTTTGCATTTTTAGTAGAGACGGGGTTTCACTGTGTTAGCCAGGATGGTCTCGATCTCCTGACCTCGTGATCTGCCCGCCGCAGCCTCCCAAAGTGCTGGGATTACAGGCATGAGCCACCATGCCCGGCCTATAGATTTGTTTTTCATGAGTGTTGTTTACCGTGTTTTTAGCTGGAATACATGATTGACGATACTTGTTTTCTGTAGTTTATAACTTATTGAATGCCTTCTTAGTATTGCTAATCACTTGTCCACTTTGGCCTAATATTTAGGCTTTGTTTTTGTTGGGGTTGTACAGTTTTAACGTCTTATATTTAGTTTCTCTGGTTTCCTTGTAGCTTCCTCAATTGCCATCTTTTTAGCAGTTGAAGTGTTTTTTTCCTTTCTTTTTGAGGCAGGGTCTTGCTCTGTCACCCAGGCTGGAGTGCAGTGGTGCAGTCATGGTTCACTGCAGCCTCGACCTCCTGGACCCAAGCGATCCTCCCACCTCAGCCTCCCGAGTAGCTGAGACTACAGGCATGCATCGCCACATCTGGCTAATTAAAAAAATTTTTGTTTTTTTTAGAGACAGGAGTCTCACTGTGTTGCCCAGGTTGGTCTTAAACTCCTGGGCTCAAGAGGTCCTCTAGCCTCAGCCTCCCAAAGTATTGGGATTATAGGTACAAGTCATGGAAAGTTTTATTCTTTATGCTTACAGCTATATCGTTTCTCCTGGTGATTTATATGGCCATGTTAGTTATTTATTTTCTTCTTAATTGACTTGTCTTTAGTTATACTTCTACATTGTTTTTAAAGGAGGAATTAAGCCATTTTGTTAAACCCATCATTCATTTATGCTGTAAAATGTAACTTGAAACGGGACAAACTTAAAATGCTAGGAATTATTACTCAGAATGCTTAGTGTTGGGAATTATTGGTGAAGGAGTAGAATACCACTTCTGTACTCACTGTAATTTAACCTTAGTTTTGCTTATGCCTGCAGGTGTGGCTTACATTCTAAAGCTTTTGGATCAGTATCGGGAGTTTGATTCACTTCACTGGTTCCAGTCTGTTAGAGAGAAATACCTGAAGGAGATAAGAGCAGTTGCTAAGCAACAGAATGTACAGTCAGCCAGTCAAGATGAAAAACTCTTACAAACCATGAATCTCACTCAGAAGCGACTGGATGTCTATCTACAGGTAGAGAGGAGCCTAAGAGTCACATCTGCTTTGACTTACCATTTGATATCCATGACTTCTTAATGTCTGAAAAGCAGAAGCCATATAGAAACTACCATTTTCACAAGTGAGATGAATAGTGGCAAAAAGATTATATTTTAAAATGAGTGCTATTTGGAAGCCATTTGACTCACATCTTAAAAATGGGCGGGTTACTTATTTCAGTTTCTGTATTTATGATTTCCACTAGAGCTTTTAAAAATAATAATAAGAGGCATAAAAATGCATATATTTTTGGTATTTTGCCATAATAAGTATTTTTGGTTTTTATTTCAAATTTTTAAATTTACTTAGGAATTTGAATTGCTGTATTTCTCACTGAGCAGTGCAAGAATTTTCTTCAGAGCAGACAAGACTGCGGCTGAAGAAAACCAAGAAAAGAAAGAGAAGGAAGGTCAGTGAGTGGTTTAAATTTGGAAAGACCAATAAATGTCTTTAGTAATAGACAGTAATGCACCATTTTATCTGGTCAGACATCTAGCTTCTTTGTCCTTTTGGAAAATAACACAGACCTAGCATTAAGTCTTTTAAAAAAAGTAAAGCCTGTATAGATCTTGTGTGAAATTGAAAAGGAATTTATGTAGTTTATGCATTTCACACTTGGTAACCCTTTAAAACCTTGTTCAGGATCATCTGCTTTTAATTTAAATACACTTTTCACAAGTTTGGTTTTTCTTTCATGGCTCAAACTATTAGATTTGAAGGAACAAATAGAGGAGGACAGCTAAATGTTGCTGAAGGCAGAGCTGCTGATGACTAGATGTTGACTGAATGAGATGGGACAGATGATTAAAGAACTGTAAAATCATAGGGGCTATTTAGTTGTAGTAAATAGCATCCTGCCTTCTTTCATAGTCAGGCCCTGGAGACTCAGGCAATATAGCCATAATAACTGATAGTGATTTCAATGAACTTCAGTCATTAAGGAAAGGATTCTGTCCATTGTATTCTATGTAGGATGGTGGAAAGGAATCTATACTTTTTAAGGCGTAAGAGCATTGTTCAGTGTTTCATATTTAATGTCCCCATGATATATTTCTCTCAGATTTGAAATTTAGGAATAATCATCTTCTCTGAGAAACAGATGTTTCCCTTTTTCTGTCATGGATATTATATAGCATACATTTCTCATTGCTTGGAAGATCAAAACTAGATACAGCGACTAGTTAACCCTTATAATTTTCATGTTTACTAGTCTCCTTTTTGTCTTACTCGTGCTTCATGAAGTTTTCATAAATCAAGATATAAAGCTCTTCATAAAACAAGATGTTTTTATTAATCTTATTTTATGTTAATTTTTAAAATACACCTTTTTTCTTTATATAGAGTAGAGGTGACTCATTGGGTAGACCACTTACGTGAACTACCTTATTTCTTGACATTGTTGCATAAATTAAATATTACTAATATTACTTATTAATTAGGTGCATATCCAGGCGTTTTTTGAATCTAGACTAAATAAACATGCTTGAAAAAATTGTTTCAGCTTATTAATCTGGAAGACACTCAATATTAAATGAAAATTTATACATACTACATTTGTGTTCATTTTCAAGGATAAATTAGCAAAGCCATTTGGAAGAATTTGAATCAATATAATCTAAATTATGAAGAAACTCAGTTATTGCCTCAGTTCTGCTCATGTGTTTCATGATGCCAGAACCTTTTCCCCAGCCCAGGTGACTGGGAAAACTCTGCGGGGCGATTGGACATTTGCTTTCAGGCTAAAGCATTAAAACAAAACAAACAACCCTTCAGTCTCATGGCAGTGGGATTCCTTGCTTTGGCCTATTCCTCTTAAGGAACTCTCCAGAGTTGCAGTTGTTATGTTATCACTCACATCACTGTTCTAAGACTATTTCAGCTAAAGATTGCTCAGAGATATAGTCAGTTTCTGAATACATTACTCAAATAGTCTTTGTCTGTTAATGAAATATGCACACATGACATTTTGCACAAAAAGCCAGGAATTCATTCTGTCAAAAACAGTGAAAAGCTGTTTCATTTAAAATTATTTTAAGAAATAATATATATTACGTATAATTTATTATAATAAGTTATAAATACAAATGGAAAGTTATTCATTCTGGACAGTTTTGATATGTGAGTTTGCAGCCATGTTCCTACCAGGAATGACAATGTACTGTAATGGTTCTTTCTTGGCCCAGCTGGAGGAACTGGCGTGAGGGGAGCGGGCCTTTCTTAGACCAGGAATATCAAGATTCCTCAGGACAAAGGAGCCCATGTGGTTTGAAGCCCCACCCCAATACAGGTTCTGAGCTCCCTCAACTCCACCTTCATTAAAAACCAGTGGAAACAATTGCAGTGTTTAGCCTAGATTTTTAAAAATTTTAAAGTGTAAACAAGGTATAATTTGTGATGTTAGAGAAACATTTGATGGATGCAACTGTAATTTGAAGTTTGGCAATACAGCTCTTCTCAAATTTCTTTTACTTCTTAATTTATTGTTTAAAAATGAACATAAATATCCATTATTATTTTCACTCATGCTTTCAGAAGAAACTAAAACAAGCAATGGAGACCTGTCTGACAGCACTGTGTCTGCTGATCCTGTTGTGAAATGATACGGATGGTATTCACTGCACATATGATGAAATCATCAGAATTGTTAAAACTTTTGCCAGTGGAATGGATAAACTATTGATGAATTGTTTCCTGGGTCACATCTCTGGAAAATAGATGTTACAGTTCTTAAAGGCAGTGCTTTAAAGTGAAGTTCATTCTGTTTCCAAAGGCTCTACTTTCAAAGGTTAAGAATGAGATTTTAAAATTGGATTTTTGCCTGGACTTGAGGGTACAAGATGTTTCTATTTGAAGTGAAGTTATAAAAGGGCAAATCCAGATTCATAAACTATCACCTCGGATTTCTTGTAATCTACATGTTTGTAATTTGTATTTGCATAGATCTTTGATCTATAGTTATTTCAAGTCATGGGAAATTCAATGCATATACTATATACAGCCAGTAAATACATGCTTAACAAAAGGAATGAGCCTGAAGTTCATAAAGAATACATATCAATATTCTTATAAAAGGAATATATGAAGATGGCTTTGATACTAGAGGTGAGGCACAAGTGTTTTATGTACTCTCAGTGTACAGTATAACTGATGATCCTTCTTTCATTGTTAATTTCATGTGACTCACAAGAGCTGCTGATGTCTTTGATGAGACATTTTATAACTAGTTTACATTGCTTTGAGAACATTTAACCTCCAACAGCTGCTTTAAATTTAAGATTTACTTAATACTCAGAAAATTCAGATAAAGCCATAGAGTCCTGTTTGAAGCTTCACTTCTATTTTGGTTGAAGGCATGATGTATGATGTCAGAAAAAAAATTGAATGAATTATTTCTACATCCAAACTCAGGTTTCTTCTACATTAGATTGAATTGAAATTTTGGTGATGGTTTGGGTAGACTTTTTTTTTATATCAAGTATAATTTAAAACATCAGATTAAATAATTACACTGTTCAGGCTTTTAAAAAAATACCACTGTGAGAATAAAGCGCTAGCAAGATACATCACTTACTGATTTTAAAAATACAGAAAGATTTTGAGTAAATTTTGTGCCCAGCAAGCTGTTAGTTTTATTTTTGTAAAGGTATGTAAGTTATTAAATGGTTAATCATGGCCTTTTAAAAATAAAATAAAGTGATACCTTTACAATGAAGACAAAAGTTTAAAACTTTCTAATACAAACACCATTTTGGGAAATGCTTGATTTTTTTCTATTGCATTTGTCTGCTAAACATTTCTTTGGATAAATCCTGCAAATACTTCTAACATTATTCTTTGATTCCAGCTTTTAGAATGGGTGTACAATGCCCTGTTTGTACTTACTGGTTAGGGTCAGGGTAACTTGCCAGCCCAAGATAAATACTTTAATTGTTAAAAGTCAGAAGAGACAGAATATGTAGGAAATGTTTTTTGTTTATTATGTAAACATGGCTTACAGAATTATGAACAGTGGATAGATTAAAGGCATTTAATATTTGTAATTCATAATAACTGTAGAAATGGCCCTAAAGCATGCTGCATAATTAATAATTTATATTTTCATTATTATAAGTGTTTATATTAATGATCTTGCATTTGATTATATCAAATTCGTCATTTCATAGCAACAGTATTGTTTTCTCTGTTTTTCTTCTCTAACTTCTCTGAAATCATCTCCTATTAAGGGATAGAAATTGTTACTAGAAGAGAATCACATGTTCTGTGTTCATTATCCCTACACATGTAAATTAATTATTTTATCAATACTAGATAGAGTTCACATGCTGACTCCCTGGATACCTACAGTTGAGAAGAAAATGACAGACAATTATTTTTCCTTTAGGTCAAAATAATGTCACTGCTATCTGGATAAATTATAAGTTCATATATTTGAAATAAGATCCTGGAAACGAATTTAAATGGTGTCAAACTGCAGAGCAACAGGGCTTCAGTATATTCACATCTAATAGGTTAATATGTACATTTGGATGATGATTTTTCTTGATAACATTAACATTAATTTTATTTTTTCAGACATACTGTAATTTAAAAATTAATGTGAGCGTTTGTTTTAAGTTCACAGAAAACTTAATAATTCAAATTCTCAGGAATTAAGGACTCACCATAACATTGTCAGTTCTAATGAAATTTTGTAAAAGATGGCAAGTTTGTTACCTCACTTGAGTGGGGTTTTCCTTTTCCCCCAATTCTAAGAGAATATAATGTGTATACTAAAACATTAATAAACATAATTTTGAAAATTTCCTTCCCCTGGATGTTTATGTTCAAAATTGAATGTCGTAAACCAGTAGTTCTTAATATTAACCTTTTTGGGGTCCCCCTTAATTGAATGAAATGAAATCTGTGGAATCATTTTTTTATAAAATGCATGCACATAGGTAAAAATTTGAAGTTTAAAATTGGCTCCTGTCAATGTATTCCAGGTGAAAGAAAGGTGTTTTCTTTCCTTTATACATCCTTGATCTTTCCAGAGCTTTTTTCCAATAAAAAGAACCAATATGAAGTTACTTTAAATCCTAATCCTGGAAAGGGATTATCAGTATGCATTGTTTAATGTTAGTAATAACTATAGTGCTATTTGCAAACCTGAGTTGAACTAAAACAATACAGTAGTCTCCCCTTATCCGTGTTTTACTTTCCAGTTTCAGTTACCTGTGGTCAGCTGTGGTCTGAAAATATTACATGGAAAATTCCAGAAACAATAAGTTTCAACTTGTGTGTTATTCTGGGTAGCATGATGAAATCTTGTGCTGTCATGCTGCATCCCGCCTGGGACGTAAGTCACCCCTTTGCCCAGCATCTTCATGCTGTATGTGCTACCTGCCCATGAATCACTTGGTAGCTAGGTTGTCAAATCAATAGTGTTTGTCTTCAAGTAAGCCTTATTTTACTTAATAATGGCCCCAAAGTGCAAGAGTAGTGACGCTGGCAATTCAGATATGCTATAAGAGAAGCCTTAAAATGCATCCTTTAAGTGAAAACATGAAAGTTCTCAATAAGGAAAGAAAAGAAATCATATGTGGGGTTGCTAAGATCTGTGGTAAGAATGAATCTTCTCTCCGCAGCATTGGTGACAGTATTTGTTACAGTTATGTTTCATCATTAGTTATTGTTAATCTCTTACTGTGCCTAACTTATAAACTTTATCATAGGCATGTATATATAGGAAAAAACCGTATATATACGGTTAGATACTATCTGCAGTTTCAGGCATGCACTGGGCGTTTTGGTGTATCCCTCTCAGATAAGCAGGGACTACAGTAATGACAACAGAGCCTTCAAAATATTACACTGGAGACGAGGTACAATCCTGTTAAATACTACACTGCAGAAATCATTCTTGGTAAAGTTAAGTCTGGTTGCTGTTCCTTTTTTCTTCTGAGGCAGTAAATTTGTAAAATTGTGGGAAAGATGAGAAAATATTGGATACTTCATGTTATTATTTTATGCTGAGTCTGCTAAATGTAAAAGGTAGGCTTTAATTGATTTTAATAATTGTAACAGGATTTTCTTTCCAGCTTCACATTGCAGATGTTTCAGAAGACGGTATTCGTTTTTTAAGGGAAGTTTTAATACCACATTTTTTTTTTAACAAAGGCTTTCAGATGTTAGGAATACTTTAATAGGCTGTCAAAGATGTGAAGTTTAAAAAGGGAATCCAGAATAAGTGGAAATCTGTAGAGACTAAGCAAAGGCAGTGAACTCAAGAGATGGTGATGGCAAAGTTAGAGTTCAGTTTATAACACAGGTCAGCATATATATAATGTATAAGAAAAGTTGGGCAAGTAAGTATTTTCTTTTCAGTAGTTTGGCTCCTCTTTACCACTCAGTTCACCTGATACCTCCATTTCCCATTAGTGGAGATATACTCAGGAATGTACATCAAATTTATTCAGTCGATGCAGATCTGATACCATAATTCTTGGATCATCTCTAAGGACTATAAATACATTCTGTAGGTAAGAGTCAAGCATTCTTTAATAATGCCCTCATTTGATGGGGGAAGGAGTTAACTTTTATACCTAGAAGCACTTGTCTTTATCAGATTAGTATTAAAGTATTTACTCTTTTCAGAATCTGTACAAAAGGTAGCAAAGTATTAAGGATATTATGCTTTAGGTTGATACTGCTATTGAATAAATCGTCAAAGCTTAATGTATTGAGAAATATTTGGAGATTGCTTAGTATCTGGTTCTCTCTTGAGGTCATCTGTATATAGCACAGAGTGGTTAGAAGCATAGACTCTGGAGCCAGAACAATTTGAATCCCGATTTCCTGCTTAGGAACAGATTCCTTAATATCTCTGTGCTTCATTTCCTTGTGCAAAAGGTGGGATGATAATGACAGTATGTAGCTCATAGGTTGTTTGAGGATTTAATTTGCGTAAAGCACTTTATATATTAGGAAACAGTAACTAAATATTAGCTGCTCTTGTATATAACTACTGGAAACATTAGCTATTACTGTATTATGTGTACTCTCATAGGTAGGAATAAACTTGGCACATAAGCATTAAGTGTTAACTATTCTTTTAGGTGGAACGATTGAAACTAAAGTCTGTATTTGACTTTAAGTGGGTCTCTAAAAAACTATTCCTTGTTAAGTGGCTCAGGTAGATGCAGACAAGGTAAGGAAGGCCCTGTTCTTCCCTAAAGGTAGTCTGATGGGTATGTGAGGCTAAACCAGCCTGGGAAGTGGGAATTGGTAAGAATAGTTGGCTTCTAAAAAGGTCCCATTTCCTCTCTTCCCACCCTTCCCACCTTTCATTTACATGGCACTTGTTATCTTTCAGAGCACTTTAATGTGTATTAATACACAGTTCAGTAAGTGGAGAAAAGGGGCAAATCACCCACAGTTCTAAGTTTTAAAATTATTTAAAAATAGTGCATGCAAGGTATACAATATGTATTATACTATTTAAAGAATGAAAATAAAGCACTTGGAAAGAAGCTACCGTTATCAGTTAAGAACACTTTAGAAGCTCCTGCAGTTTCTGCCCAAGAAAACCACATGGGGGTTTGGTGTTAATCATTCTCTTGCTGTTCCCTTGTTTTACAACTGATGGTATTTTCCTAAATATTGATAATATGGTTATGTTTCAGTTTTCAAACTAAATAGAAATGGGATCTTATTATATGTTTTTGTAACTTTTTCATTATTTTAAAAATTCATCCACGTTGATGCATATAGCTGTAGTTTAGCATTTCATTACATGAATACAGCTATCTTCTGTCGACGACATCTGGGTGTTTTTCACTTTTGGGATATTGTAAACAATGATGCTGTAATCATTATTGAACGTGTCCCTGGGTCCATGTGTTTAGAGTTTCTCTAGGCTGTGTACCTGCAGGTAAAACTGCTAGGTAGTACGGCAGGTGCCCTTTCAATGTACTGGACAGAATGCCAAACTGTTGTTTCATCCCAGCAGCTGAGGAGATTCCCCTTTGCTCCATTTCTACAAACAGCTGAATTTTTGCAGTCTGGTGAATATAATGTTTCTGTGGTTTTAATTTGCATTTTCCTGATTACTATAAGGAGTCTGTTTCTGTTTATGAACACTTTGTCTTTTTTAATGTATGAAATGCCTTCATGACTTTTTTTTTCAATTTATCTTTCTACCTGTAGGAGTATTTTATATATTCTGGATGCTAATTTTTTGTTGGTCTTGTGTGCTTGCTAGTATCTTTGGTTTAGTTGTGTGTTTTCATTCTCTGTGGTGGTTTTTGATGAAGTTAGTTTTAATGGACTGAATTTCAGTCTTTTTATGTTTCCCTAATGATGTGCATGCTTTGTGTCTTATTTAAGCCATGCAGTCTTTTAAAATGGTGGATTAATAAAATAACTTTTGTAATACAAAATTAGGTTAACATCATAGGATCCATTTGAAATGTATAAAGAAATGTATAGTGTTTCACTTTTCAAACTAATAATTGTTTAGGACTTCAGATTCTACCCCTCTCCCAAAAAAGTCTAAGCAAGAAAAAAAAAGTTCAGGGGACTGTGGTTCTTGCAGTCTGTCAGAGAACCAATTGATCTAAAGCAGTTATGTCATACAAATTTGTAAGGCATTAGTGAACAATGAATTAATTTTACAGTGCATAATCTCATACTGGCTTAGACTGGCTCACTATTTCTTTTATGGTGTATACATTTCAAATGGATCCTATATTAACCTAATTTTGGATTACAAAAGTTGTTTTATCCACCATTTTAAAAGCAACACCTTTAAAACTTTTAGCAATGGGATCACATATTCTACTCATGTTGACTGGAAGTATTTTTTGATACTATATCCCCTCTTCTGTGATTTCATTATGCCCTAGTTTTTGGGAAATTGAATGTTAAAGCTATAGAGCTGACTTTAGTTTTCTTCCAGGGATGTTCTAGAAAATAACCACATCTAACGAAAGAAACAGAATATTTTTTATTGCTAGGTTAATTTATTACAAAGATAATAATAGTCTGTTGAACTTAGTTACAGTTAAACACACTGTACCGATTCAAAATCATTATACTAGTTTGATAGGGAGGAGGGATGGGGGAGTGGGCTGGGGTTCCAGGAATTGGAAGTATCAGGGTGGAAATAGGAACTTTATACCAAGCCCCATGACCAGCTGTGCTTCAAGTGAGTTTTAAAATTAATTGGTCCCTTCCCTGAAGAGGGTCTGGCTCAGAAGAAACAGGAACTGGTAGAGCTGCACCCTGTCCACAGTGATCCACTACTAAAAATACTCATACCTAGGAGGACCTTAAACTTCTGAATGCTGGTTCAGTAAGGCTCCACTGTAAAATCAAACATCTTTTGTGGTATTCATTTTTTTATTGCTTGATGTCTGGAACAGTTACCGAAACTAGACCTGTATCGCGCATCTCTACTAGTGCTTGGGCCTCAAAGCAGTGCTCATCACCTAACTGCACAAAGAAATGCTATTAGGTCCAATTATGAGATAAGCTGAATTATAAATACACAATTTTCAGAACGACAGGCACTTAAAGCTCATTAAGTAAAATACAAAAATAGATTATATTAATAAGAAATATTTAGTGTTCATCAAATTGTAAATCTAGGCTTTTGCCATTTTTTAAAAAGGATACTGGAAACTGAAAAGAGATGACATTCATATGAACAATGCATTTTTCAAACTTTTGTTCTGAGCGCTGAACAATCTAAGAAATTTTAGCGCAATCTAAGAAAAAAGACTTACCACAAAGCACCTAAAATAACATTGTAGATGGGTGGGAACGCTGTCAACCATTTCTTAGTTTCCCTCCCAAGTCTCAGTATCAAGGCATCAAGATTACATTCCACAAACGATTGTCAGCCTTCGGAAATCAGGTCAGTGTGCCTGTATGTCAGAGACGTTAAAACCCTTAGGAGGTAGCTCTCCTTCCTGTTTGCTCTTCCCCCACAGGCGCAAGTGAGTTATGCTTCGGATTCTGCGCCTCTATGTTCGTTTGGATTTCCATCATCGTCATCTGGTTGATCGTTTAACAGTACATATTTTCCGTCATTGGTTAGTGGTATGGACAGCATTAATTGAGCCAGTGCTTCTGGATCCTGAAGTTAGGAGAGTTTAAAAGGGAAAAAAGAAAAGGCTTAAGATGCATTTAAACCCCTTTGGCCTGGCTTTCAATATGTTCTGTAATCTAGTCTTGTTTCTCCTGACTCTTGTGTATATGTGCCTTCCGCTGAGTCTCCTTGCTTCTCAAACTCAGGCATGTCACTTCTAGAATCTAGACTGTTTTCCTCTGAGCCAAAATATTGTTTACGTAGTCAATTCGTATCATCTTCCCAAAGATTCCACAGAGGAACTTCCTTCACAGAACTTTTGTCTTCTCTATCTTTAAACTCCTTCTTTTCTCACGTTTAATCTATACCAGAAGTTGGCAAACTATGGTCATTTGGCTAACCATTTGATTTTTATTGGAAAACAGCTGCGGCCATTTATTTACATACTGTCCATGCTGCTGCTGCTTTTTTTTGGTGGGGGGGGGGGTGGTGCGGCGGTTGGAGACAGAGTCTCGCTCTATCGCCCAGGCTGGAGAGCAGTGGTATGATCTCAGCTCACTGCAACCTTCGCCTCCCCGGTTCAAACGATTCTTGTGCCTCAGTCTCCCGAGTAGCTGGGACTACAGGTGTGCACCACCACACCCGGCTAATTTTTGTATTTTTAGTAGAGATGGGGTTTCACCATGTTGGCCAGGCTGGTCTTGAACTCCTGACCTCAGGTGATCCTCCTGCCTCTGCCTCCCAAAGTGCTGGGATTACAGGCATAAGCCACCATGCCTGGCCTGCTTTTGTCTTATGATAGCAGAGTTGAATCTGTTGCAAGGGAGATAGCCAAAAACATAAAGACCCTTTATAGAAAAAGTTTGCCAACTTTTGACCAATACCATTAAATACTAGCTTACAGTGCTTGCCACTATTTCATGTATGTGGCCTTAGTCCTTGGTCTTTCTGACCTCTCCAAGACTGAACTGCACTAATATGGTAGCCACTGGCTACATGTTACTATGTAAATTTGAGTTAAATTTAAAAATCCAGTTCCTCAGTCACACTTGCCATATTCAATCTGCATATTAAATTGTGCAGATATAAATCATTTCCATTATTGCAGAAAGTTCTGTACATTGCTGAACTAGAAGCCCCCTGGGGGCAGGGACTATATCTGTCTTGTTCAATTACACAAACTAGGCTCTCAAAAATTTGCTGAATGAACAAAAGATTAAAAGCTGCTGAAAGACAGGGAGGTCTCAGAATCCTCATTTCTTAAAAGCTCCCAGGTGACGTCTGTCAATGCTGTGGGGCATGTGATCATACTCTGAGGAGCAAGGCCTTAGAGCAGCACACGGTGGGTACTTATCTATCATCTTAATCTGAAAGAGGAAATCTAGCCAACTAGTATGCAAGCAAGAAAACAGATAAGCAGGAGCTCCAGCAGTGATAAGAAGTCCTCATGTGTTAACAGTGAACATGGAACTAGCTGATCAAAAACCTCTGGTGGTTAGAATACTTTTAAAAGGAAATCCCAAACTTGGCCACACTTTCCAGTGAACATCACTTTTCTTTTTGAAAAGACTCTTGGTATGTGTACACAGATGTGTTTTGAGTAGCTACTAAACCAGCGCTAGAATGCATCTTACCTTCTGAACCTCAATAATTTCTTTTCCCAAATTAATAGCATAACATATCTGCAAAAGACAAGAAAAGTAGTGATTGGCAAAAGTAGAGAAGGATAAAATTTTAGAACAAATGTGATTTGGGAGTACAGTGAGGTCACTGTTCTCACTGTTCCCACTTGGGAACACAGGACCTGGCTGCAGGAGACTCATCACATAGGGCCCGGGGCATTTGCGTCCAACTGTCCTGACCTCTGTTGCCAATTTATGCCACACAAAAAATATTCCAGGTAAGTGAAACTCAGGTAATTCCAGTGTTAAAAGTTCTTAATAGGAATTTTTCTTCTCTCTCTTAAATGTATTTAGCCACGATATGTCCATATACACAGTGGCAAACAGATAATTTACTGAAAGGATTGGTTAATTGTGATAAATTCTAAGTAGCAGATAGAGTCAAAAGTTTTTCATACTAAACCAACAGCTTGTGTGTAACTTTTCTAATATCTTCCTTGGTTTTCTCTCTGAGACTAAATTATTCTCTATTGTAGCTTTTGCCTTAATTTTTTTTAAAGAACAAATTTGAGGGGAACTGCTTTCAACATTTCCTTATATCCCGACTAAATAATATGTCTTGCCATGAAATTTCTTCCTCATTCACCCTATTCTGGTTGATAGGTATTTTCCACAGAGAAATTTAAATCGAGTTTTCTTTCAGTGAGGCCTTCTTAGGAGGTATTATCTGAACTCCTGGATGGAGACATGCAGAATAATCAACTAAATATCCAAGGAAGTAATGCCAGAAAACTCTTTTAAAATGGACTTGTTTGGACTGGGATATTATGGGATCTTCACATGAAAAAGAGACCTTTTCGCCTTCTGAGTTGCTTTCAAAAATGTATGTACTCAGAGATTCTTCTCCAGTGGATTCAGGAACACGGATGACAAAA
This sequence comes from Homo sapiens, assembly GCF_000001405.40. Classification (NCBI taxonomy): domain Eukaryota; kingdom Metazoa; phylum Chordata; class Mammalia; order Primates; family Hominidae; genus Homo; species Homo sapiens. The sequence continues at coordinate 105,176,958 of NC_000012.12, forward strand.
CCAACCAGTCTCTTGTTTTCTTGATGAGCAGCAAATTGTGTGACACTGGTAAGTTCAAACTGGGGGGTGGAAAAAAAGGCAACAGATCATACAACTACTAGAATTAAAAACTGACAAGGCTACTCTCTGGAAAAGTCATGAGAAAAAGTATCCTATTAGTCCTATTAGTGGCAGATCTTTATTAATAAAGTGCCTAGGCTGTGTTTAAGGTAGATACAAAGGTGAATTAAGGAGTAATCACTAACATGAACCTGTATGCGGTACTTACATTGGCCCTTGATACTTGAGTCTGTGGATCTATCAACCTGAAATTTTAAAAGATACATTATGTCACAAATGTTGGATAAATTTAATATTCCTAGAAGAGTTTGTAGAAGTCCAGAATAAATACAAATTCCCCGAAATAGAGATAAAGCCTGTTAGAGGGTGAGGCGAGATAGCTGTGTGTGACCACGTGTCCTGCTTTCTGCCTTTAAGGAACCTGTGTAGCTAAAGCTCAGGGTACCTATAATGGAAGATTATATAGCAAGTAGAAGATTTAACTTCACAGGATTCTGCAACTTACCCAAACAGACAGCATTATAATCCTCAACAGATCTGCTATATAATATGGATGGATTATATTCTGTACAGCCTCCCTCTCAACAAACATCCATTGGCAACTTTAATGTCCCTGAAGTGCAAGATCAACTTAGTCTAAATTTAACATTATTGAAAAAGATGAGGTAGCGGTGACAAAATAGTGAAGGGATTTTGACAAAACTCTTATCAATTTGGGTAAAAGAGGAATAATGTTTAAGAAAGTATTCCAAAATATATTTCCTTGTTTTAATTATTTACTATTTATTTATTCTGAGAAGAGTCTTGCTGTCACACAGGCTGGAGTGCAGCAGCCCAGTCTTGGCTCACTGCAACCTCCACCTCCCGGGTTCAAGCGATTCTCCTGCCTCAGCCTCCTGAGTAGCTGGGATTACAGGTGTCAGCCAAAATGCCTGGCTAATTTTTGTATTTTTAGTAGAAGTGGGGTTTCACCATGTTGACCAGGCTGGTGTCGAACTCCTGACCTCAGGGGATCTGCCTGCTTCAGTCTCCCAAAGTGCTGGGATTACAGGCATGAACCACCGCGCCAGGCCTTCAGAATATATTTCTTCAACAGTATTTTAAGCATCATCTAATAATCAGGTTGACATATCCTAGAAAATAAACTATATGAGAGAATTTATTGCTATCTTAGATAAGTGGTTATAAATTTCTACTGTATTGTACTCGTGTTGGAATAATTAACATGCTATTATGTAAATTATTACTATACATTTTATAGGTGAAAGCAAAAATATAGTTTGTGGAAAAAATGGTTATGATTCCATTTATATGTTAAATGTCCAGATCTATAGAGATGGCAATTTTAGTGGTTAGTGGCTTCCTAGGGCTGGGTGGGTTGCCAGGGGCTAATGGGTATTCTTTCTGAGGTGATGAAAATGTTGTAAAATTGATTGTGATGATGGTTGTACAACTCTGAATATACTAGAAACCACTGAATTGTACATTTAAATTGTATGTGAATTATATCTCAGTAAAACTGTTACACCCCCATGCCCCCAACAAAAGGCTACAGTTGGAAATACGTGCAGTTACACTTATTAAACCGTAAGACTTATAATCAGAGAACTCGAGATTGAGTTCTACCCTGGCTACTCACCTGATCTTGTGCAAGTCACCCGGACTTCTTACAACTGGTTCATCTGTAAAACTGTGGTAAGAACCCCCACTTCCAAGAGGTGGTTATGACAGTTAATGAGAAGTGTGTATGGGAATTTAAGTAGACAAAGCTTAAGAAAAGTTACTTTTACGTCCCTATTAATGGGCATGAATTTAATTTTTTGAATATAGATCATAAACAGTTTTCCTCAAGTTGGAATAACTTTCATAGGTATTTTGTAAAATTCCCTTATAAGTGAAAACTTAACACATGCATATTTTGTGGGTCACTTTCAGAAGTTTGCTGTTTAAATCAGGTAACCTAGATTTCTCTTTTTTTATTATTATACTTTAAGTTCTGAGATACATGTGCAGAACGTGCAGGTTTGTTACATAGGTATACATGTTGCTGTGGTGGTTTGCTGCGCCCATCAACCCGTTATCTACATTAGGTATTTCTCCTAATGCTATCCCTCCCCTTGACACCCACCCACCAACAGGCCCCAGTGTGTGATGTTCCCCTTCCTGTGCCTATATGTTCTCATTGTTCAGCTCCCACTTATGAGTGAGAACATGCGGTGTTTGGTTTTCTGTTCCTGTGTTAGTTTGCTGAGAATGATGGTTTCCAGCTTCATCCATGTCCCTGCAAAGGACATGAAGTCATTCTTTTTTATGGCTGCATAGTATTCCTTGGTGTATATGTGCCACATTTTCTTTATCCAGTCTATCATTGATGGGCATTTGGGTTGGTTCCAAGTCTTAGCTATTGTGAATAGTGGTGCAATACACATAGTGTGCATGTGTTTTTATAGAAAATGATTATAGTCCTTTGGGTATGTACCCAGTAATGGGATTGCTGGGTCAAATGGTTATTTCTGGTTCTAGATCCTTGAGGAATCGCCACACTGTCTTCCACAATAGTTGAACTAATTTACATTCCCAGCAGTATAAAAGCGTTCCTATTTCTCCACATCCTCTCCAGCATCTGTTGTTTCCTGACTTTTTAATGATCGCCATTCTAACTGGTGTGAGATGGTATCTCATTGTGGTTTTGATTTGCATTTCTCTAACGACCAGTGATGATGAGCTTTTTTTCACGTTTGTCAGCCGCATGTCTTCTTTTGAAAAATGTCTGTTCATATCCTTCACCCACTTTTTGACGGGGTTGTTTTATTCTTGTAAATGTGTTTAAGTTCTTTGTAGATTCTGGATATTAGCCCTCTGTCAGATGGATAGATTGAAAAAATTTTCTCCCATTCTGTAGGTTGCCTGTTCACTCTGATGATAGTTTCTTTTGCTGTGCAGAAGCTCTTTAGTTTAATTAGACCCCATTTGTCAATTTTGGCTTTTGTTGCCATTGCTTCTGGTGTTTTCATCATGAACTCTTTGCCCATGCCTCTGTCCTGAATGGTATTGCCTAGGTTTTCTTCTAGGGTTTTTATGGTTTTAGGTCTTACATTTAAATCTTTAATCCATCTTGACTTAATTTTTGTATAAGGTGTTAAGAGGAAGGGGTCCAGTTTCAGTTTTCTGCATATGGCTAGCCAGTTTTCCCAACATCATTTATTAAATAGGGAGTCCTTTCCTCATTTCTTGTTTTTGTCAGGTTTGTCAAAGATCAGATGGTTGTAGATGTTTGGTGTTATTTCTGAGGCCTCTGTTCTGTTCCATTGGTCTATATATCTGTTTTGGTACCAGTACCATGCTGTTTTGGTTACTGTAGCCTTGTAGTATAGTTTGAAGTCAGGTAGCATGATACCTCCAGCTTTGTTCCTTTTGCTTAGGATTATCTGGGCTATGCGGGCTCTTTTTTGGTTCCATATGAAATTTAAAGTAGTTTTTTCTAACTCTGTTAAGAAAGTCAGTGGTAGCTTGATGGGAATAGCACTATTACTTTGGGCAGTATGGCCATTTTCACGATATTGATTCTTCCTATCCATGAGCATGGCATGTTTTTCCATTTGTTTGTGTCCTCTCTTATTTCCTTGAGCAGTGGTTTGTAGTTCTCCTTGAAGAGGTCCTTCACATCCCTTGTAAGTTGTATTCCTAGGTATTTTATTCTCTTAGTAGCAATTGTGAATGGGAGTTCACTCATGATTTGGCTGTTTGTGTATTATTGGTGTATAGGAATGCTTGTGATTTTTGCACATTAATTTTGTATCCTGAGACTTTGCTGACGTTGCTTATCAGCTTAAGGAGTTTTTGGGCTGAGACGATGGAGTTTTCTAAACATACAATCATGTCATCTTTAAACAGAGATAATCTGACTTCCTCTCTTCCTATTTGAATACCCTCATTGCTTTCTCTTGCCTGACTGCCCTGGCCAGAACTTCCAATATTATGTTGAATAGGAGTGGTGAGAGAGGGCATCCTTGTCTTGTGCTAATTTTCAAAGGGAATGCTTCCAGTTTTTGCCCATTCAGTATGATACTGGCTGTGAGTTTGTCATAAATAGCTCATTATTTTGAGATATGTTCCATCAATACCTAGTTTATTGAGTGTTTTTAGCATGAAGGGGTGTTGAATTTTATCGAAGGCCTTTTCTGCATCTATTGAGATAATCATGTGGTTTTTGTCATTGGTTCTGTTTACGTGATGGATTACATTTACTGATTTGCGTATGTCGAACCAGCCTTGCATCCCAGGGATGAAGCCAACTTGATCATGGTGGATAAGCTTTTTAATGTGCTGCTGGATTCAGTTTGCTGGTATTTTATTGAGGATTTTTGCATTGATGTTCATCAGGGGTATTGCCCTGAAATTGTGTTTTTTTATTGTGTCTCTGCCAGGTTTTGGTATCAGGATGATGCTGGCTTCATAAAATGAGTTAGGGAGGAGTCCCTCTTTTTCTATTGTTTGGAATAGTTTTAGAAGGAATGGTACCAGCTCCTCTTTGTAACTCTGGTAGAATGTGGCTGTGAATCCATCTGGTCCTGGGCTTTTTTTTGGTTGGTAGGCTATTAATTATTGCCTCAATTTCAGAACTTGTTATCGGTCTATTCAGGGATTCAACTTCTTCCTGGTTTAATCTTGGGAGGGTGTATGTGTCCAGGAATTTATCCATTTCTTCTAGATTTTCTAGTTTATTTGCATACAGGTGTTTATAGTATTCTCTGTTGGTAGTTTGTATTTCTCTGGGATCAGTGGTGATAATCCCCTTTATCATTTTTTATTGTGTCTGTTTGATTCTTCTCTCTTTTCTTCTTTATTAGTCTGGCTAGCAGTCTATCAATTTTGTTAATCTTTTCAAAAAACCAGCTCCTGGATTCATTGATTTTTGAAGGGTTTTTCGTGTCTCTATCTCCTTCAGTTCTGCTCTCATCTTAGTTATTTCTTGTCTTCTGCTAGCTTTTGAATTTGTTTACTCTTGCTTCTCCAGTTTTTTTGAGATGGAGTTTTGCTCTTGTTGCCCAGGCTGGAGTGCAATGGCATGATCTCGGCTCACTGCAACCTCCACCTCCCTGGGTTCAAGTGATTCTCCTGCTCCAGCCTCTCCAGTAGCTGGGATTACATAGGTGCCTGCCACCACACCTAGCAAATTTTTTGTATTTTTAGTAGAGACAGGGTTTCATCATGTTGGCCAGGCTGGTCTCAAACTCCTGACCTCAGGTGATCCACCTGCCTTGGCCTCCCAAAGTGGTGGGATTACAGGCATGAGCCATGGTGCCCAACCTTCTAGTTCTTTTAATTGTGATGTTAGGATGTCAATTTTAGATCTTTCCCACTTTTTCCTGTGTGCATTTAGTGCTATAAAAACATTGCTTTAGCTGTGTTCCAGAGATTGTGGTATGTTGTGTCCTTGTTCTCATTGATTTCAAGTAATTTATTTATTTTTGCCTTAATTTCATTATTTATTTACCCAGCAGTCATTCAGGAACAGGTTGTTCAGTTTCCATGTAGTTGTGCAGTTTTGAATGACTTTCTTAATCCAGAGTTCTAATTTGATTGCACTGTGGTCTGAGAGACAGTTTGTTGTGATTTCTGTTCTTTTGCATTTGTTGAGGAGTATTTTACTTCCGATTATGTGGTCAATTTTAGAATAAGTGTGACGTGGTGCTGAGAAGAATGTATATTTTGTTGATTTGGGATGGAGCATTCTGTAGATGTGTGTTAGTTCCACTTGGTCCAGAGCTGAGTTTAAGTCCTGAATATCCTTGTTAATTTTCTGTCTTGTTGATCTAATATTGACAGTGGGGTGCTAAAGTCTCCCAATATTATTGTGTGGGAGTCTAAGTCTCTTTGTAGATCTCTAAGAACTTGTTTTACGAATCTGGGTGCTTCTGTATTGGGTATATATATATTTAGGATAGTTAGCTTTTCTTGTTGCATTGATCCCTTTACCACTATGTAATGCCCTTCTTTGTCTTTTTTGATTTCAAGTCCGTTTTATCAGAGACTAGGATTGCAACCCCTGCTTTTTTTTTTTTTTTTTTTTTTGCTTTCCATTTGCTTGGTAAATCTTCCTCCATCCCTTTATTTTGAGCCTATGTGTGTCTCTGCACATGAGATGGGTCTCCTGAATACAGCAAACTGATGGGTCTTGACTCTTTATCCAATGTGCCAGTCTGTGTCTTTTAATTGGGGCATTTAGCCTGTTTACATTTAAGGTTAATATTGTTATGTGTGAATGTGATCCTGTCATTATGATGGTAGCTGGTTATTTTGCCTGTTAGTTGATGCAGTTTCTTCACAGTGCTGATGGTTTTTACATTTTGGTATGTTTTTGCAGTGGCTGGTACTGGTTTTTCCTTTCCATATTTAGTGCTTCCTTCAGGAGCTCTTGTAAAGCAGGTGTGGTGGTGACAACATCCTTCAGCATTTGCTTGTCTGTAAAGGATTTTATTTCTCCTTTGCTTATGAAGCTTAGTTTGGCTGGATATGAAATTCTGGGTTGAAAATTCTTTTCCTTAAGAATGTTAAATGTGTGCCCCCACTCTTTTCTGGGTTGTAGCGTTTCTGCAGAGAGATCCGCCGTTAGTCTGATGGGTTTCCCTTTGTGGGTAATGTGACCTTTCTCTCTGGCTGCCCTTAACATTTTTTCCTTCATTTCAACCTTGGTGAATCTGATGATTATGTGTCTTGGGGTTGCTCTTCTCGAGGAGTATCTTTGTGGTGTTCTCTGTATTTCCTGAATTTGAATGTTGGCTTGTCTTGCTAGGTTGTGGAAGTTCTCCTGGATAATATCCTGAAGAGTGTTTTCTAACTTGGTTCCATTCTCCCTGTCACTTTCAGGTACACCAATCAAATATAGGTTTGGTCTTTTCACATAGTCCCATATTTCTTAGAGGCTTTATTCACTCATTTTCATTCTTTTTTCTCTAATCTTGTCTTCACACTTTATTTCATTAAGTTAATCTTCAATCTCTGGTATCCTTTCTTCCACTTGATCGATTTGACTATTGATACTTGTGTATGCTTCACGAAGTTCTCGTGCTGTGTTTTTCATCTCCATCAGGTTATTTATGTTCTTCTCTAAACTGGTTATTCCAGTTAGCAGTTCCTATAACCTTTTATCCAGATTCTTAGCTTCCTCGCATTGGGTTAGAACATGCTCCTTTAGCTTGGAGGAGTTTGTTATTACTCACCTTCTGAAGCCTCTTTCTGTAAATTCTTCAAACTCATTCTCCGTCCAATTTTGTTCCCTTGCTGGCAATGAGTTGTGATCCTTTGGAGGAGGAGAGGCATTCTGGTTTTTGGAATTTTCAGCCTTTCTGTGCTGCTTTTTCCTCATCTTTGTGGATTTATCTACCTTTGGTCTTTGATGCTGGTGACCTTTGGGTGGGGTTTTTGTGTAGTCATCCTTTTTGTTGATGTTGATGCTATAGCTTTCTGTTTGTTAGTTTTCCTTCAGGCCCCTCTTCTGCAGGTCTGCTGCAGTTTGCTGAAGGTACACTCCGGACTCTCTTTGCCTGGGTATCACCAGTGGAGGCTGCAGAATAGCAAAGACTGCTGCCTGCTCCTTCCTCTGGAAGCTTCATCCCAGAAGGGCACCCACCAGATGCCAGCTGGAACTCTCCTGTATGAGGTGTCTGTCGATTCCTGCTGGGAGGTGTCTCCCCGTCAGGAACCACCAGAGTCAGGGACTCACTTGAGGAGGCAGTCTGTCCCTTAGCAGAGCTCAAGCGTTGTGCTGGGAGACCTGCTGCTCTCTTGAGAGCTGGCAGGCAGGAACATTTAAGTCTGCTGAAACTGCGCCCACAGCCACCCCTTCCCCCAGGTGCTCTGTCCCAGGGAGATGGGAGTTTGATCTGTAAGCCCCTGACTGGGGGCTGCTACCTTTCTTTCAGAGATGCCCTGCCCAGAGAGGAGGAATCTAGAGAGGCAGTCTGGCTACAGCAGTTTTATGGCGCTGCGGCAGGCTCAGCCCAGTATGATCTTCCTGATGGCTTTCTTTACACTCTAAGGGGAAAACCACCTACTCAAGCCTCAGTAATGGCGGATGCCCCTCCCCCCCACCAAGCTCGAGCATCCCTGGTCAACTTCAGACTGCTGTGCTGCCAGTGAGAATTTCAAGCCAGTGGATCTCAGTGTGTTGGGCTCCGTGGTGATGGGATCCACTGAGCAAGACCACTTGGCTCCCTGGCTTCAGCCCCCTTTCCAGGGGAGTGAACAGTTGGGACTCGCTGAGGTTCAGACGCCACTGGGGTGCGAAAAAAATTCTCCTGCAGCTAGCTCAGTGTCTGCCCAAATGGCCGCCCAGTTTTGTCCTTGAAACTTAGGGCCCTGGTGGTGTAGGCACTCGATGGAATCTCCTGGTCTGCGGGCTGCAAAGACAGTGGCAAAAGCCTAGTATCTGGGCTGGATAGGTCTGTCCCTCACTCACGGCTTCCCTTGGCTAGGGGAGGGAGTTCCCCGACCCCTTGTGCTTCCTGGGTAATGCAATGCCGCACGCTACTTCTGCTTGCCCTCCATAGGCTGTACCCACTGTCTAACCAGTCCCAGTGAGATAAGCTGGGTACCGCAGTTGGAAATGCAGAAATCACCTGCCTTCTGTGTTGGTCTCACTGGGAGCTGCAGACTGGAGCTGTTCCTATTCAGGCACCTTGTCTGGGAATCAATTTTTCTTTTTAAATCTTCTAATTTTCTGTGTGACCTCTAAATGGTCTCAGAACCTATTCCACTGCAGGGGTATGTTTACTGTGGTGACGTATGCATAACGTCAGATTTATCATTAGTGATGTTAAGTGTCTTCATAACTTTGTGCAGCCATTACCACTATCTAGTCCCAGGACATTTTTATCATCCCAGAGGAAACTCCATCCCCATTAAGCAGTTACTCATTCCTCCTCCCACCCTCTGGCAATCTCTAGTCTGTCTTCTGTCTCTATGGATTTGCCTACTCTGGATATTTCATATAAACAGAACCCTACAGTATGTTGCCTTTTGTACCTGGCTTCTTTCACTTAGCACAATGATTTCATCATTCATCCATGTTGTAGCACTTATCAGTCCTTTGTTCCTTTTTAAGGCCAAATAGTATTCCATCATATATATATACAGGTTGAGTATCCTGTATCTGAAATTGTTTTGGATTTCAGCTTTTTTTTCAGATTTTAGAATACTTGCATTATATTTACCAGGATGAGCATCCCAAAATCCAAAATGCTCCAATGAGCATCTCTTTTGAGCATCAAGTTGGCACTCAAAAAGTTTCAGATTTTGGAGCATTTGAGATTTCCAGATTTGGAATGCTCAACTCTACCACATTTTGTTGATCCATTCATTTGATGTTGGGCATTTGTATTATTTCCACCATTTGGATATCACGAAAAGGACTGCTATGAACATTTGCGTATAAGTTTTTGTTTGAACACCTGTATTTAATTCTTTTGGGTAACTACCCAGGAGCCCGCCAAACTATTTTTTCACAGCAGCTGAACCATTTTATATTCCCACCAGCAATGGGTTCCAGTTTCTTCACATCCTTGCTAAACGCTTATTTTCCATTAAATATATATATCATATATATATCATATATATCATATATATGATATCGATATCATATATATCATATATATGATATATCATATATATATCATATATCATATCATATATCATATCATATATATATCATATATATCATATATATATAAACATCTGTGAGACAGTGTGCATGCGTGCGCACGCCATCTTAATATGGAGTGACATATCTCATTGTGGATTTGTTTTGCATTTCCCTAGTAACACATAGCATCTTTTCATGTCCTCATTGGCCATTTGTATATGATCTTTGGAAAAATGTCTATTTCAAGTCCTTGGTCCATTTTTTAATTGGGTTGTCTTTCTGTTGAGTTTTATAAGAGTTCTTTGTATATTTTGTGTACTACATCCATATTAGATAGAATTTGTGAATACTTTTTTCCCATTCTGTAGTTTTTCTTTTCACTTTGATGTGCTGTGGTTTTTCACAGTACTTTTACATATATTTTCCTTTGATCTTTTTGGTGGAAATTATTCCAGGACCAATAGGATTATAAGAACCATGAGCCCATTTCTGTAAAAGGTCCAGGACATAGTGAAAGAACAGGTTTTATTAATAAGAACTTAATTCTCAGATAAGGTTCATAATAAATGAAAAGGATGGGCTTAATGAATGGAAGAAGCTATATCCTAATTTTTGCTATAGTCCTAGTTACCTTTTTTGAAGCTAACGTTCATTGAGCACTTTTCATGTGCCAGTGAGTTGTAAATGTCTTACATATATTAGCACATTTATTCCTCATGACATTTATTCCTCATGACAACAGTGGAGGGTGTGAATAGTTACTTTCATTTTACAGCTGAAAAAACTGAGGTACAGAGGCTCAAAAATTTGCTTAAGGTCACATAACTAAGAAATGCCGAAGCCAGGAATAAACTGAGACATTCTGGCTCTAAAGCAGTGCTGTCCCTTAGAAATGTAATGGAAGCCTTATATGTCATCGAAGTTTTTCCAGCGGCCACATTAAGTGAAAAGTAACAGATAAAATTAATTTTACTTAATCCAGTATATCTAAAATATTACCAGACATGTGATTAACCTAAAAAATTAGTGAGATGTTTTACATCCTAAATCTTAGAAATTTGGTATGTATTTAACACTGAAAACACATCTCAGTTCAGGCTAGTTTTGCTGCAGATGCTACCTGTGGCTACAGTATCATACACCCATGTTCATAACCAGGATTTTGGTCATATCTGAAACCCAGATCGTATTACCTGAAACACTAAATCATGTAGTTAATATGGCCTGCTCTCTCTGTGATGGCCAAGTTATTTAGGCAGATTTTTAAGTTTTTTTCCATTATTTTTTATAAATAGTACTCTCAGAAATGAAAAAAAAAAAGCAAAACCAAAAAACTTCCATTTTCAAGCTCTGAGCTATAATATAGAGAATAAGTCTAGTGTGATGGCATCTTTGTGAACAACAGTATTCACTCACCACTGGATTTTTGAAGATACCAGTTCTTGTCTCTAAGGGAGCACTTTCTAGGCTATCTATCTTATGTAAAAAGTAGTGGGGGCAAAAGCAAGAGTAGTCTCTTCATTCCAGTACTAACATTTCAGATGGGTGCATTAGCCTTAAAAGGGGAATTAGCTGAAGCCATAAGAAAGTCTGAAAATAAAACTGAACGTACCTCAAAGATTGACTGGTGACCATCAGATGGGATTCTGTCATGCGGAAGATGTTATGAATAGCCCGAGCAGCCAATACTTGTCTCATCGCTTCATAAATCACTTCAGTAGTGCTGTCTGTTTTAACTGCCATTGATCCCAAAAACCGAACTATAAACATCTGCTGCAAAAGAGAATCTGGAAGACAGCATTTTCCACTCAGGATCTCATTTACTTCCTGCTGCTGTTGATCTGCATACCAGGGTCAGATGTGCTAGTTTTGCCTGCTTTCTGTGGAGGACTTTCTACCAAAATTTCTCAATACCACTTTTATAAGCCCAATATTGCCAAAGCTCTGCGTCTTCCATTTGTCTACATCTTGTCAGTTTGTTTGGAACTACTTCATTAGACTAGAAAGGCTTTTCTTCATCTATAAAATGAAATGATGGTGGTACCAGATGAACATCCTTCTAATGCTGAAACTCTAGGTGACTACATTGTACCTTTTCTCTGAAAAGAGTGAGTTCACTAGACAATAGAAAATTCATTACTTTGGCCCACTGATAAAGTCCTCTTAGAAAAGAAATTTTATTTGCAGGATATAAGATCTCATGTTGGGTCTCATGCAATTCATACTTCATGTGTATTACGGAAAGGCAGTGATGATGTTTCATAGCCTAAAGGAAGTCAGTCCTGGCTGCTGACAGTGGCGCATAACTTGACAAAACTGACTCCCAGCAACCATAACTAGAAGACCAAAGAAGGTTTTTTCTTTTTTTTCTTTTTTGAGACAGGGTCTCACTCTGTAGCCCAGGCTGGAGTGCAATGGCATGATTTCAGCTCACTGCAACCTCCGCCTCCCAGGTTCAAGTGATTCTCATGTCTCAGCCTCCTGAGTAGCTAGGATTACAGGCACCTGTCACTACACCTGGCTAATTTTTGTATATATATATATATTTTTGTAGAGACAGGGTTCTCACTGTGTTGCCCATGCTGGTCTTGAACTCCTAAGCTCACGTGATTCACCTGCCTCGGCCTCCAAAAGTGCTGGGATTACAGGCGTGAGCCAGCGTGCCGGCCATCAGATACGTTCTTAAGTACATTATAAGAATGTAAAAAACCAAAAATTTGAATTTGAAAGACTTAAATATCATTTGTGTCATCTTCAAATTCAAGAACAAGTTATTTGTGCTTTTGGTTTTCTAAAATGACACAGCGTATTTCCAGTTCACCAAGACTGCATTTGAATGTGATAACAGATTCAGATTTCACAACATTTCTATGCTATGCTACAAAAACGCTATGGCTAATGGTGAAATAGCTGTAGGTGGTCTTTCAGCTACCCCTCAGTTTTTATCCAAGACTTGCCTCCACTGCAGATATCTTACTAAACTTTCAGAACAACAAATCTTAATTCATACTCCTAATCATAGCTCTCTAAAACATGATTTCACATCTTATTTCAATGGCCGTTGTCATTTTGTGCAGAGGAAAGAATAAGGACACCAAACTAGTCACTTACCTTCTGCTTCTGGAAATGATTCATCCTCAGTTTCACCAAAAGGGTTGGTACGCCTAGGGGAATAGCCAGAGTTGAACAAACACGACAGCTGCAGCTAGAAGGGCACTTAACACTTGAACTGGAAATCAGAATGGCAACAGTCTTTGGTGGTGGAGGGGGACACAAGATACCTCAAATTTACTTTCAGTTCTCCCAGAGATAACCTCTCTCAGCCCATACCTGCTCCCTCTGTTCTGATCAAGGAATTCTGTAGCAGGAAGCACAATATCGAATTGAATCGGCGTTCCAGGCGCGATCAGCTCCTCTGCTTCAGGTAGACTGGCTGTTGCTTTGGGAACAATCTTGTCATTTTCATTTTCCATCTCTGAATTTTTCAGGTTCTGGCTGAAGGGGAAAAAAATCAATTCCCTTAACCTTACGCTTTTATAATCAAGTGAATACTTGTTGAAGGCTGAGGTGACTTTTATGAATGAAAATACAAGGGGAAAGATTGACCTCAATCCCTTAATCCATTCTACAAATAAACCTTCTTCAAACTTCCTTCATATCCTTGGCTAAAAACCTTCAGTCTGCCCCATTTCCTGCAGTTCTCTCTGCTGCACAGCATCCTGCACTGTGTTACTAGTTTTCTGTCTGTATCCTTCTCTGTGAGGCAGGTTTTGGAGGGCCTATGCTATAGCTAAGTCATATGTATTCTTGGAACATAGTAGGCACTAAAAAATGTTAGCTGAATGAACCAAAGGTCCTGGCTTGGCATTTAATCACCATCTGGCTCTAATTTCCCCAAAAGCCTCCCTTTCCACTCCTTTAATGCACCCTCTACGAGAGCTGTACCACACATACCACATGCTTTTCCTTATTTCCATCTTTATCCCAATTCTGCTGCTCACCCAACTCTCCCAACCCAGCTCAAATTCTTCCTTATCCACTAGGCCAGCCGGCACCCCGCCTCCCTCCTCTGAACTCCTGTGATTCTTCTCAGTAAGTCACAGGCACAGTCTTGCGGCCCTGTGTGCCTCCTGAGCTTCGCATTGTGCCCACACTCATTGCTGACATTGTGGCCCATCAAATACTGTGCTCTCTGTGGACAGACTAATCAGGAACCAACATGTTCTTCTCCTCCAGTCTCAGAATACTGTAATTTAACTTTTCAACGTTTTAAAAATCTTTTCTCCTCAGCCAGACTATAAACTCCTTTGAAGGGCAAAGAATATCAATGTATTTTGATTTCTTTCATTGCCTGGACCTTAAAAAGCTCTCAGTGATCTTTCTGTTCATTTGATATGTCAATATTTTCCTATTTCTCAAACATGTCAATAACTGAATGTAGTGTATCAAACTACTTTACAACAGGCATTTGACAAATGATCATAATGACTGGAATGTGGATGAAACAGTACATAGGCTTGTAGATGGTCACTGCAAGGCAAGCCCTTGGAGACCACTTGGTCTGACCTCCATTGTTAACAGAAAAGGAAACTGAGGCCTCTGGAGAAATTGAGCAGTTTTGAAGGCACTCAGTTACCTGGTGGGCGAGCCAGATTATAAACAGGGGTCTCCTCACTGCCAGGAGAGTGCATCTCCAGGATGTCATACTGCTTCAATAACCCTAAATGGGACAGTCACATCTGTTTGATCCTGTCTTTAAGAGAGGGCTGTGATATAATAAGTGGTAAGCACTGAAGAAAGCTATGAGTAGAAGCTTCAAGGGGAGAAAGTGAGTCTAAGATTTTGGCTCCCCAGAGAGTCAAAGGGGGGAGATAGATAACAATCAAGATAGGGTGAGGCCAGGTTGTAGAGGGCCCTTATACCGTCAGGTGGGGTCTGAACTTGACACAACAGTATAGGGAGCCACCAAAGACTCTGAACATAGGAGTGACATGATGTTAAGTTTCACCTGTACAGGATCTCCATGTCATCAGCTCTAATGGACACTTCGCAGTCATCATAATTGACTTAAAGCATCTAACACAGCTGATCTCTCCTTGAACTCTCCTCTCGGTTTCGGCTGGTGCCACATTTTACAGAGTTTCCTTCTACCTTTCTTGATGTTCCTTCTCAATGTCTTTGGCAGGCTCCTTTTCTACCCTAAATGCTGGAGTTCTTTAGGATTCTGTTGCAGGCTCTGCTTTCCCCTCCCTCTCCTTTCTCCCATAGAGGACCTCATCCACTGCTGTTCAGTGCTATGAGTCCCCGATTCATACACCCAGACCAGACGTTTTCTTTGCACTCCAGACCTGTATCATCCGTTGACTGCTTGACAACTCATTTGGGATGTTTCACAGGCCTCTCATGCTTAACATGTCCAAAACATGAACTCTTCTTTTTTTTAAAAAACACCATCTGCCCAGGTGTTCAGCTCCAACTGAAGTCATCCTTTGATCTGTCCTTTTCCGTCTACGCTTATCCATCAAAAGTCCCACAGGTTTTACCTCCAGAATAAGTCCACATCCATCTACTTTTCATCTCTGCCGTGATCCTGGTCTAAACCACCATCATCTTCTCTTGGGCTGTTGGGACGCCTCCTCACTGGCTACAGACTTGCTCTGTTCTGTGCTCTCCAGAGCAGCCAGAGCTAACTAACTTTGGAAAATGGAGAGTGGGTATCTCTGTCTCCATCACAAACACGCACCTCTCAGAGCCCTTCCACAGCTCCCCACATGCTTCCTTCTTGATCGACCCCTGCCTCCCTCCCCACCCGCCCTCATCCTGTCCCATGATCTCCACTGTCCCGTTACACTGCCTTTTTTCAGTTCCTCAGATATACTAAGATCTTCTCTGTCCTGTTACCTCCACAACTGCTACCAAGAATACACTACTTCTGGCTCTTTGCAAGAGTGGCTGCGTCTTGTCTTTCACTTTGCAGCTTGAATATTATCTTCACAGCCAGGCCCTGCACAGGTCTCCTCTTCACCCTCCATGACAGCACCTCATCTCCTTAACATTGGGGTGCTTCCCTCATTTTAACTCAGCCTGTGCTTACCTTTTGCCTGTTCTCCCCAGTAATCCCTGCGTTTTCTTACCTAGGCCAGGCCTGGGCAAATAGTAGATACTCAAATATTTGTTGAGTAGCTAGATAAATGAATGAACAGCAGATATATAGTAACTGCAGAATGAGGGAAGTCCACACATGGTACTTGCTTAGAAGTAAATAGCAGTTTGTTCCCAAGAACACAATTTCTCTGATTCTTTCCCCCCCCACTGTCATCAAAACATTGCTTTATTCTCAGTGGGCTGACCCTAAAAGAGATAGTATCCCTCTCCCCACAGCTCTGGGGCCATCTGGCAGCCACATCTGTCACCCATCCAATCACTGGGCTAATTCAGCTGGCTGGCTAGAGTCATTTTTTTTCCCCCCAGGGAGTCTTCTGTGTCCCTTCTGTGGGGTCCTTTTGGTCTAAGAATGTGACTTGCTTATTCTAGAATAGGGGGAAAAGTCAGTTACTGAATAATTAAATATAGGCTGCAAATTGTCTTTTTAGGAAACGTATCACACCTTCTAATTCCAAACCCCCCTAAACTATCCATCAACACCCTTGAGAGATGGCATATCAGAGCTAGAAGGGTCCTAGGAGGTTAGCTAGTTCCCTGTATGTCACAAGGCTGAGAAGACAAAGGCCCAGAGCATTTACTGACTTACTCAGGGACATCTAGCTGTGTATAACACAAGGCAGAGATATCGTTAGAACCCATGTCTCTCAACTGCAGGTCTGGTATTCCCTCCATTGTGCACATCAAACATTTTTGTAACTTTACAAAGAGAAGACATACATTTACCCAGGAGAAGGCTACGGGATTAACCCTCGCTGACTGGATCTTTAGTTCCACTTCCTTTCATATAGTGTCTTCCTTAGAGTTCCATTTCATAAAGCATGCTACTTGTATCAACTGTTAAATCCTTAAGTTACGGTGCTGAAATGTTTCTCGGACTTGTTGCCTCTTTCTCCTCTTTTTTAAAAACATTTGTTTACGTTCTCATGTTCTGCTTCACAGCTACTACTACATCAACATCCTACTGGGTCTTGCACTCTCCCCTTCTTCCCACAACCTGTATCCTAAAATTTATCCTACTCAGGTACAGAATAGTCTTCCCTAACCCTGGTTCTGACCATCGCCCATTTTCTCAAAACCTTCCATTTTGCTCCATTGCCTGTAACTCCTAAGCAGGGCACCCAGGTCTTTCCAGTTAGACTCAAACCTATTTTCTGGCCTTACCTTCTCCCATTCCTTCTCAGATACCCCGTGCCCGGCATGTGAACGCTGGCTCCACACTGCACAGATTCTGGGAAGTTACTTAACCACTGAGTTTTCTAATGACTTCCTTCTGGGGTCATTAGATATTTGTAAAAAATGTAATGGGGTTCTTTCTACCATGCCACTAAAAGATGAACACCAAATATAGTCGTAATTTTAATTTACCCTTTAATGCCAGGCTTTCATTAGTATGAAAATACAATCCTCTACTATTTAACCAGATGGAAACTCCCATTAAGACAAAAGGTAGGATTCCTGGAATAAATCCTAAAGCACTATTCAAAATGAGGAAAGCTGTATGCATGAAAATGTTTGCTCTAAATGATAACAGTAAACGCCAGGGAGATAACCTAAATATTCAATGGTTAATAAATGGTAGAATGGGCCAGGCGCAGTGGCTCATGCCTGTAATCCCAGCACTTTGGGAAGCTGAGGCGGGTGGATCACTTGAGGTCAGGAGTTCAAGACCAGCCTGGCTAACATAGTGAAACCCCATCTCTATTAAAAATACAAAAATTAGCCAGGTGTGGTGGTGGGCGCCTGTAATCCCAGCTACTCGGGAGGCTGAGGCAGGAGAATCACTTGAATCTGGGAAGTGGCGGTTGCAGTGAGCCGGGATTACTCCACTGCACTCCAGCCCAGGTGACAGAGTGAGACTCCGTCTCGAAAAAATTAAAAAATAAGTAAGTAAAAAAATAAATGATGGAATAGGGTGTAGTTACTAAAAGGAACAATTCTGAAAAATGTAGAAATAGTTAAAAAAAAAAAAAGTATGTGCAAATACAAAATAAATGTACATATAAAACTATCACTGTATGTTCAGATAAGGCGTGGACATTAACATGGGATACATAAAAGGCGATTTTTTTTTCCTTATTTTTTAAAAACATTTTTGCTTTCGTTCCCTTACTTTGTTGACACTGATAGAAAATGTGGGGAGAACTCCTGACTAGGAGGACCCTCCATGCACGTCCTGTTTGCTTGGACTGCAGCAGCATGGTCCAGTGGAAAGGACAGGGATGCTGACATCAGACAGGCTTGAATCCTGGCTCTACCACTCACAATGTGGTGTGAACACAGGCAGGTATTTAACCTTTCCCAGCCATCGTTACTGCTTCTGTTAAACAGGCTGAAAAACATGCCTTGGTTTGTGTGGATTAAGCAACAACTCATTTCGTATTCCTAATCAATAATTTGGCTCCACAAAAGCTAGTTTTTCTTTGTCCTTTAGTTACCTGGGGCATGAGCTTTCTTGTTTTTTTCCAAAACTTGTAATGGGAGTCACTGCTTGCAGAGCGGTCTGATTCAACTTGATCGCGACTGCCTAAAAATCCACAGGAAGACACACTCAGTCCCAGGAGGTGGACGCTTACCTTCCAGGTTGAGAAAAGGGCTGAGATGCCGGTGGCTGATAATTACCTCAGGGTTGTCGGTCAGGTAGATCTGTCTGGAGATGTTGTTTATTGCACATATCCACTGTAGAGGACATTAAAAAAGAACACTGAATCCCAAAGTCACCCACCACGTTAGGAAAGAAATATGACAAACAAAATTTTTACCTCTTCATTTTCCTTTCTGCTCTCAGCCTGGAGGATTATTCCCCTGAAACAAAAGTGTCTAAGTAATTAAGTGCTTCCCTGATCTCAGTGACTGGGAATTTCTCTACATAAACTGAACTTAGCTGGGGTGTGGGAGGAAAAGTGCCATGAAGGCAGCATGATGAGAGGGAAAGAAAATGGGGTTCCAGGGCCAGGTGCAGTGGCTCATGCCTGCAGTCCCAGCATTTTGGGAAGGTGAGGCAGGAGGATGGCTTGAGCCCAGGAGTTCGAGACCAGCCTGGGCAACATGGTGAAACCCCCTCTCTACAAAAAATACAAAAATTAGCTGGGCGTGGTGGCGTGTGCCTGTAGTCCTAGCTACTAGAGAGGCTGAAGTGGGAGGATCGATCGAGCCCAGGAGGCTGAGGCTGCAGTGAGTGGTGACTGTGCCACTGCACTCCAGCCTGGGTGATAGGGCAAGGCCCTATCTCAAACAAAAAAAAAAAAAAGAAAAAGAAAAAAGAAAATGGGCTTGTAGGTCTGGCTCTGCCCTGATTCACTATGTGATCTTGGACAAACATGGCCGTTTCCCTGGGCCTCAGCATGTTCATCTATGAAATGAGAAGGCGGGACTCGGATCTTCTAGCCCAAATCTGTGTTTGTACAGTGAGATCCACCTGTTGACCTCCTCTAATGATCCAAGATGACCAGGACTCCAAGCCCAGCCACTCCTCAAACCATGCCCAAAGAAGGACTTGGCAGCCCATTCACTCCTTTCCCAGAACTGAAAAGTCTGCTGCGTATGGAGGCCCGGGAATAAGGTAACAGTAATACTGCCCTACCTTTGTGGAGGCGTTAACTCTTTTTTTTTTTTTTTTTTTTTTTTTTTTGATGGAGTTTTGCTCTTGTTGCACCAGGCTGGAGTGCAATGGTGTGATCTCGGCTCACCACAACCTCCGCCTCCCAGGTTCAAGCGATTCTCCTGCCTCAGCCTCCTGAGTAGCTGGGATTACAGGCATGCGCCACCACTAACGTGCCCGGCCAATTTTGTATTTCCAGTAGAGACGGGGTTTCTCCATGTTGGTCATGCTGATCTCAAACTCCCAACCTCAGGGGATCCACCTGCCTCGGCCTCCCAAAGTGCTGGGATTATAGGCGTGAGCCACTGTACCCAGCCGAGGCTTTAACTTTTTAAAGAGACCCCACATCTGCCAGTTCCCTTGTTCCTCTCATCTGTGGCAGATGGAGTAACATAGATCTTATCCCTATTTTATATCTGAGGAAAGTGAGGCCCAGAGGAGGTAACTGCAAAGGACCATGATGAGCATCCAGGAATCTCCATTCCCAGGTCATTTCCCATCACCAAAGCAGGAAGGATGAGGTCTAAAGCTGCTCTGCCAAGCTGGGAGGAGAGACATCATCCCAATGCCGTCCCCACCCCTACCCCTGCTGTTCAGGTCAAATCTTAATAGAATGCAGTGTGAGAAGAGCGGCTCTGATGACGGGCAGGGCCACTCCTCTCCCCAGGCAGGTGAACCCTGAAGCCCCTCCATGGGACCCTGAAGCCCCTCCATGGGACCCTGAACTCCTTGGAGCAGTTTAAAAACCACCACTCTGAGAGGGGATCCCACTGGGATGGGATCTACTGTGAATGGCCACAGCCTGCGGATTGGTAAAGTACCACCTCTTTGGGGCCCCTCAGGTACACAGGACATGTGGGAACAGCCTGGCAGCCGACGATGCTGCTGCAGTGGAGTACACTTCTCACAACTCCTGCTTCTGCTGGAAAAATGGCCTTCTCAGGAAGGTCGTCCTTACCAAAATAGTTACTCTCCCCTGCTGCAATCCAAACACAAATGCTTCTTTACAACAGGCTAGGAGTAGCCACAGCCTTCTCTCTCTGAGAATCTATGCTAACAAGCACGACTTCTGTTGCTGTCTCACACACGTAGGTCATCTCTTCTCCAAAGCCACAGACAAACCCTCACTTATCTCCATATGGGATAAGGCAGGCTGGATCCCTTATGGGTCATGCGGGCTTGTTTAAAGAGAGCAGAAAATCATCCTCCTGAAAGGTCAACAATACCCAGATTGGGGCCTCTCCCACAGAGGGCTGGCACATAGGAATGAACTAGGAGGCCCTTGGAACGGGTGGAACCACTATACTCATTCTCCTCCCAAATAAAACGCGTGAAACATACGATTTTCCATTGGGCGTGGTGATCTGGAAGCAGTAGCGCCGGTCTTCGCAATCCACGGCCATCACTGAGCAGTTGTCCAGGTCCTGGATCAAACCTCCAGCCACGGCTCCCCTGGGCTGACACATGAGATTCCCGCCTTGGGTGAAGAAATAAAGCCTCTCCCAGGTGGTGGTGACCAGCCCTGTTTTGCTGTGAGTTGTGTTTTAAAAAGCCCATTAGTACCAGAAAGCACCAGCGGCCACCTCCAAGTCTTGCTACCTCGTTATGGGTACTGGTGGCATTTTAGAAATAATGTGTTTCTTTATATCGTTAAAGCAAAACTGCCCATTCAAGTGGAAAGAGCAGCAGAAGGGTACAATTTAGCTGGAATGATCTGGGAGATCATGGGCTCTGCTTCCAAGGGAGACACCAGTCCCAGGGCCGACTCCCCGCACCACAGCCACATGCTGACTACTAAACCAGGAGATGCAACTAGAATGAGTCCGACACCATTAAGGACTGAACACCTGGAGAATCATTTCTCTGACACCTGGAGCTGAGCTGCTCTGAATCTAGTCAGGGTTGCCTTAGCCCACAGCACCCACCCCATAGTCCTAGGAGGCTCTCAACAGACTGGATTTTGCTGTAATTGAAGGTCATTCTTGTTTTGTGGGCAGCTTACAAAAGGAAAATCTAGTTCCTGGCAAATAACGACAGAACCCGGTAGGTTTTCTACATCTGCAGAACTACAGGGGACATTTAGCTTGTGATCGCTGCAAGTTCACAGACCTTAGAGGTACTCCAGCCTGGTAACAGCTGGCAGTTCCTCTCCATGGACCCTCCACTGGGGGTTATCAAACACATTTACTTGGCTCAGTATTTACTGAGTAGCAACTATGTCCAAAGGCACTGGGTTTCCTGCCCCAATAATTTCCCCAAATGGCAACGGCTGACATCTGAGTGCTCACTGCCTGGGAGGGATGACCACATTCAATCTAACTTCGTAAAGCA
The DNA here is from genome assembly GCF_000001405.40 of Homo sapiens. Classification (NCBI taxonomy): domain Eukaryota; kingdom Metazoa; phylum Chordata; class Mammalia; order Primates; family Hominidae; genus Homo; species Homo sapiens. Next base: position 105,198,755 of record NC_000012.12, read on the forward strand.
GGTGCAGTTATCAGCTCCATTTTACAGATGAAGAGATCAAGGCTCAGCCCAGCTGGGATGTCTGATTCCAAAGTCAGTGCTTTTCACACCACACCATGACAATATCCTCTCTGCTCACAGAAATACTTAAACCTGATCATCCCTTCCATTCAAAACGGACACTTAAAGACCTGAGTGGTAAATGTGTGACTCAATCAGTATGAATCGAACTGACTCTAAAAGCCTCCTGACCTTGCCTCTGGCCTTGCAGGTAGGTCTCCAGCACATGGCTCTCATCTGCCAGCTGGTGTGGGGGAAGTGGCATGAGGGGATAAAAACTGTCAGTGGTCCAGGACGGCAACAGTTAAGAGTGGTCTGTTTGCACATGGCCACAGTGACCAGAGTCCACAGCACCAGGCTCTTAGAGGACTCGTTTCCAGCCCCATCTCTTAGTGCAGTTTGGCGCCTGGGCCCCAGAGGTTTCCTGTGTTGCAAGTGGGAGGGCTGCTGTGATGGGAGTTCTTCCCAGTCTCACCCACCCACCTCCCTCTGACTTTAATGAGGCACGTAAGATTGCTTTTCAGCCACCTCTTAGGGAAAACGGATTTCAGAAAAAGAGGCAGACGGTGGCGTTCTCACTTTCTAAGATTAAGGTAACCAGCCTTCTGGATGAGGTTCCTGTTGATCTGTGGTGCGGCCACATCAGAGTCTGGAGTGTAAACAGATTCATCAACAGAAAGTAATTCTTGCTGGGACACCCGCATCTTTTCCGCCTCGGCTTCCAGTTCTACCTGAATGCTTAAGACAGAAGGTGTTGGGTCAGTTACTCACTGCTGGCCAACCCAGCACTACTAAGAAGCCACTGGCAGCCATCACTCCACCCCCGCAAAGCTTCCGGCCTTACAGATGGAGCTGCCAGCCTCCTACAGGGCCACAACCCTCTACCCTTAGGCCCTGAAAACTATGAATCACAGGGACTCAATTTTGCAGTAGTAAATGTGTTTATATGACTGCTGTTTTAAAACAGAACCTAAGGAATGCCATTGAACTATGCTTGAACCCAGCTACACAGTCTTTTTTTTTGTTGTTTTTATTTTTTTTTTGAGATGGAATCTCGCTCTGTCGCCCAGGCTGGAGTACAGTGGCGCGATCTCCTCTCACTGCAAGCTCCGCCCCTCAGGTTCATGCCATTCTCCTGCCTCAGCCTCTCGAGTAGCTGGGACTACCGGCGCTCGCCACCATGCCCGGCTAATTTTGTTTTTTTTTTTTTTTTTGTATTTTTAGTAGAGACGGGGTTTCACCGTGTTCGCCAGGACGGTCTCGATCTCCTGACCTTGTGATCCGCCTGCCTCGGCCTCCCAAAGTGCTGGGATTACAGGCGTGAGCCACCGCGCCCGGCTGAACCCAGCTAAACAGTTTTGCTGCTGACAGAGGTATCCATGCTCAGCACCGTTGATGGAAATTTTTGGAGAAAAGCTTTGAGAAGCCCATCCTCCAGGGCTGCTCACACAGGCAGCCTAAGCAAGTTCCATAAAGGAAGGAATGAAATGGTAGTCATGCCTCCCCTGCTCTTGGTTTAGGCAGGAGTGGTGGTGACAGGAAAATGACCAGGAAGTGGTACTAAGGTGCAACAACAAAGCCAAAGGCAATGCTTTTCCTTTTTTAACAGCCATAGTTCTGCCCTGAGGCTTCATAGGCTAGCAGGCCAAGGGCTGCCCACACAGGGGTAAGTGGGCGGATGGCCTGGCTCTGGGACATTAGCCCCTGGCTTTCATGGAGGTGTGTGCTGAGGTGTGGAAATGGTGGCTGCCCTTTTCCCCTACTGAGCTAGACCGCACCAGGCCACCCCACCCACTAGTGACAGTCTTGGTTACAAAGTCCTAAACACAATCTGCCCAACGGGGCCCATCCATCTGAGAAATCACAATTTAGAGGAGGTGTTCCTCTGCACTGTGTTACAGGAGACACGGCAACCACAAGGTTAAAATCAGAAGCAAACAGGGGGCCAGTGTTTCTCCACATGAGCACCTCAGGATTCTCTCTCTTCTGGAGGTAAGGAACGTTGGGCTTGGACATTCCATATTCCCCCACTCTCTACGTATGTATGTATGTATGTATGTATGTATGTATGTATCTATCTATCTATCTATCTATCTATCTATCTATCTATCCTATCTATCTAATCTATTCATTTTGAGAGAGTCTTGCTCCGCCACCCAGGCTGGAGTGCAGTGGCATGATCTTCGCTCACTACAACCTCCGCCTCCTGGGTTCAAGCGATTCCCATGCCTCAGCCTCCCAAACAGCTGGGATTACAGGCATGCACCACCACACCCAGCTCATTTTTGTATTTTTAGTAGAGAAGGGGTTTCACCATGTTGGCCAGGCTGGTCTTGAACTCCTGGCCTCAAGTGACCCACCCATCTTGGCCTCCCAAAGTACTGGGATTACAGGTGTGAGCCACTGCTCCTGGTCAGCCCCTCTTCTTTAATGCAGCTCGATTTTGGCTTTTCTGACATTTGACTGGGATGATGAGGGACTCTACCATTGGTGGCCTTAAGACAGGTAAGCTAGAGGACAAACCTCATTAGCTTCGCCTGCTTGTCACTGCCCCGGCTGAGAGAATGGAACGTGGAAGACCAAGCTCAGCACATAGAACGGGGGAGGAGAGAAGGGGAAGGAGGGACCAAGAGCCTGTCAAGAGCTCAGGGTCAGCTTTTATGGGTGAGAAACCTCTTTGAAGATGTGATACAAGAGAAGGATCCTGTCCCCAGAAAGACACGGGCACCAACGTGGCTTCTTGCGTACAACTCCAGGAGATTTTTAGTAGCTGCCCTGCCTTCCCCTCCCCCACCCCACACAGACTCAGGCTCAAACACTGGGAGCTCATCCAAGGTTCCCAGGAACCAAAGGAACAGGGTCAAAATTAACTGCTTTCAACTGGTTCTCTTCACAGATAAAACAACAAAAAAAAGCATGTATATATATACACACACACATATATATAAAATTATATATATCTGTTGATATATAGATATGAGCCGCAGAAAGGTAGAACTGTATCACTATAGGGTTAGGGAATAAAGAAAGCTCTGCAGGGTGGCTGGAAACCATGCCACGCTGTCTGGATTCCCACCACTGGGTTCTGAATCCACCCCCACCTGGAAAGCACAGAGCACCTGTGGCATCATCCCCCGGGGAAGGGCTGCACAGCTTCAGGGCCACCACCAGATCCTGCTCTGAGGCCTCCCTGGGTGGGCTGGCTGCTCATGCATGGCAATGCTGCAGCAAAACCATCCCTTGGTTTGGAGAAAAGTGGTCATATTTACTCACCAACATGAAATTTAAAATTACAGGAAAAATAGCATTCAAAACAGTACTTTAGCTATCTGAATCAAGTGCTGCAAGGTTCAGTTTGGAAACCCCATCAGCTGCCTGTCACCCCATAACTAAATACAGCTTGTCAGACAGAGGGGGTAACTCACAGAACCAGCCCCAGCCTGCACAGAGAAGGCCATGTAGCCCGGGCGCAGACCCTGACGTTAATGCCCGGGTTGTGGTTCTCTCAGGATGGCTGGTGCTATACTTGGGTTGGCCTAATAATGGTTAATGGAAATGCTGACAAGAAGGGAAGACAGAGGCTCTAGGATCTGCAGAAAGAGGAAACCATGGCAACTCACACGCATGGGCACAAATGTCCTGCTACCCATTCAGAAAATAATCAGGTGTGTGAAAAAAATTGAGGCATAGATGGTTCTTCCAGAAACACAGAAGTGCGAGGAATTCTGAGAGTTAAAGCAGGATGAGGAAGAGACAGTGAAAGATGAGGGACAGAGGATACTTTTACAAAGTGACCATTTAATAGCCTCTCATCTTCTACCTCCTCCTAACATTCCCAGGGGCTAAGAACCAAATAAATTAAAAGGCAAGAAACTGCAATCAGATTTCACAAGTTGGTTTCTAGCATAATTATAAATAAAAGCTACATCACTCACTGCTGCCAATTATTCAGAGCTAAACAGCTCAGTGACTTTCAGGTAGGGGTATATGCTCTCAACTTGCTTTGCATCTGTCTCAATGCTCAGCACTGGTTTTTCTTGGGACTGATTATTTTTGGAGCATTTCAGATAGACTTCTACCTAGATCAATTCCCTTGTTTAGCCTTCATGAGGTGTGGTGAAATGCAACATCTTCAAGAAAATGAGCAACTTTCTCTTCGTGTATCCACATGAAATAAAATTCCTATTCATTATTTCCATTTTGTCTATTTGTCAACTACACACACACACACACACACACACACACACACACACACACACACACACACACACGGACCTATTTCTGTACTCCAGAACTCGTCGCAAGCGCTTGGGAAGCCCATGCTGTGCTCCGGATGGACCAAGCCTGAGGCTGCAGGGGCCGGGGCCCCCCTCAGAGCTCTGTCATGGAAGCTGGGGAGGGGCGGGTGGCAGGGCGCCCACAGCCTCCAGTTAGTGTGGCAGTTACTCAACTACTGAAGACAGTGATGTTGTATTTCTTAAAATAAGCAAATACAGTTTTTAAAATTAATTCCAAAAAGGCTCTATCCCTCCTTTACCTATTATAAATTAATGCACTGGTCAGAGTTTCCTGAAAAGTGACAGCACTTCCATCTGCTACTGCCACGTACTCTCAAAGAAAGTCAAGAGCTCTTCTAAAACCACAGCAAAGCTAAGCTGGGTTCCCAGGCTTGTGACATGTGAAACTCCAATATTCACAACAAGAGATCTGGAGAAAACTCTGCCAATGTGCCCCAGATATTTATGAATATTGGCAGCTAAGGCAAGGGCACTGTTAGCGAGCATTTCTGGGGTGGACAGAGGCTCTGTGCGACCCTCCACAGTTAGAACCCTCCCCGTGACCTCCCAGAGATGTCAGATCAGCATGAAAGGCAAGGGGCACACAAGACCCGGCCGGAGTGCAGCATTACCTTTGAACCATGTCTGCAACGGAGGATAAAAAGCTGTCCATACGTTTGGAAAACATCTCTGCTCCCTTCTTAAAAAAGTTAATCTGAAAGATATAATTATAATATTCTGAAAATCATCCAGGGAAGTGATCAGTGAACTCACTGAAGGTGAGACAGGCAGCGTGAGGGCAGCCATCACAGCTGGCTGGCCCGCCTCGCACGCGGCACTGGCAGCATCTCTACTGAGTCTACACCTGAGCACTATGCACTTTGAAACTGAAACCACAGTTGCTGGCTTTTGGGTGCCAATGGAAGGGATTCCTTACTTCCTGTAACTCCTGTCTAATATTCACTTCCCAGAAAGTCTGGGTCCCCTGACAAACCCTGGAGGGCAGGGGTATGGGAGAGGGGAAGAAGAACATTTCTGTGTATTAGTGGCATCTGCACCATCCCACCCTGAGCAGCTCCAGTTTGCATTCTTCTACAGCCATGACTTTTACAAATCTGCCCATTAGGTATGAACTGCTCCATTTTCTATGTCTGCTGGTTGGGAGGTAACAGTAACAGTTGCAAGCCTAGATGATGAAAAAAGAGAGAAAACGTTCCGTGTGAGCAAGGGTATTCTCTCACACATTAACCCGGCTCGTCTGTCTGACCTGGAAGCCTCCCTTTCCTGGCATGGCGGGCACCAAAATCGACCTCTGACCCTGAAGAGGCTAGCAGGTATTCTCAGCATAGTTCTGACGGCTTTGCATCTATTCCCCAGATACCCTGGGAAAGCATGTATTCTAATGTGCTTAGTTATCACAGGTTAAAAACGGATGATTGTGGTCATCCTAACACAGGTGATACATGCAGGGGACTGTTCTGGCCCCATGATCTTTAAATCATACAGAGATCACCACTGGAAATGCCATTTGGAACTTCTGAAGTGTTAAATATCAAAATGAGTATTAATCATTTAATATCATTAATTTGTTAAATCAGCACTCTGCATTTCTAATGGCACAATGTCATGGTGGCCTCCCTCTCCTTCCCCTCCCTGAACTCCTTTGGAATTTACACTCCTAGGCCATGTCTTAGCTCCTCTGCTATTCTGTAATCTCCTTAGGGCAGGGGCTCACATAATCCCTAAGAAAAGTGGGCGAATGGATGAACGGAAGGCAGGTAAGACACTGGCTCTACAGCCGCATCACAGCCTGTCCCGTCAATGTAACACTGGAGGTCACTGTTCCGTTCTCAAAAACCTGCGCACTGATTACAGAGCCTCAGTTTGCAGGCATGAGGACCGAACATGACTTCAAGGGCTGGAGAAGGCAGGAATGGAGTCCCCACACCTCCACAAAGGTGGGTGGTGCCGAGAAGCCTGATGAGTCTCCACCACAACTGCCTTAGTGAGCAGCAGGAAGTGCTATGTTCATGGAAAAATCAGCTCACAGAGGCTGGGGCTCAATAAACCCTGATTGCCAAGGTCGGATGAGGCAGGAGGACAGCTAATGCTTCTGAATCATCCAGAAGATCACTCCACGGTGCCAGGCAACAAACTTGTCTGGCTATTGAAGGAGCTATTGTTTCCATCTGCATTTAAAAATAATGCATAGGGAAAGGGCCTACTTGGTCTTGTGTCTTGAAATCTGGATACGAAAAATGAAAGATGCCATTCTCAGCTCTCAACAATGATGCTCCTGCCACTGAATAATGACGGTGTGCTCTGCTGTTCCCCCAGAACTGGGGCTACATGTGTGCTACGGTACCCACAGCTCCTCTTCTCCCTCTGTGGCCAGAGCACTCACTTAAGAGAGTCCAGGCTGGGAGCAGTGAGGTAGTCCTTGGCCATGAATGAGAATGAAACCAGCTGGTGTCAAGCTTGTCCTGTAGGCCTTGCAGGACACCCTCTTATCAAGCAAGTTCTACAGCACTGACCGATCAGGACCAGAGCTGATCATCCTTCCAAGATGCTAGATCTGAGACCCTTCCCGACCCTAGGCCTCTGACTGAGCAAGGCTACGGCCCCAGAGGGATGGCGTCAATCCAGGAGGGGTTAACTAAAGAGAACAAAGAGAGCCCCGGCATTCTCTAATATGGCAAGGCCATCTGCCAGCTGTGATACTGCCTGCAGGAGAGGGGAGGGCAACAGTATGAGTTACTGCACACCTGTGTGCACAAGTGCCCATCATAAGCACCTGGACAGCTCCCAAGATCTGCTGAGGACTGATGCCGCCCACAGCTGGGTGGTGCTACTTCACTCAGAAGACACAGAAAGACTTTATCGCTCTATTTAAGTATCACTTCCAAAGGCACAGGCTGACTTCAGTGAACTCACCATTCAACAGCCTAACAACTAGATTAACAAGGAAGACAACTGAGCTTGGATATCTTCCGAACCCATTTCCCATTTGCCCTGAGAGTACTGTTCTGGCAGTGAGCTGCACTTTTTTTCTCTAAACAGGAAATGGGTTAAAGCTCCTCTCTCATTCCCCTTTTTGTTGAATGACACTGACGTGAAGTTTTTGTTTTTTAATATATGTGCCTTAAAAATGTATTATAGAAGTATTAGATGTTCATATATCAGGTATTTTTAAGTTGGTGACTTTTTCTTAATAACATTTTGCTTCCTCGCATCCCCTTCTGTTCCTAGATTGTCAACTGAGAGAAGATTCCTGGGTGCCTTTCTCACGGGCCAAAGGATGGCTTTGGAGACAACGTGAGTGGGGCAAACGCAGGATGGGGTGGAAAGTGAGGGGGTGGTGCCATCAGCCTCACACTCACGGTCACTCGTCTCCGCCGCACTGGTGCCACTACAGTCAACTCCCCATCCTCAAAGTAGAGCCTCTCTTAAGACAAATATTCAGCCAACCATTAAATAGGAGGATAGAAACCCAATAAGTAAAGGAGACCTCATAAAGCACTGGCAACGTTTCCCCATGCCCAGATGTTAAGGTGCTGGGATCATCTAGGAGAGGTGCACCTGAGGAGCCAGCAGAGCGGGGGCCTTACTACAGGCAGCAAGGAGTGCCGGGAATCCTGGGTGACAGGCAAGCTATCCCAACCCCAGTGGTAGCTGCTTCTAGGAGAACTGCACCCAGCTGGCTTTCATTCGGATTAGAAAAAAAGGGCCACACAGGCTCTTCCCCAAGAGAGGCTTGGGACCCAGGCCTCATTTCCTGAACATATGGCCTAACTTGAGGCCAATGCATGTCCAGCTGAAGATGACCCAGCTCAACTGGAAGCTGTCCAAGTGCTGAATCCCACAAAGTAGCCAGGGAGATTGTGCATTTATGTTTCTTTCTACGACGATGCTTCAGTGTCTCCTGCGTGCCCTCTCAGCAGAACGCCACAGCTAGCTTAGGTTTCAGCCCTCAGGGAGGGACTCCCCTACCTGTCCATGGGCAAAGCCTATCATGGGCTCCATCATGGCCATTTGCTTTCTGTACTGCAGCGCGTTGAGGGCACAGTAGTACTGAAGGGAGGAGAGGTGCTGCTTCCGCCGGGCCGCGGCCACCTCTTTTCCGACTTCGGTCTTCACCTGGTTAAAAGGTGAAAGGAAAACTTCAAGTTGTCTACTGTACGTGACAATTCTGTAAAAGCGTGTGCTTCAAAATGTGTGTTTATGCATTATAACCATTTTTGTGACAAATATAACAAAACACAGATAAGGCTGCACTTCAACTTTCTAAAAAATCCAAATTAAAAATATGCAAGAAACAGCATCTCAGTGCTTGTGAGGCCGCGGTGAGGTGAAGCCTGTACCCTCCTGGGAGCAGTGCAAAGTCCTACAGTCCTTCAGGATAACAATATGGCAGCATGTACTGAAGAAGGCTGCAGACATTCTAGTTCACTCATAAGACTGTATGCCAAGGAAATAATTTAGCCCAAGGAAATCATGTAACAGAAGTAAAAAGTTATATGCATGAAAATAGTCAATATTATCTAGAGTAGCGAAGGTCCTAGAAAGCATGGGTTAAAGAATCAGAGTCAACACTTGGGGCAAGGAGTTCAAGTGACCTGGGTGATAAATGAGTCAGACGAGGCAGCAAGCTGAAGTTAAAACCCCTGTGTGATCATAATCTTACAGTGGCTCTAAGCTGGTGTTTAATAAACCAGTTTGAAAAGATAGAATAGAGAAGTGGAGGTCTACTTATGAGATTTGGAATGAACAATTTTAAAAGTCCATGTATAGTTAAAAAAAAAAATAACCACGCACCCTTTCATGCCATAAATTCACAAGAGGAAGGCATGAAAGGCCTTTATGTAAATGAAGTGAAAAACAACATGTAAAGTATTCTTACCTTCTCATTCTCCTTTTTCTTAGGCAGCCTGCTGTATTTTGCCATTGAGAGGTCATGCTCTAAAAATAAACAGACATCTGAACACCCAGGAGGGTCAGGGTCGAAAGGGAAGAACATTCATTGGGGGTCTCCTCCCCGCCACAGTAAGCCCACACACCCACACACCAGGAATGGAGAAGGTGCCTACCATTGCTAGCGAGTCCAAATAGATCCTTTAAAGTGCTTACTTCTGAAAAGGAGAAAAGGGACCGTCTTAGAGCAATGAAAAATAAAACATGCCAACCCAGAGCTCTGCACTTTCCCCTGAAAATAAGAGAATATGCGTGCAAGGGAAGCCCCTGCACCCTCAGTCCCTGGCTCTCACAGGCTGGCCCAGAGGCTGGGACCTGGGCTCACTGGAACATACGGCTTCAACCATGCCCCACACCCAGTGACCCTGATGGCCTGAGCAGCCCTGCCTCTCCACATAGCGCTGAGGGTCTGTGAGGGAGAGGGCACGCCGGGGAGGTGGGCTGGACAGTGTGGTGGACAGGTACTTTTCATGGAGACCTGGAGTATAAACTTAAGTTCTGATGCCTCAGCCCCCAGATAGAGTGTCTTAATACATCTTTCTACACCCAGAACCTAAAAGCTTCCTGTGTTGCCATTTTAATATCTGACTTACTGGAGTCATCCCTGGACAAAGGAATACGCGGTGCTTGTACTAATGAAAAACGTGACACGATCTAGCATACTGTAGTTGCGACAAGCCAACACCAATAACTATTACTCCGAGTGAGTGCCACACCCATCATGCACAGAGATGGCTGAACCAAGCCCAAGACCAAAAATCCAAAAAGATCATTGAGAGCAGTGACCGTCCAAGGTTAGAAACTTAAAAACCCAACGATTGATACCTAAAAGAAAGTGACACTTTCTACAATTCTACAACAATCCATTTTCATTTTATCAAACAAAGCAAAGCCATTCACATCTATGTTGGTTATACTAGTTTTCAATTTGCCTCCAAACTGCCTCCAGCTTTTAAATGCTCTTCGCGTTATTCATACTCTTTTGGTATCAGGCTACTTTCTGCCCTTTCCTGCTTGCATTTTTCTTTCTTTCTCTCCCATCTTTTATTTCCTGTTGGAGTCAAGTTTTAGGTTTCTTTACTTATCAATTTTAAGTAGTTTCCTTAATATCTCTTGCGTTCTCTTCATTCAGATTATGTACTTGTGTTGGTGAGTGAATAAAGGCCGAGAAATGTAAGATAAAACACCACTGTCTAGGCAGAGGGGAGATCAGATTCTAATTTGGTCTGATGTTGACTCAGGTATGACCTGGGGCCAAATACTTCAAAGTGAGGTCCTGATGGCATCAGAAAAGGATGTTTAACCTTTTTCAAAGATACTAAGAAGATTCCTTCTTACTACTAACGAGCAGTTTTATTCCACTTAAAAAAAATCACCATCCTGGGCAAATACTACTCATCCACATTTGGGGTCACTCTGGATTAATGGAGGCCACTGTCATTAATGCTGCTGGGCACTCTCAATTCTAGTTCTGCCTCCCATAAGCAAACCTGAAAGACATAAATCTGACAACATAGGTCTTAGGAGATGATTATTTTCTTTCAAACAGACTTGGAGTTTGTTTTTAAAATGACATCCCGTTCACTTCTAATGATTTTATTTAGAGAAAACCCTTCAAAAAAATGCACCCACTAAGGCATTCAGTGAGGACACAATCATCAGCAGATGACTGAGGCAAGCATGTTTTAGCTTCCTATGCAATGACAGATGAGCAACACTAAAAAGCACTAAAATTCCTGCTTTGTTTAATCAAGGTTTCCCTTTATGCAAGCAAATGGAGGCATTACTTGTTATTTTTTATTTATTAAGTTTTAGTGCTGCCAAACTGACCTTAGGTAGAGTTTATGCCAGTTCTATCCTTGTTCCTTAGCCTCAGGTGACACCAACACAGGGGATCTCAAAGCAAGGGAGGAAAATCTTCACCCTTTTTTTTTTTTGAGACGGAGTCTCGCTCTGTCGCCTGGGCTGAAATGCAGTGGCGCGATCTCGGCTCACTGCAACCTCCACCTCCCGGGTTCAAGCGATTCTCCTGCCTCAGCCTCCCGAGTAGCTGGGACTACAGGCATGCGCCACCATGCCCGGCTAATTTTTTATAGTTTTAGTAGAGACGAGGTTTCGCCGTGTTAGCCAGGATGGTCTCGATCTCCTGACCTAGTGATCCGCCCGCCTCAGCCTCCCAAAGTGCTGGGATTACAGGCGTGAGCCACTGTGCCCGGCCAATCTTTACCTTTAAGACTTGTCTTTAGATTTACTGCAACCTTCTCCGCCCCAACCCCCGCCGCAAAAAAAGCTTAAAGTGATATATTTTTAAAGAGTAAGTAATATACTGACCAGATCTTTTAGCATTCAGGTTTAGGCTTTTTTGGGGCCAGCAACTTGTTTATATCAGTGTTCTAGAAAATGTAATTCTTAAACTCTAAGTAATAAATACTTCCAATGAAGAGACAATAGGACTAGAAAATGTGGAGTCCCTTTTCTAACATCAGCGAAGTTTTTTCAAGATTATTCACGCTTTTTTATGTGCATTTTGTGACTACTTTGATTTCTAAGAAATATAAAATTGTCCTAACGCTTTATTTTAGTTGAAGAACCAAAATTAGTCCAAAAGGACAACTAAGTTTTCTGACTGACTCACAGATTCCCTTACTCACTAACTGGTAGTTCCATAAGAGCAGTCCCCATCCATCGTTCACAGCTGCATCCCCAGAGTCTAGCACAGAGAATGCATGGTTCCTATCCCGTCTTCCCCTTTCTCCAAACCCCGCTTTCCATTCCAAAGCATTCACGGTTCCCCCAAGAACAGCATGACTTTACAAATGTCCCCTAATCTGGAACACAGCCTTAATGTCATTTTTCAAAACCCAGCTCAGAGATCACCTTCTTCAGGAAGCCGTCCCTAGCACGCCTTTCTGTGTGCTGTTTCTACTCCTGTGCGTCTCTGTCCTGCTACCCTCAGCAAATGACATTACAACGATCTGTTTCCACACCTGTCTTCTCACTGGCCTGTGATCTCCTTTAGGTGAGCCGGGAACACAGTGGGAAGTCAGTAAAAGTTCACTGAATTGAACTGCTCAAAAAGAAAGGCATTTCTCAGCGATCCACACATTGAAAGAAATGCAGTAAGAATTATTATGAAATGCATTACACAATATTTTGAAGGTAACTGGCATTGAACTCAGTTACTTTACCTGTGAGATCCTTTTCTCGGAATTGTATGATAGGTAGAACCATTGTGTCTGCCAACTGTTTAGCCAGCTCTGTATGGAGAAGATTAAGCTGAAAGAAAGAGAATGGTATTCAAGTAAATTAAATACATTATTATTATTGACATAGTCTCATTTCACCAAGGAATCACACTGAACACTTCCGTGTGGTCACAGAGCTCAGGCAGACTTCCTCAGCAAGTAAGTACCCTTCATAAAGCAGTAAATGATATTGGCCTAGAAGCATGAAAAATGAAATGCAAGGTTCTAACTGACCAGGGCACCAATGAAGCTTGCTAACAGAGTGTCTGGGCCCACAGTTACCCTGTTCACTGGGCAGACTCTGCTTCTTCTGTGTTCCCACTCTGGGCCCCACCCCACTGGAGAATCCTAATGCCTGGATGTGCCTGCAGAGAACACAGCCAGCTGTCAGTGCTGTCATGGCTCAGGACCTCGCCAGGCTGCTCGACTCTCTCACTCTCCAGGGAGGCTGAAGCCACGCCTGAAAGATGGGCCTGCTGGAAACCTACTCGCCTGAAAACCACGGCCAGCTATGGGCCTGGAAGTGACTCTGGAGAAAGAATACTCCCTAACGGCTAGGCGTGGTAGCTCACGCCTGTAATCCCAGCACTTTGGGAGGCTGAGGCAGGCGGATCATGAGGTCAGGAGATCGAGACCATCCTTGCTAGCACAGTGAAATCCTGTCTCTACTAAAAATACAAAAAATTAGCCAGCATGGTGGCGGGCACCTGTAGTCCCAGCTATGTGGGAGGCTGAGGCAGGAGAATGGTGTGAACCCGGGAGGTGGAGCTTGCAGTGAGCCGAGATCGCACCACTGCAGTTCAGCCTGGGTGACAGAGCGAGACTCCATCTCAAAAAAAAAAAAAAAAAAAAAGAATACTTCCTACCAAAACAACTCTGCCAGATTTCAGACCTTTAGTCTAGAAAAGGACCTGAGAATAAGATAACTGCATTTGGATGTGATGCTCCTCACCAGATGATTTTAACAGCCCTTGACTCTTTCTCCCCTTCTACCTCAAGGACTGAGTAAATTCTATCTTTGTAAATTATCTAGGAGAAATAAAAATTATCCCTATCAGTGCATTTTTGAGTACTTTTTGCATGCCAGCTTTATACGCTCAATACTAAGTAGTTCTCACCCATTCTGTGAGTTAGGTATTATTTATCATCACCACTTTACAGACATGCAAATAGCTCTCCAAATCCAGAGGGCAAATAAACAGCATAGCTGGGCTTTTAATCTGGGGCTGGTGAGATCTAAGATTCGTTTACTTTCCACTACATAGCCTGGGATACAGAATTTGTCCTTTATGCTCACGTTTGGGAATCTAGACGTTGGCAATGAATACAGTGGAAGGGATCTTCCCACTAGACCACAGACTTCCAGATATTTTGGGATTCCTGCTGGGTGACTAAGGGGAAATCACCCAGCAATCACTTTTGGATTCAACATGTGGCAAAGTTTCTTTTAGCAGTGCTGGCAGTCACGCATATTCATCAACCTTCTGCACACGCATCTCCCAACAGATCTGGTCCTTCGAGGCTGTGGCTTCAGAGGCCACTCTTACAAGCTTAAAGACTTGCCTAAGGTCAACCATTTGCCAGGCAAGGAAGCACCGGGGCAAACTGCTAACACTTTCCCTATCGCTCAACCAAGTCAAAGCATGGCAGCTGTATTTGAGGGTAACACAGGAAGACAGCCATGCCAGTAAATGCCTTCAGAACAGAATGTGATGACTACTTTTCCAGAATAACTTCTATAAGAAAGGTACTGTTTTTCATTAACAGTTAACAGGCTCTGTGCTTGACGCTTTGAGAGACATTATTTAATTCAATCAATATAATAGCCCAATTAAGTGGGCCTTGCTGATGCCATATAAGATGGAGAAACCAAAACTCAGAAAGATTAAGTGTCTTTCCAATGGTTATGCACTACAGAAATGGTACATTTCCCAGCTACTCATTTTCTCCCCAAGAATTAAGGGGGTTATGTCATCAGCTTTTAACATGGGGCTTTTGAGCTGTGAGTTGTACAGGATAATCACTGCTAACCAGAGCACCTTCACTCAGGAGAATGGAAGGGGAATGCATCACCTCTCACAACTTTAGCATCACCATATAGAAAATGGGGACAACAGCATCTTCCTTGCATGGCTAAGGCATGTGAGGACAAGACAGTGACATGAACAGGACACACTCAGAGCAGAGTGCCTGGCATATATGCTCGGTCTTCAATCAGTGGACTCTAATGACAATGACATCCTGTCTCAGGTGCACTCAAAAGAAGTGGTCCAGAAACTCTGCTTTTAGGGAAATCACCATGCGTGGAAATCTCTGTGTGACTTATAACATGGAAGATCTCATTCCAACGCATTCTATCAGGTGTAAGCCACATAAATTTCTACTTTTTGTTGAACTTTCCTGTAATTTCTGAGTCAAATAACTTGCCTTAAAATTTTTTCAACCTGGTTTAGGCCCAGGTAGAGAGAACAGCTACTCCCCTCTTCCCAGATTTAGGCCCCACCTGGGCTAACTGCTATCACTTTCTGGGTCTTTACATCAAAAGGTTTGTTTGAAAACTCCTTGCAGAGCTAACTCTTCCAGGGTGCCATGATACTACCTGTAACAACCACACTTCTGGCTGGGCGTGGTGGCTCACACCTGTAATCTCAGCACTTTGGGAGGCTGAGGCGGGCAGATCACTGACGTCAGGAGTTCAAGACCAGCCTGACCAACATGGAGAAACCCCGTCTCTACTAAAAATACAAAATTGGCCGGGCGTGGTGGTGCATGCCTGTAATCCCAGCTGCTTGGAAAGGCTGAGGCAGGAGAGTTGCTTAAACCCGGGAGGCAGAGGTTGCGGTGAGCCAAGATCGTGCCATTGCACTCCAGCCTGGGCAATAAGAGCAAAACTCTGTCTCAAAAAATAAAAAAATAAAAACCATACTTCCATCCTTTGGGAACTATTCACTCCCTACTAAAACAATCATCATTCCTGCCCATGACAACGTGGTTGTAAGTAAATATTTTAAACTGGAAATCTTGCTTCTGGGGTTTCGACAACTAACCGCGTTTCCTTAGCAACTCTCTTCTCAAGCAAACATGTGACTCAGGAGTGTAGTCTATTGCTTCTCGCCCTGGGTTATCTTTCTACTGTTCATTAAGGAAAACTCTTCCCCAACCTTCCAAAAATCACTTTTGCTCCTCTATAATCACATCTTCTATGTATCTTTTATCCATTTCAACACATCTGAGAGAGAGCCACGCAGTGCATGTGATATCATGATATAATAAAAAATATGTATTTGGTCTTTGCCCCCAGTTCTTGGCATAGAGCTCTGAAAACCCTTGTAATTTCCTCATCAATAGAAGTGCTAGGAGCATATTTTGTTATAATACTTGGTCTTTGACCCCAGTTTCTGACACAGAGATCCTAATCCTTTGGAATTTCCTGGATGATGGGAGTGTCTTTTGTTCTGATGAGGCAACTCCTGGTGGCCTCCAGGATAGGGGCTGGTCACCAGAAACACCAAACCACGATTATGAGCTTGGAGCTTTTAGCCCCGCCCCCATCTTCCAGGAACGGGAGAGAGCTGGAGGTTGATCACATCTATGTGATGAAGCTGCCAATAAAAATACCTGAACTGCAGGGTTTGGAGAGCTTCCAGGTCATTAAAACACCTGGCAGAGCCCAGAGGGGTGACGTCCCCAGAGAGGGCACGGAAGTTCCACGCCGCCTCCCCTGTACCTTGCCCTATGTATCACTTAATCTGGCTGTTCATCTGTGTCCTCTGTAATATCCTTTATAATAAAGGTAAATTTAAGTGTTTCCCTGATTTGTGGGCCATTCTAGAAAATAATCAAATCCCAGGGGGATGTTGCAGGAACCCCTAGTTTATAGCTCGTTTGTCAGAAGTACCAGAGGCCTAGACTTGCAATTGGCATCTGAAGTGTGGGGGAGGGGGTAGTCTGGCGGGATCATGCCCTTAACTTGTGGGATCTGAGGCTATCTCCAGGTAGATATGTCAGAATTGAGTTAAATTGTAGGACAGCCAGTTAGTGTCACAGAATTGCTTGATGTGGGGAAAACCCACACATTTTGGTGACCAAAGTGTGCTGAGTGCTGAAAGTATAGAAAGAGAATGAGTTTGTCTTTTTCCTACTGTTTAGTAGGGTAGAGGACAAAGCCCAATAAAAATCATATGACGTGTTCACTTTTACATCCCCCGTGCCTAGAACAGCGTCTGCTAAATAGGAGGTCATCAATAAATGTTTGTTGAATAAATAATGGCTTGTTGAACTGGTTTGTTGAATAAACGAAAATGCAATCAGTACAGTTTTATATGAATGTTAGTTTCTCATTTTGTAAACTGAAGACAGTATCTACTGCAGATCAATAACTGGTCAGTTAAATGGCATCTGCACACTCCTTTATGTTTATTCTTTATCATGATTTTTTGAGTATTCAAACTCCTTAAAAGATGGAACTATTTGGCCAGGCGCGGTGGCTCATGCCTGTAATCTCAGCACTTTGGGATGCCGAGGTGGGCGGATCACAAGGTCAGAAGACCGAGACCATCCTGGCCAAGATTTTTAGTAGGGTGAAACCCTACTAAAAATACAAAAAATTAGCCGGGCGTAGTCCCAGCTACTCGGGAGGCTGAGCCAGGAGAATGGTGTGAACCCGGGAGGTGGAGCTTGCAGTGAGCCGAGATTGCGCCACTGCACTCCAGCCTGGGAAACAGAGCGAGACTCCGTCTTATAAACAACAAAAAAAGATGGAACTATTTATATCTACCTAATTTTGCAGAGTTCTGTCCAGCACTAGTAGCATCTGAGCTCTTATGTTTTTTACAATTAGAATTTATGCACTTTTCCTATAATACCTGGTTTCGTTTTTTACAAATATTCCAAATGTACTGTAAAATATAGCTATAAGAACAGTTGTATTAAACCCTTTGTAGTAAGCTAGGCATGGTGGCCCATGTCTGTAACCCCAGCACTTTGGGAGGCTTAGACAGGAGGATCCTTTGAGGCCACAGTTTGAGGCCAGCCTGGGCAACAAAGCAAGAGGCCATCCCTACAAAATTAAAAAATGAGAAAAAAATATAAAAATAAACCCTTTGTAGTGGGTTGAACTGTGACCCTCCCCTAAAAGATATGACCACCCAGAACATGTGAATATTTGAAAAAAAGAGTCTTTGCAGATGTAATGAAGGATCCTGAAATGAGATCATCCTGGATTGTCACTAAATCCAATGCCAAGTGCCTGTATAAAAAGAGAAGACACAGAAGAGGAAAAACATGGGGGGTAGAGGGGATGTAAAGCCAGACTGGAGTGATGCTGCCACAGCCAAGGAACACCTGGAGCCACCAAAAGATGCACGAGGATTCTCCCCGGAGCCAACGGAAGCAGTGTGGCCCTGCCAGCACCTTGACTTCAGCCTTCTGGCCTACAGCACACTGGGAGGGAATAAAGTTCTGTTGTTTGAAGCTACATATTCATGGTAATTTACTATGGCAATCTGAGAAACTAATATACTCTCCTTTAGAAACCGAATTCTCAGAAATCTTTCTTTTGGTCTATTCTTCATATATATCGAAGCCATTCCCCTCAAACCAGAAACAAACATTAATAGTTAGTGTATAACCTCTCCTAGGAAAGGAGCTTTGTAAGATCAAGAAGTTGAGATACCTTCTCAGATATTTAAGTAGAAATTTAAAAATGGAAAGTGGGCCAAAATAACAACAAAAGAAAGTTCGAGAAAGAATCAAATACAAATTTTCTATGTTGCTATCTTACCTCATCCACCACTTTGGAAAAATAGTGGAGTGTTGAAATTACTTCTTCATCACCTTTGCCAAGAGCAAAGTTCTAAGACCAAAGAATAAAAGAAGCAGGTGTTAAGTGAATACTGGGGAATTCAGCACGAAGCATCACCTGCAGAACACGACCCTCCACACCGACGTCCTTTCTTCTCCAAGAGCACGTCCTATCAGAAGTGTCTACCTGAAGAGGGAGTCACAGCTATCCCCTTTGTCCTGCCCCCAGGGTGCACTCATCTGACCCTCCCTGGCCATTCCTTTCTGTCAAACATATTTTTTGACTTTATTTGAGTGTTTATTTCCTGGAATTGCTAATGTTGATTCACTTGTAGTTCCTTGGAGACTTGGAACCCTCAATGGCAGTTAATTACTTCTAGAGGCTAATTAGAATACCTCATAAAGACTTTGGGATAATCACTGATTTCAATACATCAGTGGAAGGGAAAAGACAGGACAAAAAAACTATGAAGAAAATGAAACAAATAATTTAGGTCTCTAAGGATGCCTCTGGATAATTCCACTTAAGAAAGTCCTGAACACAGCAGCATCACAGGCCACATAAATACCAAGTTACCTGTTTTTCATATGCCAGCAGTTGCTTAGAAAGCTGTTGTGTGGCCAGGCACATCTCATTCTGTGGAGAGAAGAGAAAAAGCAAGTAAGATTAGTCCAATGTATACATAGTCACTGAAAAATGCCATCTCTGAGAATCCCTTAAAAAGTAATATTGGCTGGGTCCAGTGGTGCACACCTATAATCCTAGTACTTTGGGAGATTGAGGCAGGAAGATCACTTGAGACCAGGAGTTTGAGACCAGACTAGGCAACACAGCAAAACTCCATCTCTGCAAAATAAAAACATTTTTAATTATCCAGGCAGGATGGCATGCACCTGTAGTCCCAGCTATTCAGGAGGCTAAGATGGGAGGACCCCTTAAGCCCAGGAGGTTGAGGCTGCAGTAAGCCATCATTGTGCCACTGCATTCTAGCCTGGGTGACAGAGTGAGACCTTGTCTCTAAAAAAAAATTATAAAAGAAAAAAAAATCCCTTTCCACCATATGGAGCTAAAAGAAAAAAGAAGAAGAAAGCATATGTGTGTGCCTGTCAAATAATAAAATGTTTTGTTCAGACATTTGGAAAACAATACCAAAACAAATCAAAAGGTTAAAGCTTGCTATTTTATTTTTTAACCCTTTACAAATGACTGCTCCTTCTGGTCAGTCAGTCCATAAAGAAATGTAGTGAGCAATTATAATGTGCCAGACATTCAACAAGGGCACAGTCCCTGTCCTCATGGGGCTTTTCAGGGAAGCACGCATCAAAAAAATAGTTACAAGTGTGATGAGAACTGCAAAAGAAAAATACTGGCTGTGTTGGGAGGCTCTGACAGACAGTCTCCAGGGAACAGATGTTCTGAAGACAAACTAGGAGTCAGCCATGGGGACGAGCTTTCCAGGAGGCGCCAACACGTGGAAGAAATGCACTGCCTGTCTGAACAGCTCTGAAGTGGAGCGTGGCTGGGGCAAGAGCTGTGCGCTTGGAGGTGATATCAGGCTGGGAATGAGGCAGTGGGAAGGTGTGCAGGCCCCCGGGGCCCAGGCTCACACATACTGGAAGCACAGTGGGGACTGAAGCAGCATATGACAAGGTCAGATTCCACCAGGCTTAGAACACTCGCTGGCAATGATGGATGGTAACAGAAGCACAGCTAAACCCAAGTATCCCAGAAAACCAGAGGAAACACTGCTCTTCAAGAGCTGCGATGCCCTGGGAGGCCTGTTTTGTGCCATTTTCACCAGCCCGTACTGCTCATTTTCCTCTCCTCTTGTTTATTCCTCTAATCTCTGGCTACACAGCGGTTTTCTACCACTATCCTCCTACCACTGATGTGGGCAGCCTAGAAAACTTGCCTTACATTTCTAAAGCTCAGTTAAAGCTTAAGATTCAGGGTTTATTCCTAAGGAGCAGAGCCACTGGGTCTGACATGGCACAGATGATGGGAGGACACTGGCCTACCTCCTTGGCCTTGGCCTCCACTGGCTATTTCTCCTGGGGTTGTTGTTCCTTTAAGGCTAAGTCCTGAGCTCTGCAGGAGCTTATTTTATTTTTCCCAGTCCTATTTGGCAGAATACAGTAGAGCCAAGTCCTACCTTTTTTTGACCCTCTTCGCAGACAACTGGCCAACCTGTTCCCTGACTTCCTGCTCTGCCCTAAGGAATAGGCATTAATAGACCAGGAAACGTGGCTCTTTTTCCTCAGAAGAAAGTCAGACAAATACAACAAAAGTGCCTGGCTCTGACATCCTACTGGTATTCAACCCCTTTCAAAACTAACCAGAAATGTGACTTCTAGCCACATAGTCAGGAAGTCAGCAAGTGGACAAAGCCACAAGCACAATGTCCTTCATTCAGATAGGAACGTCCAACAATTCTTAGCACACAGCAAGCCCTCAACAAATGTTTGATGAATGAATGAATGAACAAGATTAGAAGATTCATCTAAATTCCAAGTTTAAAACAATACCTGAAATCATGGTGTAAGGGTTTTAAAATCCTTCCTAACTGTACAAGGAAACATCACAAATGAAATAAAATACAAAGCAATTGGCCAGAGACTACTACCTGTCAACCATCTTTAGCAGTGTTGTTTTGAAGATCAGAGTGCATGGAAACAAAGGTCTTATCTCACTCACTGGGCTGATACTCAGCTATGACTGAAAATCTCGTGCTCCTTCTTTCTGAGTTAGCAGCAGATGGATTCATTCAAGCTATCTTGGCATGTTCCTGAGGGCAGCACCATGTGGAACATGATTTGCAGACCCACAGAATCATTGTAACAGCAGCTAACATTTACAGAGGGCTTCATTCATGCCAGACCCTATGCTAAATGCATTCTGTGCACGACCTCATCTAATTCCAATGACCCTGTAAAAGCAGGTTCTAATTAATAACTCTATTTTATAGATGAAGAAACTGAAGCACTGAGAGATTAAGCCACCTGTGCAAGGATACACGGCTGATGAGTGGCAGGGCTGGGATGTGAACCTGGAGCTGTCCGATTCTAAAATCCACACTCCTAAATGCTACTGAGATCCCAAGTTCTACCACAAGGCAGGAGAGGAGAAGGCCTCTGCTTTACACTAGGGTGGGCAAACTTTTTCTGTAAGGAGCCAGAGAGTAAATATTTTAGGCTTGTGGGCCATATATGGTCTTTGCCACAACTATTCAACTCTGCTTTGTAGCACAAAAGAAGCCAGAAATAACATATAAACAAGTAAATGTGGCTTCATTCTGATATAACTTTATTTACAAAAATAAGATGCTGGCCCAAGAGCCATGGATTACTGATCCTGCTTTGTCATCAGATGTCTCAAAGACCCATTCTTTTGCCACACCCTCTGCAGGAGGCTCTCTTAAGCTACACCATTTCAGATCCCAGGAGCTTCTACTCTTCTAATTCATTCTTTTCTTTATTTTAGTCAACTCTAATATGTTACTTCCCCATATATGCCTCCTTCAGAGACTGGTCAACACATATAACCACCCTCCAGGCCTTCCAAACAAGCAGGGACCATGGGCCACTCAAGTTCTTCCTCAGAGCTTACTGGCAAATGCTCCGAATGTAATGGAAAGACCTGCCAGGGAACTGCCAGCATCAGGCTGTACCCAAAGCTCAAGGGGAGAGCACTCATGTGCCACTCACACAGCCACACAGCTCCACCTCCGCTCAGGGAAGAAGGGGCACAGCGTGCAACACACAACAGCTGCCTTCCAAAACGACTTCGAACAACCAGACTCTCTGGGTCTCTCCTAGGAATACCATTTGAAAATGCTGCGTGTTTTCCTATGTGTAATATTTCAGGGTGCAAGACCAACTATGATTCTGTGCAGCCAGTATGAGTTCATCGGAAACCAACATGCTTACAACACAGCCTGTCACCTGCCCTGAACAGAGCACATTGTGTGAAAAGTCTTTCAAAAGAGATCAACTTTAATCTTACTCATACTTAAGCTACTGTACACAAAGGTTGTAAGAAATGCTTTACCAACATCAGCTAATTAATCCACGCCCTGTGCCCTGTGAGGTAGGCCTGCAAAAATATCTCTACAACAGGACTTGCAAAACTGGAGCCCGAGTGAGGAGTAAATATTAGCAATAACATCAATAAAGATAGCTGCTAACCCTGAGTCTGCCCTAAGTGCTTGATGTTGCTGTTAAATGTTTTTCATATATTATCACATTTAATCCTCACAGTGCACCCATGAAGTAGATACTATTATTATTTCCATTTTGTAAACGTGGAGACTAAGCTTCAGAAAGGATAAATAACTTTCTAAAGCCACATGACTAGTGACTGGCAGGCAACAACTTAATGCAGGACTCGAAATCAAAAGCTCATGTTCTGACTATTATGCTATTCCAATCTAAAGTCCAAAATTGCACCTACTCAATACTCAGGTGGGCAGGACCTGTAGGGCCCATAGATATGAACCTAAGTCCCACACTTTTCTAGTGGTAGAAGAGCAAAAGACGTGGGCTAAAGTGGGAATTCTCAATGGAGTTCCATGAGCAGCATTGTTTTGGGCACTCTGGGCCGCTCTGGCTGCCATCTACACTATGCACCGCTTTGTGAGAAGCCCTGAAAGGACACCCTGAGGAGGGTTTGCTGACAGCATCTCCCATGCTCAACAGAACCTCCCGGGGCTGTTGCCAAGGCAGAAAATCAAGTGGCTAGCAAGCCTGAAAGGAAAACTGGGCATTTGGCAAAGGAATGTTTATCTTTCTGTAGCACAGAACGCTAACTAAATGCAACTGTCACCTGAAACCCCCAAGGGCCTCTGTGCGCAGCAGCATCCACGGTGAATATGAATGGAGAGGCTAGAGAGTGGGGTGGAGGAAATCCACATCGATCTATACCAACTATTTGGCTGGAGATGTTGCCTAGTCACATTCAGTACCCAGTGTTTATCACAAAGCTGGCGGTCACGGGTCGCACTAGTTCAGGAGCCCCTCGAGACAGGATGCACACAGGGAGTAGTGAGGGGTGTGGCAAGAACGCGGCTGGAGCGTCTCATGCGAGGCAGGCCACGGGGGGATGCCTGCTGGACCTGGACTTTATTCCAGCGGCAGTGGGGAAGCACCAAGGAACTCAGGCAGGAGTATGAGAAGCTCAGGCACGGGTGGAAGAAAACCAGGAGTGGTGGTGGTGGGAAGAAAACACTGAAGTGGGAGAGAGAATAGATGAGGGGGACTGATCAGGAGGCCACTTGGAGAAGCTGAGATAAACAAGTGTCTGAGCCTGAGGCAGACAGTGCAGAGCGGGGCATGGAGGTATTCCTGAGGCAGAAACAGCAGGGTGTGGTGAGTGAGGAAGGCGGGGGAGTCAGAAAGAACTGTGCTGCCCATGTGGAAGGCCAGATGGAGAACGGTGCCTTCAGCCAAGGAACTGAGGAGGGGATATGAATTTGGAAATGACAACAAAGTGTGCCGTTGAGATGTCCTTGCTTTTAGGTGGAGCTGTCCCAAATTCAGTCCTTCATTCAACACCTATGGGGCCAGACTGCTACCTACCAAACACTGAATGGGGCCAGACATGGTGTAGGGCACTGGCAACATCTAACTCTGAGCTCTGGGAGCTGAGAGTCCATGAAGGGACAAGGAAACCCCGTCATTATGTCTTAAGTGCTCTGACCAACAAGTGTACAAGGCATTTGGGCACACTGGCGAAGGGCAATGGCACTTCGGCCAGGAAGGGAGAGGAGGAAGGAAGAAAAGGTGTCAGAGAAACTTTGTCAGGCTTGCGGTCAGTCTCAGAGGCCAGGAAAGACATCTGCCAGGGCAACAGGTTAATAAAGAAACAGGCAGCAGGAGTGGCAGAGCAAGAGTGGAGGGTGTGCAAAAGGTCTGGCATGTTCTGGGACAGCCAGCAACAAGACAAGAGGAGCAGGCTGAGATGCAGCTCATGAAGGATTTAGCATGCCTTGCTGAGGACTTTATGCCTTTTCCTTGTGGTTACAGAGAGCCACGGAGGCGTCTGAAGATGAGGAGGTGACGGGAAGGTTTTAAGTAATCCAGCTGCGGTGTGGAGGAAGAATGAAAAGGGGAAGACGTCTTCCTGACGACAGGAACTGCAATCGCCCAGGGAAGAGCTAAAGCTAACTCTGCACAGTAACAACAGGCAAACGTTGTTTCGAATAAAGACCCAGAGTCTGGAAAGTGGCAAGGGCCAGAAAAGGATTCAGAAATGGCCAGGTAGTTGCTAAAGTGATCTTGCCCAGGGAGTGAACACAGACTCGCCAGAGAAGGATTCCAAAGGAATTCTGCAGGACCCCAAGACTTCAGGGAACCACCAAGAACAAGGGGCAGAGCCCAGGAGGGGGCCAGGAGACAGCCTGTCAGAGGAGCCAATGGAAGACAGTTTCGAGGGGGGTGTTATTAACAGAATCAGATGTTGCCCATGGGCAGAGTGGAGAGAGGCTGTGAGCCAGGCACTAAGCAGCCTCCCATGCAAAGTGGAGGCCAAGACCAGACTGAGGTGGCTTGAGGAACAAATATCAGATGTTTGGCGAGGAGCCAAAGATGGCACATACTGCTGTTCCTTCAAGAAAGGATGAGAGGACTAAACTTCTATTTAACCCAAATAGCAGTGCCAGTGTACAGTGCTATTGCAACTATTATTATCATAAAACAGAAGACGGTTCTGTTCACACTGAGAGCACTCTGTGAGCAGAGACTGATCTTAGCATTTTACAGGTATTAACATGATTAACTCACAAGAACCCTCTGAGGTGGGTATTCTTATGGCCTTTGTTTAGCTGATAAGGAAACTCAGGCAATCAACTGATGATGGCTCGACCTGCCCAAGGTTACACAGCAAGCGGCTGAGCCAAGACTGGAACTCAGATCTGTGAAGTCCAAGGTCACACACTTAACTCCTGTACCTGAGTGAGTGAGCCTCACCCAGAATAATCTAAAAGCAATCAACAGCTTTTAGATTGCTATCTGAAAGCTACCAATGCCAGCATGAGGGAAAGCTGCAGACCAAGTGCAGAACCCAGGTCTAAGAAGTCATTACCAAGAGCCATTCACGCCCTCTGCTCCCTCCGACCTTAAGCTACATATGCACCTCCTCTCAGTCCCTGTCAGATAAGCCTCAATGTGACTGGTTTTCAGGGCTGCTAAAACACACTGATTAGAACATTTATGGATAAAAACTAATGAAACCAAGAAAGTTATTCTGGGATACAAAAAGGAACTGGGTCCTGCCTCTAGCGTATTACAAAGCTGTGGGCTGATAAACAAGGGTGGTTCTTCCATGATGACAAGAGGAGCCTCTAAAAGCTTACACTTCTTTGGCCTCTGCTGCCATTAATGGTGGCTAGCGTGTCAGGAGAGCAAGCATAGTGGTTAAGAGCGAACGCAGGCTTTGCAGTCAAAGATCTGGGTTTAAAATTCTGCCACTCATCAGCTGTGTGACCTTAGGCAAGCTACTTAACTTCTCTGAGTCTTAGCTTCCTCATCTGTAAGCACATACTATACAAATACCTCCCCTCTGTTGTGAAAGCTGAGTGGCCAGCCTAGTGCGTGGCACTTTTATGTGCCTAAGAAAGGCCACTATTTTCACTCTTAAAACATGCAGCTGTGACCCTGATCTGCCTCCTAGGTGCTTCTCCCTCCCCCATGACAAACTCACACTCCTGGATGCTCACTACTGTCATCTGGTTTCCCACTCGGTACATTCACTTGTTTAGCTTGCTATCTATATCATCATTCTAAAGAAAAGTACTTTTTTCTTTATATACCAAATTATGCATACTTTACTCCTATTCCCTCCCACTGTCTTTACCCCAATTTGAGAAAATACTACTTCCACCTCCAATTCGGGCTTCTAGGATCAGGAGTTTTAAGATCAACTTTCAGGATCAGTAGTTCTGTATTCTGAAAGCTTTGGTTAAGAACGACTGCAGACATGTAACTGTTAAATTAAACCTGCTTTGCTGAAGGAAAGTGAGAGTCTTAATCACGGTTCTCATTTCAAAAAAATTCCATCCCAAATTTACTTAAAAAAAAAAAAGCAAAAACAAAACCAAAAAATCTCATACAAACTGAAGGTAGCAACTACAGAGGTTTGTCATCTGGTGGAAGAGAATGCCAGGTTACAAGGGTTGCCAGGTTTCGTGAATACCGCTGGGGATAGCCTTCCTGTCCTGCCTGCCAGGAACATTATTACCCCTGGCCCCACTTTCTCAGTACAACAGCTGAGAGGAGAAGCAAGATGACCTAAATAAATTTCACTGTAAGCCCCTAACAAATCCATTTTAAAAGATTAGAAAATTTTAAACCTCTTTAGGAAAGAAGAATATTATGGCCGAGATGCAGAATGAAAATAAATATTAAATGTGTTGAATGCAAAATTTGAGAATTAACTGAATATATATGCATATGCATCTATTTAGACATAACTGAAGTTTTTAACTTATTTAGCCAATAGTTTGAAAAATAGACTGTTCTAAGTAACCAGGCTCTTCTCTGTTAATGCACTGGAAAGGTACACTACTACTTTCATTCAAAGGACCCACAATGGACTATTGCCAGACGTGACTCCAGGGACTACTGTAAGATGCTGAAAACAGCTTAGAGCCTATAGTTTCATTCTAGAGGTTAAGACAAACAAAATTTAAAATTTCCCCAAACTAGCCACAATCAGCAAAACTGCTCATAGAAGTTTTCCTCTAGTTTTTCTTGTTCTTCCTCTTTCTAAAACTAAGGTCTCTGAAGGGCATTCGCAATATCAGCATCCAGAAATATACCGTGTAGTCTGATTAAAATATCTTTTATGAACACTTATCATTTATCAGCAGCGTAAGCCTGCTTTTGAAAATATGATAATGAAAAACTGTATCTTGCGGAGAGTCTGTTTTTACAAAGGAAATTATAAAACTATCAATCAAATTCAACATGCCTAGGTATAAAATATTTATGGAATAACGTGCAATGAAACCAAGAAAACATAACTTTAGGGGAAAAAACTTGAATGAAAACACTGAGAAATATACTATCTTAAAATATATATATGAAAACAAACAGATCAAAACAGGAATCAGAAAAGATTTCTTTCTTCAATTAAAAACAAAACGAAACACCTAAGCTTTCAAAGAAACCTGAAAAACCAAGTGTCCTTGGCCCAGCCAATCTGAACACAGCTGATCACTGCTTGACTCTGTCTTTGAATCTGGCAGCACTAACCAGACATTCTCACCAGCCTGTGCTGCAGGAAACGCTGAGGCAGGAGGAAGGGTTTCTGGCCAGCAGGAGAACCCACGTGATGATCATATGCTGCGCATTAAAAGCTGGGTTACAGCCTCTAGGAAGGAAAGACCCACTTAATTTTGGCAAAATGTCGTTTTCTGCCTCAACAGAAAAAAATGCATGAGACAGCGTTTGGATAACCCCAAGTAGATGATTCTGACAGACACCGAAAGGCAGAACAGAGACTCCTCAGAGTGACAGAGACACAGTCTCTCACGTCTTGGGTTTTTAAGCCTTAAATAAGAGACAAATCACTTAGTGACGAAATACAAATTGCTGAATAGCAAGCAATTTCAGGTATAAGCCCAGTAAGAACATTCCTGTTTTCTTAAATCTAGAATATTTAGGGAAAAATACAAAAACAAAAATTGACGAAGTTCTCATTTCTCTAAATTCTGAATGTCTTAACAAAACACATAAAATCACAGGTGAACACATAATTCTTTTGGTCATTAAAACTAGTTCTAGCTACTCAGAAGGCTAAGACAGATCACTTGAGGCCAGGAGTTTCAGACCAGCCTGGGCAACATAGTAGGACCTTATCTCTACCAAAAATCAAAAAGAAAAAAAATTAGCTGGGTGTGGTGGTGTGCACCTGTAGTCCTAGCTACTTAGGAGGCTGAGGCAGGAGGATTACTTGAGCCGTGGAGTTAGAGGCTACAGTGAGGTATAATCATGCCACTGTACTCCATCCTGGGTGACAGAGTAAGACCCTGTCTCTGAAAATTAAAAATAAAAAAAAAAGACTCTAGTCCTTTTTTTAATATTTACAAAAATTTTGTGTAGATACAGGTCCTCACTATATTGACTAGGCTGGTCTCAAACTCCTGGCCTCAAGCAATCCTCCCGTCTTGGTCTCCCAAGTGCTGGGATTACAGGCCAGCCCAAAGCTAGTTCTAATTAATAAGTTACACTTATACCTTACTGCATAGTTTGCCTATCTATATCTCCAGCCCTGTACTCTGGATCTGAACTTTCAACAAGATCTCTTTATCCACTTTGATGTCCCATGAACTCCTCAAAATCAGTGTTTCCAGAGAGAATTACAGTTGGGCATCCCCATGACAGATATGCACTCACAGGCACGCACACACACTCATACGCACCCTGCGCCTCTTCCTGTGTTCTCCCATGTATCCACCCTGCCGTTCCAGATGAATACCTGAACATCATTCTTGATTCATCCTTTACCACCTGACCCCTTCATACCCAATCAATCACCAATCCACCTCCTAAATACCTCTCAAGTACAGCTGCTTCTTTCCACTTCTACTGCCACCTCCCCTATGCTTAGGAGTGAAGAGTCTCAGCTTGGCTCCAGCTGATTTGCTCTGCCATGAATTAAATGGGTGCACCTGGACAAGTTTCTCACCATCAGAATCCTTAAGTCTCCCAACCAATACCATAGGCATAATAACAATAACAATACCCACCTCAGAGTTGTTAGGGGAATTTAAATAAAATAATCAACATAAAAGCCCCTGGAAGTTCCTGGATGCTATTAAGTATTCAATAAATCTCAACTCTTACAATCACCCTCCTTTTGCGTGCCCAGCACAACCCCACTAGGTTAGGTGGCTCTCCTCTCCTGGCCCCTCTAAGGCTCTCTGGTGATTGCTTTGTCTGCCTCCCAACCCAACTGTCAGCTCCCCAACGGCAAGGACTGAGTCTTATTCCCATATGATGGGAAATGACTAATAAAACAATGAGCAGTAATAGAGTGGTGAACCTATGTAATAAGAAATGACTATATATATTAGTAAGAGCTATATACTACTGAATGTGGTATAGGTTAAGTACCCTGCATCTGAAATGCTTGGGACCAGAAGGATTTAGGATTTTTTCAGATTTTGAAGTATTTGCTGTATCAGTCGAGCTTCCCAAATCCAAAACTCCAAAATGCTCCAATGAGCATTTCGTTTATGTGTCGTGTCAGCACTCAAAAAGTTACAGATTTTGGAGCATTTCGGATTTTGGATTTTCAAATTTGGGATGCCCAATCTATATTCCTTAAGAGATTATTAATGAGAAAAATATCAACACATAAGATTTAAGTCAGCAAGGAATCAACAATGAAAATGATCAGTTACCATAATATTGTGATGTGTTCAATGCTTTGTAACATAAAGCATTTTATTTTTAAGTAACTCATAAATCTTCTCTTAGAAAGCAACATACATGGGCACTTCTTGACATTAAAAAGATTCACTTTTGCTACTCAGCAATTTCTTTTGCATGCTTTTGCAAGCCAGAGATATTTGTTCCACAAACAAAGAAGCCACCCGATAGTTTCAGAACTGTGACTCAAGTCTTTTCAGAGGAAGCAGTTGAAAAAACATCTCTGCCCTCCCACACTGACATCTAAGACTCTGCCCATTTATGAAAAAGACAAAGAGTATGTGTCAAAATACTGGACCCACTTATTCACAAGTAGGAAGAGGAGACTCAAATGTTTCCCACTGGGTTGAATTTAAAAAAAAAAATTAGGAGCAGTTATGTGGCCCATCTCTAATGGTTCTAATTAAAGACAAATCACTCTTAAGCAATGAGAACAGACTGTCCTTAGGTTTTTGAGGTGAAAAGTAGTGAGAAAACAGTTCTGATTTTGTTTCAAAATCTTAAATGATGTTTTTCGGATTCCAATTTCTCAACCTCTGAGGGAAGTTCAGGATGAGGGGAGAGAATGCCCACTCTGCGGTATCCAGGTGAGGGGTGGCAGCATACCTGGGCTCCATAGACGCGCTGCATTGCCTGGAGCAGCTGGTTGGTATAGTCTGTGAGGGTGCCAGCATCTTCTTCAAACACGCTCAGTAAAGAGCGAGTCTGGAAGAAAAGAAGAAAAAAGGTCAATTTCATTTCTAAGTGGAAAAGTTACAGAGGAGGAGGAAGATCCACACACCCGCACATGCAGAAACCAGAATGCGAGGAAAGAAAGGTACCTGTTGGTTCCCTGGCTTCTTTTATTGATAGTACCAGTACCATTTGATTCCTGGAGCTCTGGTTTAGAGCTCGCTTTCTAATCCTTTAGACTACAGTGTCAGGGCAATTTCAGAATTGGAGCCAGAAAAGCCAGTTTTTAAAAGATTATGACTGAAGGGCTATTATCTGTTCTGACTTTAGCCCCTACCTAAGCACCAGTAAAGTCTATCCAATAAAAAAAGTGTTTAAAAGGGCAGCCTCTCCTCTCAAGTCCATAAGATAAACACAGGTCAGGCCTATCTGTGTACCTGGGGTGTGGTCATCTAGCACAGCTGTAGTGTGATCATCCCAGCAGGAACCAGCAGTCTGGTTTTTTGTAATCTTGGATGTCTTGCAGGAGTGTAGGAGTGTGTCATTCTTTCCTCTTATGGTACTACGATTTCCTTGTTTCTTTTTCTTTCTTTCTTTCTTTTTTTGAGATGGAGTTTCGCTCTTGTTGCCCAGGCTGGAGTGCAATGGTGCGATCTCGGCTCACTGCAACCTCTGCTTCCCGGGCTCAAGGGATTCTCTTGCCTCAGCCTCCTGAGTAGCTGGGATTACAGGCACCCACCACCACACCTGGCTAATTTTTTGTATTTTTAGTAGAGACAGGGTTTCACCATGTTGGCTAGGCTGGTCTCAAACTCTTGACCTCAGGTGATCCACCCACCATGGCCTCCCAAAATGCTAGGATTACAGGTGTGAGCCACCGCACCTGGCCTGCTTGTTTTTAATTATATTTTATTCAACCATTTTCAAACTCACGGCCAAGAAATTTCACAACCCCTGGGCCCACCAGCAGCAGCTCTGGACATAAAACTCAAATAGCAACTTAATAAGAATGCTAGTTTACCGTTTTTAGGAAGACAAACTCCTCAGTGCTCAGAGAGCAGCTGAGCAAAGTCATAAGCTGAAAGGCATTTCCTATCATTTTCATCCACGGTGCTCAGAACACAAAAAGCACTAGAGAAATATTTACATACTGGATGGTGTACGAACAAGAATTAAGGTGCACAGAGGCAGATCTACTCAAGGGATTTTCGTTAATGTGCCCAGCACAGTGGGAATTTAAAGTACTATGTTAGCAATAATTGGATCACAACTTCAAAATATAACCCATTAGGCATAGAATGAAGAATAATTTCAGGAATGCCTTTGAGGTGATATCAAAGCACTTTACCAAATACAACTCACTAAGGCTCATTATTTCCCTGCAAATAAATTGCAATTCCTCCTTTTCTTTTTCTAACTTATTTCAGGTAAAGGAACAGTAACTGACCCCAAAGCACCCTCAAAAAACTAGAATAAGAACCTATGCATTGGGATCATTACCTCCCACCACACATGCTCTACCCAGACTCTGCTCCAAAACTCTGATGCGCTTCACAGCAATGCATGCTTATCCCGCTTTGCCCAGTCTTCCGGGCTAAAAACACCAGGACTAATGTACTGTCTTCAGTACCAATGCTTATCCATAGAAGAGCCACTGTGCAATAATGAATAAGGAAATTGTAACATCATGTTTAAAAAAGCTCTCAGTGAAAGAAAAACAACACAGAATTTGTACAGTGTATAATTTGTGTTAGAAGAGCTCTCTGAACTTTCAAAAATTCATAATCACAGTATGAAATACATCAGGACCTGAACAAAGGTTTTCCCAAACAATATTTATCGATAATATGCATACACATTGTGGCTTTTTCCTATTTTAGTCTATTCCATTTATAAACAAAAATTGTGGTTGTGACCCACTGGATTTCATAATCTACTAATGGATGTCAACCAGTAGGTTAAACACACTGATTCAGGAGAATGAGAAGTGATATAACTGGATTGTGGCTAGTTTTTTCAAAAATACTACTATGTCCATTTAGCCAAATCCTGTTTATTGCATTTAATACTCTAAGGGATAAAAACAGACTGGAAGAAAAGAGGTAAAAAGGGAAAGAGAGGGTTTGCATGAATGTCCTCCACAAAGAGGGTAGAAAGAAAACTAAAATTACCACTTACTCTGTACCACCTATGTGCTGGACGCTGTGCTGGGCACTAAACATATGTGACTTCATTTAATTCTTCTAGCAACTCTCCAAGGTAGATTCCATGGTTCCATTAACTTCATTTTACTGATGATGAAACTGAGGCTCATCAAGGTTAAGAAATGTGTTCAACCTCCCACTGTAGGAATGTGGCAGGGCTGGGATGTAAATGGGTCGGCAGCACTGAGGTCACCAGCAGGGTGGCTCTCATCAGCGAGCATGATCTTTGGTCCACAGCGTACAGCCCTGACTGGAGGCAGGACAGGGGCAGACTGGAGCTGGATGCTACTACCATGTTCCCGCCCACAATACCTGCCAGAGAACTACATCACAAGTGTCCTTTTTCCTTATATCGTGGAAATGCAACTGTGATGCCCATTAGAACTGACAGGGAAACTCTGGTCTTCCCTTTTTAATTTAACTTGGCAGTGATCACCTCTGGAAAAAATATAACCAGCTACCTTGGACACTGGCTATCCTCATTTACTATACTGTGTCTGCTCAAACTTTGGTTTGGAACAACAGAGATATTCTGAGACATAAAGAAGGAATGAGACCAAGAATAAAGCAAAGGCACACCAGTAGCTCAAAATCCCACGGTCAGAAAGACACGGTCAGAAAGACACTGGTATATCTCACTTACAAAGATAACAACAGCAATCATTTATGGGGTTACTATGGCATGCCAGCATGGAGACACTTTACATATGTTACTTGTTCTTCCTAACAACTCAACTAAATAGCTATTTTTATTTTTATTTTACATACCTCCAAACACAACCTCAGAGAGATTGAGTAACTTGCCAAAAGTAACAGTAGCAGATTCAGGAGTGGAATTCCATCCATTTTCTACTGCCCGACACTTTTAAGGGTATGCTCGGCCAGAGAAACAAATCCAAGCACCCTATGCACACAGCCTCAGCTCCCTATCACTCCTTTACCTTAAAGAAACTGGGTATTACCTAATAAAACACTCCTAGACATTCTCAAGAATAGTGTGTGTAATTGTGTAGTGGCCCAATGTTAACACCACTGACTACTGAGAAAATTTTAAGGTTATAAACAAAGTTCTTATCTCCATAATTTGGTGGAGGAAGAGAATGTCCTAGTGAAAAGAACCAAGACTTTGGGAGGCCAAGACAGGAAGATTGGTTGAGCCCAGGAGTTCAAGACCACCCTGGGCAACACAGCAAGACTCTGTCTCTACAAAAATTAAAAAATTAGCCATGCGTGGTGATGCATGCCTGTAGTCCTAGCTACTCAGAAGGCTGAGGTGGGAGGATCGCTTGAGCCCAGGAGGCTGAGGCTGCAGTGAGCCGTGTTCATGCCACTGCACCCCAGTCTGGGCAACAAAGCGAGACCCTGTCTCAAAAAAAAAAAAAAAAAAAAAAAGAACCAAGTCTATTGAAAGGAAAAATAGGTTATAAACAAAAAGAGGAACAGCACAAAACATCTCCACAGTGAAGACATATAAAACCACCAGGTTATGTTTTGAGATTATCTTGTTTGAGGAAAGAAAGGCCTGATTTGGTTGGAGAGGGCTGCTCCCAGCCGGGCCACTCAACTGCATAACCTCAGAACTACATCTTTTATTTCTTTGTTCCGTTATGCCAATCGCAAAAGAAACAAACAAAACACAAACCGAGCAAGCAACAGTGCTGTTGTCTTCACCTTACCTCAAAAGTGTACTACTTACAGGACAAGAGAATAAGCCCCTGAAGAAGTACAAGCTGCAGGAGCTCAAAGCTGCATTTGTGTTCCTATCGCAGCAGGATTCACACTGTACTGGAACTGTTGCCTCATTATCTGTCTCTGGAACAAACTGTGAACCAGTCAAGGGTAGTCACTCTTATTTATCTTCACATTCCCAACAGCCAGTAGTGCCAGGCAAGGAGCAGAGGCTTCTAAACAACAATGGAGGCAGATTTCTTAATCCCTAAAATGTTCAGCTTCCCACATATGAGAGGTAAGCAGAAATAACGCATGTGTATGCACACAGACTAGTTTTACAATGCATCGTGCAGCACTGCAAACTAAAAAGGAGTCCATGAATAGATGTGTCTAAGGTCAGTTAACTGCTATTCAGCTCTTCCTGGGTCACTCAGTTCAATTACAAAAGCTTTGGTGTTCATTTAATTCATCCTGTGCAATCACATTACTGAAGCAACTCTCAAAATTACTCTTCATAAAACTAGAAGAAACACACAATAGATGGTTTATTAGGATCTTTTCCTTTTAGTGAAACATTTTAGGTCACTGATGACAGAAAAGCCCGGTGCTAGATAGCTGGGCTAACTTGAACCATATCCCTAGTACAGGCAAGTTGCCTGGGTTCCAGTCCTGG
Source organism: Homo sapiens (assembly GCF_000001405.40). Classification (NCBI taxonomy): domain Eukaryota; kingdom Metazoa; phylum Chordata; class Mammalia; order Primates; family Hominidae; genus Homo; species Homo sapiens. The sequence goes on from NC_000012.12 coordinate 105,233,739, forward strand.
CTCTGTCACTTTATGGTGTATAATTCTAAGCAAATTACTTCTCTGCTCCTTAGTTATTTAAATAGAGAATGTACTTCAAGACTATTGGGAGGATTGAGTGAGTTAATATATGTAAAGCATTTAGAAGAGTCCCTGGCACATAAAATCCATGAAACAGGCATTTGCTATTGTTTTTATGCTTTGCACATAAAATGAAGGGGATGGATTAGATTCCTTCCAGTTCCAAGTCTAGGAGTCACCTTGGGAGTAAAGCTACATTAGGCACAGGTCACATACAAGAGAGTAGTATATAAATATGCTCTGATGATCATTAAAGACCTTCTTAAAGTCAGCTTCCATTCTGCACAACAGCACCATCAAGAGCCCTCTTAAGGGTGATGGCCAAGTCTCAAAAGCAATGACAAATAAACTTCCTATATTAAAAGGAACATATTAAATAAGAATGATAATATCTCTAAACCTCCTCTGCCACATACAAGTTCAAAGTTATACACCATGTAGATATGACAATGTTAACTCTAAAGCACCTTGAAGATCACCTGCTCCCTCCCTGTCTCTCATTCTGTAGATGTTCTGTAGATTAGGAAACTGAGCCAGCTACAGGGTGGAGATGAAGAGACTCACCCACATCACATCCTAAGTGAGCGTGAGAGCCAGAATTAGAACCCAGGTCTCCTGACTTGCTCTACAGTCCTGTCTACTTCCTCACAGCTGGGCAAATCCTTTAAGCCACTCACAAACAGTGTATATTCCTTTATGTTAGAGCTGGAAATTAAGAATATGATCTGTTTGTGAGGACAACATCAAGAATCAGTTAGTATAATCACTGTAACCTGGCTTAGGCATCACCATGTAGGTTAGAAAAGCAGGATATTTCTGTGCACCTCAGTTTCCATAAGTGCAAGGCAAACAGAGATCCTTGTTCAAAGTGATCATTTAAAATCTCACATTGCTATCTTCAGATTCCACACAACAGATATGAACATGGACAAAATGCCTTCTACCAAGGGCTTTAGTCTGATTAAAATGCCAGGAGTCTACAGCCATATAAAAAAGGGAGGCCTTGAAAAAGTCGTCCAGAGGATGCAAACTTACCAAAAAACAAAACAAACAAACAAAAAACACACACACAGCTTGCTTCCAGTTCCTTACTTATCTACACTAGGAGGATCACAAAAAATGAACAAAAGACACCTATGCATACAGCCCTTCGGACTTATTCTGAACTGTCGATGTAGGTAAATCCATACAAGGATCATCCTGGGAAGTATTATTCACTTAGAAGAAAAAGGGAAGGAACCCCAAAAGAGAGGGGAAAGTGTGAAACGAAAATAGGTTAATCTTATTCTAAGTTTTCAAGAGTTGAGACACTAGGAAATAAAGGCACTTATTTAAATAAACCCGGGATGCTGAACCAGGAGTGTAGGTACGAAGCTGGAGAAATGTTAAACAAAGGAGAACAAAAGACCCCTGGGGAAAGATGTGCTGAATTATGAACTAATGTCATCCTGCACTCATTTGCTATATTTACACACCAGTTTTCATCTGCAGAGCTCAAAGGACTTGACTCTCATCTCGAGTGTGCTAATGAAGTTCCCTTGTGCGACAAATGGGGCAGGTACTGTATTTTTCTCTTCACTAATGGGAAAACGGTGCCAAAAGGAGGCCTGGTACCGCCGGAAAAGAGATCCAGGCCCTCTGCCTCTCATTCTGGCTGGCACAAGTCTCATCACATCATTAGGAGTAGCAGTAATAAGACTGACTCATTATCTGTACCGGACATTGTCTGCTGACAACTTTACAGGTATTTCTCATTGACTTCTCCTAACAACCCTATGAAGCAGGCACAATTATTATTCCTATTTTACAGACGACAAAACTAAGGCACAATAAGGTGGTTTTCCTGAGGCACTCAGCTACTACATGGAATCAAAGTTTAGATCTCGCAGACTCAGTTGCAGCTGAGCTTGCAGGGGGGTCACGACATCAAGACTCCGGCCGCGGGGCTCTCTCCCCTGTTCCACAGCTCTGCCCCGGCTCAGGACTCAGGGCCCGGCCCGCCCCCTCCTCAGCCCGAGAGAACCCGGTGGGAGGCGCCGCGAGGGGGCCGGGCGCACTCCCGCGGCTGCCCGGCCGGGGGCGCGGCCTCCACTCCGGGGCTGGAGGGGCCTCCTCGGCCTCACCCCTGCGGGCGAGGGGCACCGGAGCGGCGGGAGGTACCTGGGGGCTGTCCTGCAACGCCTCCTCTAGCAGGAGCTTGTCCACGGCGGGCATGGTGCGGCGCGGCTCAGCCGAGGGCTGGGTTGGAAGGACAGAGGGCAGGAGACGCGGCGGCCGAGAGCACTCCCCGGCTCTGGGCTCAGGCGACGCGGCGGCCACTCCGTGCCCGCGGCGGCCCCGCGCGCGTCCACGCCTGGCCAGTGGCCGCCGCCGCCTGCCCGCCGGCCCAGCCCCCGGCCGAGCCGGATCAACAGGAAGTGTGGCGCGCCCGGCAGGGAAACCGGAAGTGTGGTGAGCTCCGGTCCCGACACCGGAAATGTGGCGCCCGCGCTTCCGCCTGCGCTCGCCGGCTCGCGGGGAGCGGGGGGCTCTGGGTGCCAGTCCCGTTGCTGAGGGAACCCTTCGGGTGTTTGTTCTCTGTGCTGAAGGTCCGTCAAGTCAATGCATATGAAGTCCAAAAGAGGAACTCGAGGGTAGAAAGATAAGGTTTTATCTGCTTATGGCTACCCAGAAAGCCTTTTGAGTTGAAGGAGCGAACAGATTTTTTCTTTTAATGGAAGGAAAAACCCACACTTCCCACACCACTTTTTCTAGATAAATTTCGACGCCCCTGAAACAGCTCTGAGAGCAAAGAGGTCGCCTATGCTATGGGAACAAAGAAAAGAGGAGAAAAGCTGGATAACTGACTCGTCTGTGATAATCAGAAATAACCACTTTGGAAACCACAGCTATTTGATGTGGTCATAATTAGGTCTCGTCCTCCTGGTTTATGTTTTGTGATTTTGGAGAATTTCATAATCAAATGTTTAGAATTGGAAGGGCTAGATAATCTAGGTTCCAGTGTTGTCATTTAGAGATGAGAAAATGGGACCCAGAGAAATAAGTGGTCTGCCCAGGGTCAGTTAGTAAACGCCAGAGGAAGAAAAGAAGGAAGGGAGAGGGATGGAAGAAGACTGGCAAGTGGAACGTGACACCTTTTTACACGGAAGGCAAGGGTTTCTGAAGTTCCTTCTTTAGAAGTTAATAAGACTGGCCGGGCGTGGTGGTTCACGCCTGTAATCCCAGCACTTTGGGAGGCCGAGATGGGTGGATCACGAGGTCAGGAGTTCAAGACCAGTCTGGCCAAGATGCTGAAACCCCGTCTCTACTAAAAATACAAAAATTAGCCGGGCGTGGTGGCATGCGCCTGTAATCCCAGCTACTCGGGAGGCTGAGGCAGAAGAATCACTTGAACCCGGGAGGCAGAGGTTTCAGTGAGCCGAGAGGGCACCACTGCACTCCAGCCTGGGCAACAGAGCAAGACTCCGTCTCAAAAAAAAAAAAAAAAATCATGCAGTATGTGTGTCACCAAAATCAACAGAGGGGATATGGTAATATATAAATTCTGCATTCTGCAGAGACCTCTTAGGTATATCAAGACCCAATCTGCATTGCTGACACCTCTGACAGTCTAGTATAGTAGCATGCTGCCTGATCACTTGAAAACTCCAAGGCCATTATTCCCTTGGTCTGGCCAGCGCCAACCTGACCTGAACCATTTTATGGCCTCCATCTACCATATTTTCCTCCACAGTATTCTTTCTTCCCTATTCTTTCTTGCCTCCACCATACTCTTGTCTTCCCTATAGGTGGAATCATGCTCACACCATATTTCTTCCCTTTCCTCTATTTTATACCGCCTGCCATTCAGTTCATTTTACCTCATCCAGTGTCCCAGACTCTCTTCTCACTGAAATCTAATTCCTCACGGCCAGACTCATGCTCTTCCTTCATCCTGATTGCGAGAACAGTACAAGGATAGTATTATACCCAGGGAAATAAATGTGCACATTTTAATTTGAAAATATGCATTACAAGAAGTTAGTGCCCTCAGAACCCTTGAAAGGGCTCAGACAGCCCCTTGGGAATCACAGCATTTTTCATGTACCACCTCATCTTCTAATTAAAGTTACTTTTCTTCAAATACTAGTATTCAACATTCAAAAATTGTTTAAGCTATCCCATTACTTTTCTGCATTTTCTTGCTACATTATGGGCTAAACAGCCTTAGTGGGATTTCTTGGAACTTAAGAACTGTTTACAACATTGTTTCTATGGGAAAATCTATCCCAAATTCAAAACAACTAAGTTACAAAAGTAGATCTGGAAATACAACACATGCATAAATGGTTTTAATTTATCTCATTTGTTAATTCATCCAATCATTCATTCATGTATTAAATATAGACTGCTCAGTGTTAAGCACTGTCTCCCACTTGTTTGATTCTCATTTAAATTCTGAAGGCAAATATCCTCTCCTTTGATAATCTGTGAGAAACTACATAAGAGGAATTTTTATGTCAACATGAACATTTAAAAATGTTTCATTAAAGAGTATATATCTGTTCCTATTAAACTATTATGCAGGTGGATTTTAGAAATCCACCCCACTGTCTCTGAAATCCCTGGTCAGCTGTGAAGTTGGTGACAGGAAGTATAAAGATGGACAGTCTGGAGTTGTCGTGATGTCTGAAGAGAGAGAGGATGAATTATATGGAGGTGTAACCTGTGACCCATTGAAGGCCAGTGGGGAAAAGGACACAGTGAGACACAAAAAAAGGACCCAGGATGGCCAGGTCAGAGAAGGCCTGGGGCTTCAGGAGTAAGAGAGAAAGGCAGGAGTGAAGAAGGCAGCTGTTTTGGGAGATGCTTAGCAAACTGCATGATAGGGCACACGCATTGAGATTCTTTCCTCTGCCAGTCAAGCCCTTTCTCCTGCCTCTTGTCTGACAAACCCAACCACAATCATCAAATCCCAGTTTAATGTGACTTTTTTGATGAAGTCTTCATTTACTCCTGTCCCCCCAAGCAGAATACATTTTCCTTTCCTTGAGTGTGCTTCAGTAGCACTTGCCGAGATAATTCTAGAATAACACTTACCTCTCTTTGTTTCCACCTCCAACCTTCCAGCTAGAATGGGTAGGAACTTGGTCTTATTTATTTCTGTAATTAGAGTGCCTAGTACATTACCTAGCACAAAAGCAGTTGCTTGATAAATACTTACTAAACTATAATGTGTTATTATAACTTATACATGATTGATACTCCAGAGTTTAAAAAATGTTTTCATGAATCTCATTTCATTTGATAGCACAATGCTGCTTTTGCCGTTAATCATTCACTAGGTAGCACCGACTGTGTGTTAGACTCTTCTCTAGAAGCTGAGGATATAGGCTGAAGCAAAAAGTAGTCCTTGCCCTAATGGAGTTTATATTCTAATGGAGGAAATAATAAGAAACAAATACAAGTTGATAAGTGTATGATAACCTTTAGTAAAGGAATAGAGGATCATGGGAAGTGGAAAGGATTCTTTGAGGTGTGCAACTGTTGAGCTGAGAATTGAATCAGGGAAGCCCAGCCCGAAGGAAAGAACAAGTGTGAGGGCCCTGAGGCTTGCTCCTCTTTGAGGAGGAGCAGAAAGGCCAATGTGGCTAAGGACAGCGAGGCGGGAAAGAGTGGGAGGAGATGAGGTTGAAGAGATGCCAATCACTGGCTCACAGAGGACGCTGAGTCCATGGGGAAGGACTTTGGGTGTTGCTCTTGATATGGCAGGAAGCCACTGTAAATATGAGCAACTGAATGACAGGGTCTGATTTACATTTTTAAAGACTATCTCTGGGTTCTGAAGAGGCTTTTGCAATCCTTCAAGCAAGAGATTTGAGAGATATAGGTCAAAGTCGAGGGTATGGAAATGTTGGGAGGTAGTTGAAGTCTGAACATATTTTGAAAGTAGAACTGACAGGATATGCTGGATGTAGTATGTGAGAGAAAGTGGGAAAGCCATTGGGCAAATGGTCCTGTGATTTACTGAGACAGAAAACCCTGGGGAGAAGCAGGTTGTTGGTGGTGGCGCATCAATAGTGCTGTTCAGGCTGTTGTGATTGAGATGCCCGTTAGGCAATCAAGTGGAGGTTTCATGTGGGTACTTGTATATACCACTCAAGTTTAGGAGGAGACTGGGGCTGAAGGTATAAATCCATGAGTTCACCAACATGGGGACGTTATTTAAACCAAAAGAGTAGATGAGATTTCTTAGGAATCTAATACAGAAAGGAAAGAGGAAAGCTTGGTGGATTGAGGCCCAAGCAAGATCCAGCAGCTAATGGTGTAGGAGGAATATCAGGAGACTAATAGACCACCCTAGAAGCCCTATGAATGGGAAACTTGGAGGCACTACTATACTAAAAGCCAGGGGACAAAAGGTTTCAAAAATGAATTGATCCACAATGTCAAATGCAGCTAAGAGATCAAGTAAGAATAAAGACCAGAAATTGACCTTTAAATTTGCCAATAGGAAGGTCATTCGGTGAATTTGGTAAGAGACTTTGATAAGAGCAATTTTATTTGAAAGCAAGATGGTGTCTGTTCAAGAGCAATGGTGGGAATACAAAGACAATTCTTTCAAGAGGTTTTTCAATAAAGGGAAGTGGTTGAAGGGGAAGTGACTGCAGGGGATGATTTAAAAAAAGGGAGGTTTTTGGTTTGTTTGCTTGTTTTAAAATAGAAAAGTTGTAGACTTTAGGCAAGGTATTTAATCTTTCTGAGCTTCAGTTTACTTCCCTATGATATGAGAATGGCATTACCAATCACAAGTTGTTTCCATACACACCTGTCTCTATGTCCTGTATTAGTCAAGACTTTTTAAGTGGCAAATCACAGAAACCTAACTCCAACTGGCTTAAAGAAAACATAAAAGTCTGAAAGAGATTGGATTTCTTAGATTATTTATATGCTGATGAGAATGATCCAGTAGAGTGGGGGAAAAGCTAAAGATATGAGAGAGAGGTGACAATTGCAAGAACAAAGTCCTTGAACAGACAAAAAGGAGTAGAATCCAAATCACAAGTGATAGGCTTGGGAGGCTGAGGCAAGTCGATCACTTGAGGCCAGGAGTTCAAGACCACCATGGTGAAACCCTGTCTCTCCTGAAAATACAAAAATTAGTCGAGCATGCGTGTGAGCACCTGTAGTCCCAGCTACTTAGGAGGCTGAGGCAAGATAATCGCTTGAACCCAGGAGGCAGAGGTTGCAGTAAGCCAAGATTGCACCACTGCACTCCAGCCTGGGTGACAGAGTGAGACTCTTTAAAAAAAAATGCAAAAAACAAATCACAAGGGATAGGGATGGCCTTAGATAGAAGCAAGGACAGTACGTTCATAGTGATACAAGAACAGTAGGTTGGTAGATTAAATGGGAGGAATGAAGGCGTTCTATTCTGATTGCTTTTATTTTTCTCAGTGAGATAAGAAGCAAGGCCATCGGCTCAAAGCAATAATGGTCAGATGGTATTGAAGGTTTGAGGAGAGAGGAGATGGCATAAAATAGTCATCTTGGAGCACAGGAAGGTGAGGCATAAGTATTAGTATCCTCATTTGATAAACGTTACAACTGAGGCTCAAACAAATGATGTGACAGGGCCCAAATTCTAAATGCCAGGGCTCTGCCCACTGTACCCAAAGAGAAGAAGGAAGCCTGCTCAGTAGGAAGCTTCAGACTACCCAAACCTAGGATTCCTGTCCTTTTACCTCCCAGGTGCCTACATAGTGTCTGACTCACAACAAATGCTTTCCTTTCCTTTTCTTTCTTTTTTTTTAAATTTTTTTTAATATTTATTTATTTATTTATTTATTTTTGAGATGGAGTCTTACTCTGTCGCCCAGGCTGCAGTGCAGTGGTGCCATCTCAGCTCACTGCAACCTCTGCCACCTAGGGTTCAAGCAATTCTCCTGCCTCAGCCTCCTGAATAGCTGGGATTACAGGCGCCCACCACCACGCCCAGCTAATTTTTGTATTTTTAGTAGAGACGGGGTTTCAGCATCTTGGCCACGCTGGTCTTGAACTCCTGACCTCATGATCCACCCATCTCGGCCTCCCATAATGCTTTTCAAATGCTTGTTGAATGGCAGCATTCAATCCTGTTCTCTCCACCCAAAACTTGTGACTCAGGTTCTGTATCACCGACTGTCCTCTCATTTGCTTTATGAGACAAATGAGACTGTCCTCTCATTTGTCCTCTCATTGCTCCCTGTAGCCAGTCCATGGAAACAGAGAGGAAATTCATGACCTCCAAGGAGGTTTGGAGTCCTTCACGCCTGAGAGATCACCATGGAAAACAATGAAGGGGAGAAAAAAGCTCGTCAGTTCTCAAGTATTCATCTCATGGTGGCGACTGGCCTTTGACTTTCACTCAGGATACAAATTTGATCCTGCCACTCCGCTATTTAAAATCTTTGGTGATAATAAGAGGAATAACAATAATTGCAAACAGACACTTACTTATTGAACTATTACTATGTGCCAGGTACTATACTAAGGATTTTACCTGCATTATCTCCTAAAATTATTCAAAACCTCATTGGTTATTTGCTGTTATAATCCCCAGTTTAAAGATGAGGAAATTGAGGCCTGGAAAGCTTAAAGAACTTGCCCACAGTTAGCTAATTTCAGAGGTGGGATTCAAACCTGTGGAATATGTTTCTAACTCCAGCCTCTTCCAAGGCTTCCTTCAGTGCTCCTTATTGCCTACAGTATAATGTCTGCATTCCTTAGCAGGATTCACAAACCCCTGCTTGATTACTGTGCTGCCATCATCTTCTGCCATGACCTTTTGTACACGTGCCTTACAAAGTTCCCTGTAGTCCTTGAAAATGTAGTTTCCCATGCCTGTGTCTTTGCAGAGATTGTTTCCATCAGCCTCAAATCCCCTTCCTCCATGGGTCTCTTAACAAATTCATCTTCTAAAGCTGTGCTTAAATATCGCTTCTGTGGTCAATGAAATTCAGTTCTATGCATATTAATGAAGCATGTACTTTGTTCCAAGCACCGAGGTAGGCACTGCAGGTTTAATAACGTAAAAGAAACATGGACTTGCTGCCCTTCAAGGGAGATTCCCATCTACTAATGGCAGACGATTAAAAACAGGAGTGTTCCAGTAGAGGACAATCCACATGACACAGGGAGCACATGTAAAGGAGTCATAGGCTAAGGTCAACATTTCTGGAATGAGTGTCCTGACAGGGGACGATGCACAGGACAGGAGTGTGTAGGAGAAAGGTAACCACGATCTAATCAGTCAATCTTGCCTGTAACTGTTGCCATGTTTGTGTGTTTGTGTCCCTGTCTGCTGCCTATGGTGAGTTATTGCAAAAGTAAATAAAATACATATTAGTAGGTTTATATATATGTTATACCTTATGTAAATATTTTGAGAAGCGTTCCAAGAAGTAACAAGCTCTTGAAGAAAAATGCATCCTTGGCCGGGCATGGCGGCTCACACCTGTCATCCCAGCACTTTGGGAGGTTGAGGAGGGCGGATCATTTGAGGTCAGGAGTTCGAGACCACCCTGGCCAACGTGGTGAAACCCTGTCTCTACTAAAAACACAATAATTAGCTGGGCATAGTAGTGGGCACCTGTAATCCCATCTACTCAGGAGGCTGAAGCAGGAGAATCGCTTGAACTTGGGAGGTGGAGGTCTCAGTGAGCTGAGTTGATGCTACTGCCCTCCAGCCTGGGCAACAGAGTGAGACTCTGTCTCAAGAAAAAAAAAAAAAAAAAAGAATCTGTGTAGTGCTTCTACTGTGCTAGGAGAAATGTATTTCAAATGCCACCCAATAATGTTCACTATCATTTCCCAGTGTTTGAATGTTCAGTACAGGCAACAGTTCTTCATAAATACTACTAAATTTATTAGTTTTTATTTATGAGTTTGCCTATATTCATAGTAACAAGTAAATAGTATATGATATTAGAATTGTATTAAGAATAGCTTATGATTTAAGAATTCCTCAGATTTTCCAGGAAATCTGATTTCTTATTCCCAAATCCCAAAGAATGATATCTGTTGGGAATTTAGAAACTCCTAGTGGGGGCACATAGGCTAAACTAAGACCTTCTCTAGGTTGCTTAAAATTGATTTCATCTGTCTTTCCTCCATCCACATATGGGACTTGGTACATGCTCTTATTAGCACTTATGCCATTATCTTATTTATCTAATGTGCTTATCTTTCTGGACTGAACAGTGAGCCCTTATATTATAAGGCCCTTATCTCATGTATCTTTATTTCTTTAGCACCAACCTCAAAACCTGACTTTTTTTTTTTTTATTTTACTTTAAGTTCTGGGATACATGTGCAGAACGTGCAGGTTTGTTACATAGGTATACATGTGCCATGGTGGTTTGCTGCACCTGTCAACCTGTCATCTAGGTTTTAAGCCCCGCATGCATTAGGTATTTGTCCTGATGCTCTCCCTTCCCTTGTCCCTCACCCTCCAACAGGCCCCGGTGTGTGATGTTCCCCTCCCTGTGTCCATGTGTTCTCATTGTTCAACTCCCACTGATGAGTGAGAACATGCGGTGTTTGGTTTTTCTGTTCCTGTGTTAGTTTGCTGAGAATGATGGCTTCCAGCTTTATCCATGTCCCTGCAAAGGACATGAACTCATTCTTTTTTATGGCTGCATAGTATTCCATGGTGTATATGTGCCACATTTTTTTAATCCAGTCTATCATTAATGGGCATTTGGATTGGTTCCAAGTCTTCGCTATTGTAAATAGTGCTGCAATAAACATAAGTGTGCATGTGTCTTTACAGTAGAATGATTTATAATCTTTTGGGTATATACCCAGTAATGGGATTGCTGGGTCAAATGATATTTCTGGTTCTAGATCCTTGAGGAATCGCCACACTGTCTTCCACAATGGTTGAACTAATTTACACTCTTACCAACAGTGTGAAAGTGTTCCTATTTCTCCACAGACTTGCCAGCATCTGTTGTTTCCTGACTTTTTAATAATTGCCATTCTAACTGGCAGGGGATGGTATCTCATTGTGGTTTTGATTTGCATTTCTGTAATCACCAGTGATGATGAGCTTTTTTTCATATGTTTGTTGGCCACATAAATGTCTTCTTTTGAGAACTGTCTGTTCATATCCTTTGCCCACTTTTTGATGGGGTTGTTTGCTTTTTCTTGTAAATTTGTTTAAGTGCCTTGTAGATTCTGGATATTAGCCCTCTGTCAGATGGATAGATTGCAAAAATTCTCACCCATTCTGTAGGTTGCCTAGAACCTGGCTGTTAATTGACTTTCAGTAAAAATTTACTCAGTGAGTAAAGGAATTCGGTAACTGTTTCAATTAGGGTTAGATTTGGCTGTATCTAATAAGAAAAAATAATAATAGTGTCTAAAACATGGTAAGATTTTATTTCTCTCCTGTATTCAAGAAGTCCAGAGGTGATCAGCCCAGGGCTAGTGTGGCCCGTCACAGTGTCAGAGACAGATGCCTTCTCCTGTCCTCTCTGGCTTCCCTAACCAAAGTCACTCCATGGCCCAGGATGGCTGTTGGCTTTCCAGTCATCTAGTCAAATTTCAATCAGCAGGTTGGAGAAAGCAACAAAGAAGGACACATTTCCAGCAGAAATTGCACACAGAACTTCTGCTTACATCCCATTCCATAAGCCAGAGCTTAGTCACATTGCCACACGCAACTACAAGGGAAGCTGGAAAGTTGGCCTTCTTCCAGGCTCAGTATGCCCAACAAGGAATCAGGGGTTCTTAGCATACGTTGCTGGTGGGAACATAAAATGGCATGGCCACTGAGGAGAATAGTTTGGCAGTGCCTCGAAATGTTAAACGTAGTTATCTGGGACTCACCAGATCCTTCCTAGTATATACCCAAGAGAATTGAAACTATCTGTCCACACGAAAACTTGTACATGAATATTCATAGCAGCATTACTCATAATAGCCAAAAAGTGGGAAACAACACAGATGTCCATCAACTGATAGATAAACCAAAGGTGGTATTATAGTATCCACATGCAGTGGAATATTGTTTGACAATAAAAAGGAATGGGTGAGCGACACAGAAGACGGGTGATTTCTGCATTTCCATCTGAGGTACCAGGTTCATCTCACTAGGGAGTACCAGACAGTGGGTGCAGGACAGTGGGTGCAGCGCACCGTGCGCGAGCCAAAGCTGGGCGAGGCACTGCCTCACTTGGGAAGCACAAGGGGTCAGGGAGTTCCCTTTTCTAGTCAAAGAAAGGGGTGACAGACAGCACCTGGAAAATCGGGTCACTCCCACCCTAATACTGCGCTTTTCCAACGGGCTTAAAAAACGGCACACCAGGAGATTATATCCCGCACATGGCTCGGAGGTTCCTACGCCCACGGAGTCTCACTGATTGCTAGCACAGCAGTCTGAGTTCAAACTGCAAGGCGGCAGCGAGGCTGGGGGAGGGGCACCTGCCATTGCCCAGGCTTGATTAGGTAAACAAAGCAGCCGGGAAGCTCGAACTGGGTGGAGCCCACCACAGCTCAAGGAGGTCTGCTTGCCTCTGTAGGCTCCACCTCTGGGGGCAGGGCACAGACAAACAAAAAGACAGCAGTAACCTCTGCAGACTTAAATGTCCCTGTCTGACGGCTTTGAAGAGAGTAGTGGTTCTCCCAGCACGCAGCTGGAGATCTGAGAACGGGCAGACTGCCTCCTCAAGTGGGTCCCTGACCCCTGAGCAGCCTAACTGGGAGGCACCCCCCAGTAGGGGCAGACTGACACCTCACATGGCCAGGTACTCCTCTGAGACAAAACTTCCAGAGGAACGATCCGGCAGCAGCATTTGTGGGTCACCAAAATCCGCTGTTCTACAGCCACTGCTGTTCTGCAGCCACTGCTGCTGACACCCAGGCAAAAAGGGTCTGGAGTGGACCTCTAGCAAACTCCAACAGACCTGCAGCTGAGGGTCCTGTCTGTTAGAAGGAAAACTAACAAACAGAAAGGACGTCCACACCAAAACCCATCTGTACGTCACCATCATCAAAGACCAAAAGTAGGTAAAACCACAAAGATGGGGAAAAAACAGAGCAGAAAAACTGGAAACTCTAAAAAGCAGAGCGCCTCTCCTCCTCCAAAGGAACGCAGCTCCTCACCAGCAACGGAACAAAGCTGGATGGAGAATGACTTTGACGAGTTGAGAGAAGAAGGCTTCAGATGATCAAACAACTCCGAGCTACAGGAGGAAATTCAAACCAATGTCAAAGAAGTTAGAAACCTTGAAAAAAAATTAGACAAATGGATAACTAGAATAACCAATGCAGAAAAGTCCTTAAAGGAGCTGAAGGAGCTGAAAGCCAAGGCTTGAGAACTACATGAAGAATGCAGAAGCCTCAGGAGCCGATGCGATCAACTGGAAGAAAGGGTATCAGTGATGGAAGACGAAATGAATGAAATGAAGCGAGAAGGGAAGTTTAGAGAAAAAAGAATAAAAAGAAATGAACAAAGCCTCCAAGAAATATGGGACTATGTGAAAAGACCAAATCTACCTCTGATTGGTGTACCTGAAAGTGACGGGGAGAATGGAACCAAGTTGGAAAACACTCTGCAGGATATTATCCAGGAGAACTTCCCCAATCTAGCAAGGCAGGCCAACATTCAGATTCAGGAAATACAGAGAATGCCACAAAGATACTCCTCGAGAAGAACAACTCCAAGACACATAATTGTCAGATTCACCAAAGTTGAAATGAAGGAAAAAATGTTAAGGGCAGCCAGAGGGAAAGGTCGGGTTGCCCACAAAGGGAAGCCCATCAGACTAACAGGGGATCTCTCGGCAGAAACTCTACAAGCCAGAAGAGAGTGGGGGCCAACATTCAACATTCTTAAAGAAAAGAATTTTCAACCCAGAATTTCATATCCAGCCAAACTAAGCTTCATAAGTGAAGGAGAAATAAAATACTTTACAGACAAGCAAATGCTGAGAGATTTTGTCACCACCAGGCCTGCCCTAAAAGAGCTCCTGAAGGAAGCACTAAACATGGAAAGGAACAACCGGTACCAGCCACTGCAAAAACATGCCAGAATGTAAAGACCATCAAGGCTAGGAAGAAACTGCATCAACTAACGAGCAAAATAACCAGCTAACATCATAATGACAGGACCAAATTCACACATAACAATATTAACTTTAAATGTAAATGGACTAAATGCTCCAAATAAAAGACACAGACTGGCAAATTGGAGAAAGAGTCAAGACCCATCAGTGTGCTGTATTCAGGAGACCCATCTCATGTGCAGAGACACACATAGGCTCAAAATAAAGGGATGGAGGAAGATCTACCAAGCAAATGGAAAACAAAAAAAGCAGGGGTTGCAGTCCTAGTCTCTGATAAAACAGACTTTAAACCAACAAAGATCAAAAGAGACAAAGAAGGCCATTACATAATGGTAAAGGGATCAATTCAACAAGAAGAGCTAACTATCCTAAATATATATGCACCCAATACAGGAGCACCCAGATTCATAAAGCAAGTCCTGAGTGACCTACAAAGAGACTTAGACTCCCACACAATAATAATGGGAGACTTTAACACCCCACCATCAACATTAGACAGATCAACGAGACAGAAAGTTAACAAGGACACCCAGGAATTGAACTCAGCTCTGCACCAAGCGGACCTAACAGACATCTACAGAACTCTCCACCCCAAATCAACAGAATATACATTCTTTTCAGCACCACACCACACCTATTCCAAAATTGACCACATAGTTGGAAGTAAAGCACTCCTCAGCAAATGTAAAAGAACAGAAATTATAACAAACTGTCTCTCAGACCACAGTGCAATCAAACTAGAACTCAGGATTAAGAAACTCACTCAAAACCACTCAACTACATGGAAACTGAACAACCTGCTCCTCAATGACTACTGGGTACATAACGAAATGAAGGCAGAAATAAAGATGTTCTTTGAAACCAACGAGAACAAAGACACAACATACCAGAATCTCTGGGACACATTCAAAGCAGTGTATAGAGGGAAATTTATAGCACTAAATGCCCACAAGAGAAAGCAGGAAAGATCCAAAATTGACACCCTAACATCACAATCAAAAGAACTAGAAAAGAAAGAGCAAACACATTCAAAAGCTAGCAGAAGGCAAGAAATAACTAAAATCAGAGCAGAACTGGAGGAAATAGAGACACAAAAAACCCTTCAAAAAATTAATGAATCCAGGAGCTGGTTTTTTGAAAAGATCAACAAAATTGATAGACCGCTAGCAAGACTAATAAAGAAGAAAAGAGAGAAGAATCAAATAGATGCAATAAAAAATGATAAAGGGGGTATCACCACCGATCCCACAGAAATACAAACTACCATCAGAGAATACTATAAACACCTCTACGCAAATAAACTAGAAAATCTAGAAGAAATGGATAAATTCCTCGACACATACACCCTCCCAAGACTAAACCAGGAAGAAGTTGAATCTCTGAATAGACCAATAACAGCCTCTGAAATTGAAGCAATAATCAATAGCTTACCAACCAAAAAAAGTCCAGGACCAGATGGATTCACAGCCGAATTCTACCAGAGGTACAAGGAGGAGCTGGTACCATTCCTTCTGAAACTATTCCAATCAATAGAAAAAGAGGGAATCCTCCCTAACTCATTTTATGAGGCCAGCATCATCCTGATACCAACGCCGGGCAGAGACACAACCAAAAAAGAGAATTTTAGACCAATATCCTTGATGAACATTGATGCAAAAATCCTCAATAAAATACTGGCAAACTGAATCCAGCAGCACACTAAAAGCGTATCCACCATGATCAAGTGGGCTTCATCCCTGGGATGCAAGGCTGGTTCAACATTCACAAATCAATAAATGTAATCCAGCATATAAACAGAACCAAAGACAAAAACCACATGATTATCTCAATAGATGCAGAAAATGCCTTTGATAAAATTCAACAACCCTTCATGCTAAAAACTCTCAATAAATTAGGTATTGATGGGACGTATCTCAAAATAATAAGAGCTATCTATGACAAACCCACAGCCAATATCATACTGAATGGGCAAAAGCTGGAAGCTTTCCCTTTGAAAACTGGCACAAGACAGGGATGCCCTCTCTCACCACTCCTATTCAACATAGTGTTGGAAGTTCTGGCCAGGGCAATTAGGCAGGAGAAGGAAATAAAGGGTATTCAATAGGAAAAGAAGAAGTCAAATTGTCCCTGTTTGCAGATGACATGATTGTATATCTAGAAAACCCCATTGTCTCAGCCCAAAATCTCCTTAAGCTGATAAGCAACTTCAGCAAAGTCTCAGGATACAAAATCAATGTACAAAAATCACAAGCATTCTTATACACCAATAACAGACAAACAGAGAGCCAAATCATGAGTGAACTTCCATTCACAATTGCTTCAAAGAGAATAAAATACCTAGGAATCCAACTTACAAGGGATGTGAAGGACCTCTTCAAGGAGAACTACAAACCACTGCTCAAGGAAATAAAAGAGGATACAAACAAATGGAAGAACATTCCATGCTCATGGATAGGGAGAACCAATATCGTGAAAATGGCCATACTGCCCAAGGTAATTTATAGATTCAATGCCATCCCCATCAAGCTACCAATGACTTTCTTCACAGAATTGGAAGAAACTACTTTAAAGTTCATATGGAACCAAAAAAGAGCCTGCGTCGCCAAGTCAATCCTAAGCCAAAAGAACAAAGCCGGAGGCATCACGCTACCTGACTTCAAACTATACTACAAGGCTACAGTAACCAAAACAGCAAGGTACTGGTACCAAAACAGAGATATAGATCAATGGAACAGAACAGAGCCCTCAGAAATAATGCCACATATCTACAACCATCTGATCTTTGACAAACCTGACAAAAACAAGCAATGGGGAAAGGATTCCCTTTTTAATAAGTGGTGCTGGGAGAACTGGCTAGCCATATGTAGAAAGCTGAAACTGGATCCCTTCCTTACACCTTATACAAAAATTAATTCAAGATGGATTAAAGACTTAAATGTTACACCTAAAACCATAAAAACCCTAGAAGAAAACCTAGGCAATACCATTCAGGACATAGGCATGGGTAAGGACTTCATGTCTAAAACACCAAAAGCAATGGCAACAAAAGCCAAAATTGACAAACGCGATCTAATTAAACTAAAGAGCTTCTGTACAGCAAAAGAAACTACCGTCAGGGTGAACAGGCAACCTACAAAATGGGAGAAAATTTTCGCAACCTACTCAGCTGACAGAAGGCTAAAATCCAGAATCTACAATGAACTCAAACAAATTTACAAGAAAAAAACAAACGACCCATCAAAAAGTGGGTGAAGGATATGAACAGACACTTCTCAAAAGAAGACATTTATGCAGCCAAAAAACACATGAAAAAATGCTCATCATCACTGGCCATCAGAGAAATGCAAATCAAAACCACAATGAGATACCATCTCACACCAGTTAGAATGGTGATCACTAAAAAGTCAGGAAACAACAGGTGTGGAGAGGATGTGGAGAAATAGGAACACTTTTACACTGTTGGTGGGACTGTAACCATAACTAGTTCAACCATTGTGGAAGTCAGTGTGGCGATTCCTCAGGGATCTAGAACTAGAAATACCATTTGACCCAGCCATCCCATTACTGGGTATATACTCAAAGGATTATAAATCATGCTGCTATAAAGACACATGCACACGTATGTTTATTGCAGCACTATTCACAATAGCAAAGACTTGGAACCAACCCAAATGTCCAACAATGATAGACTGGATTAAGAAAATGTGGCACATATACACCATGGAATACTATGCACCCATAAAAAATGATGAGTTCATGTCCTTTGTAGGGACATGGATGAAAGTGGAAACCATCATTCTCAGCAAACTATCGCAAGGACAAAAAACCAAACGCTGCATGTTCTAACTCATAGGTGGGAATTGAACAGTGAGAACACATGGACACAGGAAGGGGAACATCACACTCTGGGGCCTGTTGTGGGGTGGGGGGAGGGGGGTGGGATAGCATTAGGAGATATACCTAATGTTAAACGATGAGTTAATGGGTGCAGCACACCAACATGGCACATGTATACATATGCAACAAATCTGCACATTGTGCACACGTACCCTAAAACTTAAAGTGTAATTATAATAAAAAAATTAAAAAAAAGGAATGAAGCACTTATGCATGCCACAATGTAGATGAGCGTTGAAAATAATCTGCTAATTAGAAGAAGCCAGACACAAAAGGCCGTCTATTACACATGACTCCAGCTACTACATGAAATGTTCAGAATGGGCAAACCCATATAGATAGAAAGTAGGATAGTCATTGCCAGGAGCTGGAGGGAGGAGGGAAGGGGGAGTGACTGCTAACAGGTATAGGGTTTCTTTTTGGGGTGATAACATTTTCTGGAATTAGTGGTGATGGTCACACAACCATATGAATTTGCTAAAAACTGTTAAATCATGCACTTTAAAATGTTCAATTTTATGTTATATCTCAGTGCAAAAATAATAGAGTTTTTAAAATGGGTTCTAGGCTGGGCACTGCGGCTTATGCCTGTAATTCCAACACTTTTGGTAGGTGGAGGTGAGAGGATCACTTGAGCTCACAGTGTCAAGATCAGTCTGGGCAACATAATGAGACCTCATTTCTACAAAAACTTTTTAAAAAATTATCCAGCTGTGGTGATACATGCCTGTAGTTCTAGCTACTTGGGAACCTGAGGTGGGAGGATCACTTGAGCTCAGGAGGTCAAGGCTGCAGTGAGCCGTAATTGCGCCTGGGCAACAGAGCGAGACTCTTTCAAAATAAAAATTTTAAAAGTGTGTTCTATTATTGAAGATAAAAAAGGAGGAAATATCATTTTGGGGACAATGATGTCTGTCACAGTTCCCTAGAATGAGTTCATCAGAAAAAATTCTCTTTAGAATAGGTTTGAGTTAATGGAATAGAAGGGAAAAAATGAAATAGAAAGAAAAAAAAAGAAGAGAACACAATGATACACAGAGGAACAAGTCCAAGCAAAGGGTAAAGAGAGATGTTCTCAAGTTCTGAAGCCTTCGGTTCAGTTTGTTACCACTCCTGTGACTCTTGGTAGGCATTAAGCCTTGACTTTCCATTTGAACTCATAAAACAAGATAAAGTTTAGGAGAATAATGTCCAAGGCACAAGGTCGCTGACTTTAAACTTCTGCAAAATTAGCAACTTGGTCCTTTGCTATCCATGACTTTCAAAGTGGGACTAGTCAGAGCCTGGGAAACACTCCAGAGAAATCATGGTCTGGCCCTCATCACTTTTGGTCATTGAGTAAGAAACTCGAGGGAGTAGCGGCATGAATATTCCTAAATTTGAAACCCTGGGTTTATAGAAAAGAGTGGTAAGAATAATTAACAGATTAAGAGGAAAGTGTAGCATCGTAGAAGGATCATCAACTTTGGAGTTAGCCCTGCGTTCAAGCCCTGGCATTGCAGTTTGCTAGCCATGAGACTTTGCGCAAGTAAAGTAAATGTATTTAAGCTATCTGAACCTCAGTTCACTTCTCTATGAGATGAGCACGATACTGCCTACTATATCCTGCTTCCGTAGGCACTTATCTATGTGTCTGTATTAATCAGGATTTTTTCAGTTGCAAATGACAGATCCTAACTCCAACTAGCTTAAGGAAAACATAAAAACCTGGAAGAGCGGGAGCTGCTAGTGGTGGTGGTGGTAATGGTAGTGATGGTGGTGGGGTTGGGGGCTGGAGTTTTTGGATTGTATAACCAGGAAGGGTAGATGTGAGGGCAGAAACTTCCTGGAACTAGGAAGCCAAAGCCCTTGGACTCTCTCTTCACCACTCATGCAAACACGTCTCTCCATGCTGTCTTTATTCTTCAAAACCTGAGTCTCAGGGTCGCTAGAACCATATCGGCTGGCGCTGCAGGCTCGCTTCTGGTCAAAGAGAGGAAAGGGACATCTCCTAGCTTTGGCTTCAAAAGTCCTAGGGAAGAAATCTGATTACCCTGACTTCAGACACCTACCTGCCAACTTCTTGGACCCCTAACTGTGACCGTGTGTGTGTATGTGTGTGCATACCACCAGGTACCATGCTGGGCCCAGCCTAGGTCAGGGCCACACCCCTGAGGCCAGAGGAGGTGGAGTCTGTTACCAGAAGAAGGGGGATGGGGAGAGGCACTGCACACACCCAAACATGACTCATGTCTACCCTATGTCTACACATGTCTACTGCATGTCCCAGTCCCAGTCAACCCATCCTTCCTCCCTCACATACCCAGCTCCCTTTCTCCTACTCCACATCTCAGTGAAAAGCATCACCCAGGGGCTGAAGCCAGAAATCTGGGAGCCAAGCTGTATTCTTTCCTCTGGCTTATCTCCCACTTGCCATAAATTCTCAAGCCCTAGGGCTCTGCCCGCTAATTCCTTGCACATCTGTCCCATTCTCCAGCCCCTCTGACCCTGCTCCAGCACAGACCTCACAAGCTTGTGCTACCCACAAGGACTGGTCCTCTAGCTCCTGGTCGTATCTTTCTCCCCCTGCTGTAACTTCCACACTCTGGTGACAGTTATTTTTCCAAAATGATAGTCATGTCCTGTCTCTTCCCTGCCCAACATTTTTTAGTGGTGCCTCATCAAGGCCAGCTACATAGTTTGTGGGGCCCAGAGCAAAATGTTCAGAAAGCAAGGGAAAAGTGTCATTAGCTGGATTGAAATAGAAAGATTTTTGCTTTTTCATAGTTTCTGTCTCAACTTGTCATGGTGTTTTTATCTATTACTTAGTGTTCTAAGTAAAGAAAAATTTGAATTATAAATTATTAATATAACATTTACTGTTCCTCTTTATATTATGCAATGCCAGTTTTACATGAAAATATAAGAGCATTTAATGCACATGTGGAATCACTGAAGTCATGCAATTTGTATTTTTAGCCCATTGTATTTCATTCCTACCACAACAGTGGAAATGCTGCACAAACTAACCCTCTGTTTTACACTATTTCACTTCTTGATACACACTTCTTGGTACCTTGTACTTGCTTTGAGTCTTGCCAAACTCCCACACATAGTAGGTACAGTGGAATTCTGTGCCCGGGGGCATCATGAACATATTTAAATGAATTGGCGAGAAAAAGTGAACATGCATACTGCACACATCTCCTCTGCTCATGCTCCAGGACAAGCGAATGAAACACAAGTTCTAAGATACAATTATTAAGAATTTCAAGACTGTCGACAGCAGAGCATTAAACCAAGCATGGGGCCCTTCTGAGTGCAGGGGCCTAATGCAGTAAAGTGTACAGGCCACATGCCCACAAAGCTGGTCCTCTTTCCTATTTTCTATATCACGCAGCTTCAAACGAAAGACTAAGCTTTTTGTGATTAGGCCTAAGCCTCATTTCTTTCCTTTCTCCCACCTTCTTTGCCCCACAGAAATCTCTGCTTCTGCAGATATGATCTATTTGCAGTTCTCTCTCACCGTTCTCATTGCCTGGAATGCCTGGAAGCACCTGCTCATCCTAAGTCTCAGTTGTTTGAAGGCTGCCTCCTCTGTAGACTGCCTCGGCTCTCCCAGAAAGACTGGGATGCTCTTCTGTGTTTCCCTGCACTTTGATGCAGCCTGTGGTCATTAGATATTTCACTGCCATTGCACTATAAGCTTCTCGAGGGCAGGAACTGTTTCTTTTCTTTTTTGACTACAGTGTCCAATAGAGTATCTAGCAAATGATAGGAGTTCACTCAATAAACTTTTGTAAATGGAATGAGAAATGAAACAATGCCTGGCATACGGTAGGTACTCATTAATTAAACGAGTCTTTCAAAAATATTCACTGAGGCCAGGCATGGTGGTTCACACCTGTAATCCAAGCACTTTGGGAGGCCAAAGTGGCAGGATTGCTTGAGGCCAGGGGTTCTAGACCAGCCTGGGCAACATAGGGAGACCTGTCTCTATAAAATATTTAAAAGTTAGCTGGATGTGGTGGCACATGCCAGTAGTCCCAGCTACTTGGGAGGCTGAGGTGGGAGTATCACTTGAGCACTGGATGTCAAGGCTGCAGTAAGCCATGATTGTGCCACTATACTACAGTCTGGGTAGCAGAGTGAGACTCCATCTCAAAAAAAAAAATCACTGAATTCCCAGTATGGAATGAGACCTGTGCCATGCCAATCCTTCCTTCCTTTAGCAAATATTTATTGAGTGTCTACTGCATGTCAGGATCTATGCTAGGAGCTGGGAACACATTGGTGAACAAGACAGGCAGAATACCTTCCTTCCATAACCTTACATTCTTGTTGCCTCTCAGTAAATGCCATTTCACTTCCTCTCCTTCTCACTGTGCCTCCCACGAGTAACCGGATCAAGTCATGCATATTTTAAGACTTTATCTCCTTCCACCTCCTGCTCAGGATTCTCTTTCTTTGCTCCATTCTCAGATACCAAAAGATGGATGCTCAGTCTTGCCAGAGTTATCTTTTTTTTTTTTCCTCCATCCACTGCAGAGATCAACACAGAATGAACATGAAATTAGTCCCTTAGCTGCTGCAAGAGCTGCACCAGCTCCTGGGCCAGGGCTCAAGACTTCTCACTAAATTCTCACAGAGGTCCTCCTTAGACTTCAGAAAGCCACTACGGGTTGAATACTGTTGTGCTAGTATGTTCTCACACTGCTATAAAGAACTGCCTGAGACTGGGTAATTTATAAAGAAAAGAGGTTTAATTGACTCACAGTTCCACATGGCTGAGGAGGCCTCAGGAAACTTACAATCTTGGTGGAAAGCAAAGAGGAAGCAAGGACCTTCCTCACATGGTGGTAGGAGAGAGAAGTGCAAGCGGGGGAAATACCAGACACTTATAAAACCGTCAGATCTTGTGAAAACTCACTCACTGTCATGAGAATAGCATCGGGGAAACCATCCCCATAATTCAATCACCTCCCTCCCTTGACACATGGGGAATACGATTCAAGATGAGATTTGGGTGGGGACACAGAGCCAAACCATATCAACCATTTTCCATCTCTTCCCCTCACTTAATAGCTTCTCTCACAAATTTCAGGTTTATTTCTTTGCAAAACTTACCATATCTGGTCATCAAAACTGCACGTGGCTCATTTGGAGTGCAGTTGGTTACAGTGCTCAACTCTGGGTAACCAGAGAGAACAGATTTGTTGTTTGATGCTTGGATTCTTGATGACATAGGTCTGTTTTCCATCCTCTCCCTTTTTTCTCCCCATCCCTGGACCCATCAACCTTCTGCCTTCATGTAATTTCAAAGTGTTCTCCAGTAGAGAAGAATGTCACGAAGGCCTCCTTTATAGAAGTACATTACTCATACATAGTTTATTTTTCACTAGCGTTCTCCCGGCTAGGATGAAATTTTTCAGGCTTAATCATGTCTAAAAGAAGAAATATTTTGGAAAGTTTGAGCAAACTCACTTCAGAAACTATTGAGGATTTAGAAAATCAAGTTGTAGATGTGTTTTAGGTGAAGAAGTTTCATGAGGGTCATCATTACTTTCGGCAAGCCTCTGTTAAGTCCTAGGCACTGTGGAATAGCTTGGACTCCATGAAGATCCCTTTGTTGAATAGTTTGGGTCCCTCCAGGGTATGTTAGAGGCTAGACTGGCCATGTCTACAGCCTCAGCCACTCACTGCACTTCATTAATTTAAACGACTCCCATGAGCTCTGACATATTGGAAGTGAGAGTAGGTTGCTGGATCTAATGACCACTTGAAATCATTCCCAACCCACAAATAAGTTTTCACGGAATTCTCATTCCTGAATAAAGTTAAATCATGATTTTGACACACCGTGGAGGACTTGGCTCTTAGTCATAGCTCTGTGAGTCACTCTGCTCACCCAGAAGGTCACTGAAGATTCAAATGAGGCAGATAGGATTGTCCATCTCTGCTGGAAAATTGTTCTATAGCAATTTTGCCTATCTAGTACAACATTTTGGAATGCTTGGAATAGAGTAACAGCAACAGCAACACAATCATAGACCATGATAACTGCCATACATTGAGGCCTAATGTATGTTAGATGTTGTGTTAGGTGCTTATATAATTGAGGTCGACAACCACGCAAGGCATGTATCATTATTCTTATTGTGTGTATTAGGAAACAGAGGCTTACATGACAAGTTTGGAGGTGGCGTTGGGATTTGGGCTCAGATCTAGCTGACTCTGATGCCTGTGCTTTGCCCACCACACTGAACTGCCCTGAAAATGTGATTCTATACCTGAATCTTGCTTTCTGGGATGCTATGTAATTGAAGAAAAGTCTTTGATACCCCAATTACCCTGATGTGATTATTACACATTGTATGCCTGAATCAGAACATCACATGTACCCCATGAATACATATACCTATTATGTACCTGTAATCATTAAAAATATTTAATTAAGAAAAATGGGAGCAATGGAAATATGTGGAGAAGGAGTGTTCTTGTGAAAAGATTCCTTTGATGTAGCATTTTTAGGAATACAATGTTTTTTTCCCCATATAACTGAATTGTCAGTTTGTTATTTAAAAAATACTTTTGAGGAGGATCAGAAAATCTTGGGAGAAAAGTGCCTTTGTTCTTCTTAGCCTTATTAAACAGAGTAGACAGAATGTAACATTCTATTCTTGGTGTGTTAAGGCCATTTTTATAAGCATGAATTGTGATTCTCTAACATGAATAGTGCTATCCCTGGAGCTACTGTAGGCTGTCTATGAGGGAGAGGGTGTTTCCTCTATATTAACCAGCATGAGTTCCTTTTTTTTCTTTTTGTTTTGTGGGATGTCAAAGTCATCTCTCAAGACCCTACTTAATCATCTTCCTTGGAGACCTTCCCTGACCCCAAGGTGGAATGCTTCTCATTTAAGCTTCAACCAGCCCTTACATACCTCCATATGGCATGTGGCCCCTTGCACTATAAGGATCTCTTTATAGGCAGGTGTTCCCACCTGACTGCACTGTGCTGGAGGCCCTCCTTCCACCGTGTGCCCCAGGCCCTGCTTGGTACAGCCCATGCACAGAGT
This sequence comes from Homo sapiens, assembly GCF_000001405.40. Lineage (NCBI taxonomy): Eukaryota > Metazoa > Chordata > Mammalia > Primates > Hominidae > Homo > Homo sapiens. Next base: position 105,258,841 of record NC_000012.12, read on the forward strand.
GGTCTCTCAATACATATTTCTGGAATGAATGAGTGTTTATACCATAGATGATAAAAAGGGAGTGAATTACTTTTTCATTATGATTGGGGGGTTGTTATTGAGGTCAGGGTAGCAAAATGTATACATCTTTTTTTCCTGAATGCTTTTCATATTAAATATGAATTTGTGGGTGTTTCACTCTCCAGTCTTCAAATGTGAAGCTGGCTCTATGGTTTCTGTGTGCCTGTGTCATTATGTATGACTTTGGTTCTATGGCTGAGGTCATTTTAGGCTGTGGGCAGACCTCCCCAACCTCTGCCTGTGCTGCAGCACTCCACTTGATCCATCCCATGTTCTCTCCTGACCCATCGTCCTTCCTTGACTTCCTCATAAGAGGTGAGTTTCACTAGCCTCTGACTCTCTATAGAGATGTCAGCAGACAAGCTCCTAAACCAGTTCCTTCTTCTCCTGGGGGTGTACACAGTGGTCACCTTGTTGATAGCAGAATTCCATTCCCTGATGATCTGGCATTTGCCACATTGTTGCTCACTGAATTTGCAAGTAAAGCTCCCTCGCCGACAGAGGAAGGGTCTCTCCTTAGCCCCTCCCTGCAGTGAGGGTCCAGCAGTGATTAATGCATGGACTAGGAGGGAAGTCGGCCCTTTCTTTGGGCCTGTTTGATCACTCACAGCTGTTTACTTAGCATCTCTACTGTGAAGATGATACAAGTCCCTACCTCATATGGTTTTTACAAGGATAAAATAAAATCATACTTGTGAAGCATACTATCATTTCTGGCATACAATAAGAATGCAATAACAAAACCTACTAACTTTTGCCCAAGATTAGGGGGAGGGCAATCAGTGATATTAATAAATTTAGTTTTCTAGCTTAAGGATTCCAGATGCCTCATCTAAACCTTTGAGGGAAGGTTTTTGTTGTTGTTGCTTGAGATTGTTACAAAACACTTTGTCTAAGAAGCAGAAAAACCCAATCCAGTATCAAGATTAGGTTCAATGTTAGTAGCACAGCCCCCTTCCCTACTCCCTGGATAACCATGGCTTAAACACACAGATTTTCTCTCTCACGTAAAAGTCCAGAATTGTCAATCTAGGGCTAATGTGGTAGCTTTTCTTCATGAGGTCCTCAGGGATCTAGGCTCCTTCTATCCCGAAGCTCCATCATATAACCTCCATAGGTTACATCATGGCCCAAGAAGGCTGCTCAGCTCCAGCCATTGAATCTACAATCCAGGCAGAAAGTAGAAAGGGGCAAGGAAGAAATAGTAAACGGTATTTGCCAGATCTCTTTTAAGGAGGATTTCAGAAGCTGCCATATGAGACTTTTACTTATATCCCATTGGACCGAACTGACTCACATGGCCATACCTAGCTGCAAAGAAGGTTGGGAAATTCAGTCTTTATCTTGGCATTGCCCTGTGTCCAGCCAGAAACCAGGAGTTCTATTACAATGGAGGAAATGGAAAATGAATATTGAAATCAGTCTTTGCTGCACAAACTCATCCACTTCTCCTTATTATATTCATTACATTCAAGGAATTTAAGTGAGGTCCCTAAAACCTCACTGTATTCTTTTCAGTCAATAATAACATGACTTAGCATTATGCCTGACACTGATACATATGCAATAAATCTAGGCATTGGGAATGCAAAGATAAATAAGGAACAGTTCTTCCCTAAATAAAAGTGGTATAATGGCTTCTGTGCTGTACCAGTGGTAGTTTCAAAGTATTATTGGATATGGGGGAAGGGATGAGTGACTTTCTGGAGGGTCACGGTGGATGGTCTGGAAAGGTCTAACAGAGAACAGCTTTTGTTTGGGACCTTGGTGAATAAAGAGGACTTTCTTAGAAACAAGCAGATACAAGCCAAAAATCAACTGCTGGGTGCATTCCCAGCTATAGGCAAGAGGTTCTTGGCTCAAATATGTGGATTCAAGCAAAGAATTAGGAAAAAATGGAGAGGGAAAGTACTTTGCCTCCTCCCATCTATGTGCACCCAAGGAACCAGAAAAAAAAGAATGGAATACAATGGTTATTTTTTAATTTCAATAGTAAAACATGGCTAGGCCATTTATTGCTATAGTCCAAATTTTTCCTCTGAAATATTGGATACTTTTCCTGTTGAAGAACAAATCTAGCATAAGGTTAATGGGCAGAGGGTCCCATTTTTAGAAACAGGTTAAACATACTGTACTGTGGAATAAGCTAATGTATGCCTGATATGAAATTTATGCTAAAATAACTCTAAAAATCTCATTAGGAGAGTAACCAGAGATCCTGAAAAACAGCTTTAATAATGGCAATAAAAGCAATCTCACCTAGTTTAGTATTACAAATGGGGAAATGAAACTATGAAGTTAAGTAGCCTAGCAAAGCCATGGGGCATTATTATAGAAGCAGCTCAGATTTTCTCATTCCTATGAACGTTTGGTTCCCTCAGTTACTAAACCTCTTTTGCATATGGACTTTTGCATATATATAACTATATAGTTATTTCCTACACTACGTACATATAAGGTTTCAAATTACACTTTGTTTTCTATTTTGCTCCAATGTACATATAAGCTCACATGTACAACCTGAGAAAACTTAGAGTTGACTGTGACAAGTCTTGATGTCTTTCATCATGCCTTTGGATAACAATTTAAACAACAGGGACAGTGCTGTTACAAAACTAAAATTATAAATATGGAAGCCATCATATGTCAAAACTGGATGCAAAATATTTTGAAGGCATTGCTTCCTAAAAGAAAACAAAGTAACTCTAGTTCATCAGAATCCAGGGAAGAAGAGAAAACCTATCCAGCCATCTGTAGTACAGCTGAGTCTGCGACATGTGACATGTACCATCCAGCATGTGACATGTACCTTCCAGGGGTTGCTTTGGGAGCCTCGGAGAAACTTGGAGTACATACAAGAGAAAAATACAAGGTCCGTATACAAAATATGCTACTCTCAGCAGGAAAAATAAGGGCAAAATAAAATGATGTAAAAGTAGCAGCCGCTTTAGGCTTCTTTGTTCCATGTTGGGGAGGGGTTTTTTTTTAATGCTAATAAACTTGAAGGGCCCATTTTGAAATAATTTCATTATGTGACTGTCAAGAAAATGCCACAAAAGTCTCACAGACATAAATAACTGCCATCTTCAATTTGTAAAACGTCTTATTGCCCACTGGTTTTGTATTCTAGAGAGCTTAATGCTTTTTCTCTATCCTTTTACTTGTACTGTTAATTCCCTCTGCTTTTACATTCTTAAGGAAAGGGTTTTCATTTCACAAGTCAGGTAGGGTTTTCTCAGTGTTTTGGACTTTCACATCCTGGGAACTTTTGTTTTTGACTGCTAAGAACCCATCAACCTCCTGGCTAGGGTCTTCCTGTACCCAAGCTGTGCCCAGGTTTCCAGTATAAGAGGTTGCAAAGTAACAAACTCAGTCTGAGGGGCTGGGTGGCATTGAGCATGCAGATCCAAGGTTTGACTACTGCCACTGCCACTCTGTGTGACGTTGGATAACTGACTTACCCACTCTGTGCCTCAGGGGCGTCGTTGTAAATTGGGGGTAATGAGAGTGCCTACCTCATGAGGTTACTGAGAGGATGAAGTGATTGGCTGGCACATTGTGAGTACTAGGGAAATGTTAGCTATTACCATTATTGCATTCTAATATCCCAGTAAGATATTTACGTTTGTGGCAAATATTCCTTAATATGTTCTTTAATCTGATGTGTACTGAAGTGGAGAGTTCAGTTATTGAAGTTGAAAGATCTTGGCTTGAGGCTCAACATTGCCACATTCTAAATATGTCACTTTGGGCAAAATATGGAACCCATCTGGGCTTCAGTTTTCTCAACCATGAAATATGCAGGGGATGGGGAGCTGGATAATTTCTCATTTATTCATTTAACAAATATTTGTCGAGCACTTAACATTCATCTCCAAAATCTATATGATAGTTGTAAGCATTTTATGTGGACTCGATATGATCCCAGGTGTTACTTTTGCAAGTAGAGTTGTTTGTCAGGGGTTCTCCCTCATTGCATTTTTCTCATGCAGATGAGCAGTGGATTTAATGTTTCTGTGGCTTAGGGATCTCTTTGGGTATCTGGGGAATGCAGAGCAACCTCTCCACACGCCGACATACACACAGGCCAGACAGAATTTGGGCACAACCTAGGGGCTGGCTGACAGCTTTGCAGTCTATTTGTGGCTCTCTGGGGCCCTAAGAGCAGTGTACAGATTGAGAGTTGGACCACTCAGATTCTGCCTAGCTGGGAATCCTGGAAATCAGTAGGAAAAGGAATATGGTGGCAGCTACCCATTTGAAGATCAACTGAATAAGACACGAAACACTAACACAGGCAGAAAGGTCTCTGTCAACCAGCTGGCAACTCCTGCTACAGGTGAAATCAGGGAATGAAAACTTTTTTTATCTTTCTGCAAGACTAAGTCTTGCTATGTTACCTAGGCTGGAGAGTAGTGGCGTGGTCATAGCTCACTGCAGCCTCGAACTCCTGGGCTCAAGCACTCCTCCTATCTCAGCCACCCGAGTAGGTGGCACTACAGGCACACACACTACACTTGGCTAATTTTTAAATCTTTGTGTAGAGGCAGGATCTCATTATGTTGCCAAGGCTGGTCTCAAACTCCTGGCCTCAAGTAATCCTCCTGCCTTGGCCTCCCAAAGTGCTAGGATGAGAAGCGTGAGCCACTGCACCTGTAAGGAACGAAAACCTTAAAAAATGAGGTGTATGTGGATCATCTAACTCCCCTGCTCAAACCCTCCCATGTTCCCATTACACATGCTGTAGAATCCAAGGTCCTCTCCATGGCCTGTAGGGCTGTACCTGGTGGGGCCCCGGGCCCCCTTATTTCACTCCAACAATGCCACCCTATTGTGTTTCCAAACACACGCAGTAGGCTCCCTTTCCTTCTGTTTGGGGCTTTCTTAACCTAGATCTTCTCATGAAGCCTTTCTTGTGACTCAGGTCTCAGCCCACTGAATCTAAAGTAGTTCCCAGACACTCTCTATTGTGTATGTTTCTTCTCTTCCCGCCACTTGTCACCATCACAGTTTCCATATTTATGTATATGTTTATTGTTGGTTTCCAACATGAAAGATATACTTCTTATGAGAGTAGAAGGAACTTTGTCCCATTCCTTGCTGTATTCTCAAGGTTAAGCAGAGTACCCAGCACACAATTGGAGCTTGATCAGAAGTTGTCAGTTAAATGAATGAATAAATACACGGGTGAGTGAGGACAGTCATTGGGAAACTTGCCCTCCTCTCCATTCTATTAGGTTGGTGCAAAAGTAATTGCAAAAAGTAATTGCAAAAGTAATTGTACCAATCTAATAGAATGGAGGGGAGAGCAGGTTTGCTGACACCACCAAATGCTGGCAAGGATGTAGAGCAACAGGAGCTCTCATTCATTGCTGGTGGGAATGCAAAATGATACAGCCACTTTGGAAGACAGTTTGGCTGTTTCTTACAGAAATACACGTACTTTTACCATATGATCCAGCAATTGTGCTCCTTGGTATTGACCCAAATGAATTAAAAACTTATGTCCACACAAAAACCTGCACATGGATGTTAATAGCAGCTTTAATAATAATTAACAAAAGTTGGAAGAAACCAAGATGTCTTTCAGTAGGTGAATGGATACATTACTTTTATGGCAAAAGTCTCAATTACTTTTGTGCCAACCTAATAATATCATGCTATTAACAGAGGAGGCGGCGTGGGGTGAGGAAATGCCACTAAGAAAGTCTCAGATGAGTCTCAGCATCAAGGTGATGTGGCACATTGAGGAACACAGAACCTGGATCAGCCTGGCTAGATTCAGTCCGTATCTCTGTGCTGTCTGGTAAGTTCTTAAGAGTACCATATACTAACTGATTGCACCACTGGAGCTACAGGTAAGTTCTTTAAACTCTCTGCAAAATGGAGGTGATAGTAAAAGTACCTGCTACTGTTTTGAGTACTAAATACAATCATACATACAAAGCTCTTAGAATAGTGGCTAGCAGGTGGGCACGGTGGCTCATGCCTGTAATTCCAGCACTTTGGGAGACGGAGGTGGGAGGATCACTTGAGCCCAGGAGTTGGAGATCAGCCTGGGCAACATGATGAAACCATGTCTCTACACAAAATACAAAAAATTAGCTGGGTGTGGTGGTGTGCGCTTGTAGTTGCAGCTACTCAGGAGGCTGAGGTGGGAGGATGACTTGAGACCAGGAGATAGAAACTTCAGTGAGCCATGATCGCACCACTGCACTTCAGCCTGGGGGATAGAGTGAGACTCTGTCTCAAAAAAAAAAAAATTATTGCTATTAGGTCATTGCTTGGTAAAACTTTAAGCCTCTGCATTCACATCCACCTCTTGCCCCCACCTCATCATCAGCTTTTCCAAATGCTGAGCACTGCCCAGTAAGACAAAAGCCTGCCCCAGAGGTTCTCAGAATTCTCCCCATGACACTCCCATGTGCTATGGAAATTTCTAGGTTCCTCCCATTTGGCTTTACTCCATCCCTTTCCCTCATACTAAAGAAAGCGTTTTGGAAAACAGGTGAAATATAAAGTTATAAAGATAATCTTGCATCTTTTTAAACTTAAGAACAAAGTGTAAATCGTTAGAAAACTTGATTATTTGTCAAATGATCAAGACAAATGAGATTGAAAACCACTGGCCTTCATGGCATGCTTAGCAAGAAAGGGACTAAAAATGAAATGGGTAAGAAAGCCCTGAACAGTAACTTCTGTGGTCCCAGGAAGTAGTCAGTGACATTACCTGGAAGTGTTACAGAACCAGCCCCCAGAGAGGGACCTTTCATGAGTCCCACCAGCAAGTGACACTGTTTCCCAAAAGTAATAGAATTGGATCCCTTCCCCTCCACAGGGGAGCTGCAAGAGCTGTGTCCTCAAGCAAATAGAGAGAGAAGCCACCCCCTCTGGGATAAGTAGTACATCGTTGACACTTTGTAGGGCTAGCCTTCCTCAGCAATGTAAGTGATGTAAAAAATGGTGCCGAAATATGAACAACAATAAGATACCACTACACACCTATCAGAATGGCCAAAATGCAAAATGCGGACAACACAAAATGCTGGAAAGGATGTAGAACAACAGGAACTCTCATCCATTGCTGGTGGGAATGCAAAATGGTACAGCCACTTTGGAAGACAATTTGGCTGTTTCTTACAAAACTATGTATACTCTTACCATATGATGCAGCAATTGTGCTCCTTAGTATTGACCCAAATGAATTAAAAACTTATATCCACACAAAAACCTGCACGTGGATGTTAATAGCAGCTTTAATAATAATTGACAAAACTTGGAAGCAACTGAGGTGTCTTTCAGTAGGCGAATGGATAAATAAACCAGGGTACATTTAGACAATGAACTATAATTCAACGCTTGAAGGAAATGAACTATCCAGCCATGAGTAGACTTGGAGGAAACTTCAAAGAATATTATAAAGTGAAAACGCCCATCTGAAAAAGGCTATATACTGTATGAGTCCACCTATGTGACATTCTGGAAATGGCAGAACTATGAAGAGAGTGAAAGTACCAGTGGTTGCCAAGGGTTGCGAGGAGGGAGGAATAAAGAGGCAGAACGCACAGAAATTTTAGGGAATCCAAACTGTCCTGTATGATACTATAATGGTAGATACATGTCGTTATACATTTGCCAATACTCATAGAATGTACACCAAGAGTGTCAACTATGGACTTTGGGCAATAATGAGATGACAATGTAGGCTCATCCATTGTAATAAATGTAGCCACTCCAGTGTGCGGGTGTTGATAGTGTGGGAGGCTGTGTTGTGGGGGGCAGAGACTATATGGGAGCTCTTTGTACTTTCTATTCAATTTTGCTGTGAAGCTAAAGCTACTCTAAAAAATAAATTCTGTTTTAAAAACCCTTTAAATTAAAGCTTGAAAAAGTCCATGGAGCAGAGATCTGGAATAAGTAGTCCCATGCAGGAAGTCCCATCCCAGCATGTCAGAGTGGTAGACACAGAACATCCGCAGAACAAATGATTCCAGCCCAAAGACCAGAAGAAAAAGACTTATCTTGACCATCCTTTCCTTAGGGTTCTTTTCTTAGGGTTGCACTTCCTCTGTGAGGAGGGAATAGGAAAATGATAGTCAGACCCCAACAAGTGGTGGTTTGTGATAGAACTGTATTAACTGAATAATAAAATGTATATAGTTCTCCCTTCTATTGTGTTCAATTGCACTCCTCATTTTGTGGCCTTTGTAAAACCCCAAAAGGAAATCTTTGGAAAGCCATAGTTATGGATCTATATATCTGAACTGGGTTGTGTGACTGTCTCAGTTTGGGTTCTTCCCAAACCAGACCCTGAGACAATAATTTGAGTATAAGTCGTTTATTTGGGAAGTGCAGGGAATACTGGTAGGAAACGGGGAAGTGACACAGGAAAGGAAGCTAGTAAAGCCTCCATTATTTTATTCTTATTCTTATTCTTATTCTTCTTATTATTATTTTTGAGACAGAGTCTTGCTCTGTCACCCCAGGCTGGAGTGCATTGGCGCGATCTCGGCTCACTGCAACCTCTGCCTCCCAGGTTCAAGTGATTCTCCTGCCTCAGCCTCCAGAATAGCTGGGATTACAGGCGCCTGCCACCATGCCCGTCTAATTTTTGTATTTTTTAGTAGAGATGGGGTTTCACCATGTTGGTCAGGCTGGTCTTGAACTCCTGACCTCAGGTGATCCACCCGCCTCGGCCTCCCAAAGTGTTGGGATTACAGGTGTGAGCCACTGTGCCTGGCCAAGGCTCCATTATTAAACCAACTACTGCTGTAGGCAATTGAAATGTAATTTCACAGGGATGTTCTAAAAAATGGCGTAAAAAACACATCTCAGAATAATTCTTCCTGAGTAGCAAGTGGCTAGGGGAGATACATTTGGAGGGCTATTGGAGTGCAGACAGGCTGTGGTCATTTCCTGGTGCTTCTCTGCACAAGCATATGTCAGTTAGAATAGCTTTCCATGGTTCCAAAAAGAGCCTCCAGGCCCTAGAGGCCCACACTGGGAGCTGTGTCATCAGCTGGAGCGTCGGTGAAGACTGTAAGCAGGACACTGGTAACAGCTGCTACATTAACCACTGCAATCATCCAGGTTCATCTGGTTCCTATCCCAGCCCCACCATTACCAGCTATAAGATCTTCAGCAAATTTGTAACCTTTCTTAAGACTCGGTATTAAAGCTTAAGAATTAACACCAGCTTATGAGGTGGCTGTGAACATCAACTAAAAAATGTGTGTCAAGTAACCCTGGCACATAGTTTCAATTTATATATATGCGTGTGAGTCTGTGTGTGTTTCTGTGTTTGTGTGTACACATAAAGACACACACACATATTTCTTGGAGTAGTGAGATAAGAGACTGCGCTCATTGAATGTAGCTTTAGCAAGGCTCACTTAGACCCGAGAGGGCTACATATTACCGACCACACTGTAAAAGACTGATTTTTATATCAGATCATCACCCCGTTATTGAGCATATAAAATGTAAACAGGATCTAGATTGGCATTCCCTGGGCTTTAAGAAACTTTCAAGAAAGTAATACAAGAGAAAACTTCTGTAGCTGTCAGATGGCTTCCTGGCTCTCCCTGCTCTTACTTAGGCTATGATTTGGTCCTATAAACAAGACCCAAGTCTGGCTTTTTCACTAGTGGGAGAGTGACTCTCCTCTCCTAGCAGTGGAGATGAGGAAACAGAAGGTGCTGTAGCTTTCCAAGGGAACTGTTTATCTCAAGATGCCTCAAGGACCTCCACGTTCTCCTCTCAGTTTGGGGCTGTGGCTTACTCCACTGCTAAAACAATGAAATCTGCCCCTGAACAATAATTGTTTTATGGAAAGAAAAATGTTGTCAAAAAAAGAAAATCTTCATTGTTTTGCAAAATCTCTAAAAGGACCAGATATAAACTGTTGATTGACCAGTGTGCTTATTTTTCAAATGGAAAAATAACACCTTTTTTAAAAAAGTGACCTTTCATACAAAAGATACTGAAATTTTACAGGTCTTTCTTTTTTTACTGAGATATTATTGACATACTGAGAAAAATCTTGTATTAAAAAAACTTTTTGGTATTAAAAAAGGATGGATAATAGCTGCATTTGGTTGGATGTAAAATGTTAGGATTCAGAATTTGATTTGGATTTTAAAGTCAATCAATCTTCCAGTCAACATTACTAAAGGTCCAATTGGCAAGAGTATAAACTAAAAGAAGGCAAAATATTTAACAAAAGTTGATGGTTATTGAGTTTTCAAAAGAATGTCACTTTCTAACAGTTGTTCTTGAGAAAGGTTTTGCAATATCATCTGGGTATTTTTAAGTAAAGGACCAAGGTTTGGTTTCTGGTTTGATGTAAGGGCAGTTTGAGCCAGAACCAAGAAATGTACTGGTTCACTTTTTACAGTCTCTTCTTATCCTACACTCCTATGGCCTGACTGCAGCGAGGGATATCTTGAAAAGCTACCAGTTCAGTGGGTCTCCTCTGGGCATTCATTAGTATACCTACTTTGTTCGTAGAATGATTTCTTTCAAGCCTGGAACCAGAGTTGATTTTTGTACATGCAATTTCTCCTAACTCATTTCAATGTTTTGTTTCTCATGATACATTTTAATCTTTCTTAATTTTAGCCTTTTTACTTAGTCACCCCAATTCTTCGAACTGTCTGTACGTGTGATACCCAAGGTCTTATACCCTATTCTGTTCAGAGGAATGACCAGACAACCCAAACTTATAGCTTTCCACTTACAGACTCACTTAAGCCCTGCTAAAGTGGGACTGAGATTTTCTGATTGCTTCTCTATCTGTCAGAATTTTGATTTTTAATCCCTGTCTGCTGGGTTTCAAAGTTCATGCATTTTCTTTATATCACGCACCTCTCTTTTTGGGTGCAAAACTGAAAGACAACAGCCTTTATATTTTTGATGAGTGTATGACTAATGCTGTTGCATCTGGATCGGAAAAGAGGAAATTCATAACAAATGGCCAGCAGTAATCACCTCTAAAGTACTTGAAATTGGTTGGGAAAAATTTTCAGAAGCTTTCCCAAAATTTTCATTTACCTCTTCTAGTGATTTTGGAGTTTCCCAACATAGATATTTAAGATTTTTAAAATGTTCCTTATTCATTGTATTTGCTTTCATATTTACTTTCATTATCATCAATTGAAACATCTTGTTCCTGCTATTTTTTTCTGCAAATAGGTGAATTTGAACAACATCAAGGCATAAATAGGCCTCTGTGGGCTGATCTGGGAGCCCTACCATTTAAAAATTGTTTATAAGAGAAAACATGTTCCAATTCTAAGCAAACAAATTAAAACATAACCCTTTTGTACATTGGACATGGCTGATTTGTGCCAGGTTAAGAGTATAAATTAGAAGCAAGGCTGGCCAAATTCAAATTCCAGCTCTGTTTCCAGCTAGCTGTGTCATCCTGAGCAAGCTTCCTAACCACGCTGAATCTCTATTTTCCTTTCTTCTTACCTGGAGGACATAGTACCTACTGCAGAAGGTTTCAGAGAGGTATGAATGATGTAATGTACATAAAGCACAGAGTAAAACTTAATAAATATTAGCTATTTTGATCCTGTTTTTAAGGTCCCATTCAGGCCCCTGACTTTAGTAGGAAGGTGAGAAGGAGGAAGGCCAGGGTCTAGGCTTTGCTTCTGGGGCCACAAGTCCCTTCTAGCATGCAAGCCAATAGTTTATTACAGAAAGACTTGCTGTCATAAGGATTCCCTGTATGACCCTGAAAAGTTTCACCATCTTCTGTGCCTGTTTTTTCTTCTTTAGGATGGATGTCAGCAATAATAAAACCTTCCTCTCCTTAACTCACAGACCTACTGAGAAAATAAAGGAGAGACTCTCTGCTTGAGGTCTTTGAACTAATCAGTTCCACATAAGGTGTCATGAATCCCAGACTTGTGAAAGTTCACATCTGTAGTCATCCTTTTTCGGTGAGTGAAGTAGGGAGGGGGAGACCAAATTCCAGTGAGTACTGGAACCCCTGGCTATGGATCTGTGCTTGGGATTTTGGGCTCCTCACATTCCAATACTTACAAGCTTCAGTTGTATTAAAGAACTTGGGAGACAGATGGACTTGAGGTCTGGCCCCAGCTTTGCCACTTATCAGCTATGTGACTCTGAGCAAGCCACTTAATCTCTCAGAGATAATATCAGTATCACCCTCAGAGGGCTGTCAGGATGAAATGAGGGGGTGCACACAGCATATTTAGCACAGTGTCCAACACAGGCTTCGTGCTCAAAGTGTCAGATTTGATGATGATGATGGTGATAACGATAATTTTTGTTTATTTACTGCTTAAAAGTGTCCACCCTTAAATATCACAACCGTTTATTATTCTTTTCTTAGTTGCTCTGCTGCTGCAGTGGTTTGAAACACAGGCTCAGGCTCTCCAAAGATATTCCCTTCTCTAGTTTCTGATAGAGTCATTTTGAAACTATTGCCCTAATTAAATCGCAATGTTGGCTGTATATCTATTGTCTGTTTTATAAGCCACATAATTGTTAAAAGAGAGAGGATGCTAAACATCTCTTTCTACATTTTCTTCTTTCTTTCAAAGTAATGAGTTTTCTCATTGTTTTAAGGAATTAGTCATGTTGGCAGGGTGTGCAGATTGTCATTTTGATGGATCCTCATAGTATATGACAAGATTTGACAAAGAGTTTTCAAAAATCATTAGGCTTGTCAAAATTCTATTCTGTGCTTTGTCAAGAGTCACCATCCTATATTATACATCTGAGAGTTTGTCAGATAACAAACAGAGTTGCCACAGCTGGAGTTGGATTGTGCTCCTCAGGTCCTCTGCACCAACTTCAACCTGAAAAACTACAATTTTGTATCTTAGAATTCCAGGTAAGATTTCATTTGAAAAGAGGTTCACGGCTAAAACGCTTGTGCTTTTCTGCACGCATGTCTTTCTGTAGACTTAGACAGGAAATCCATTTCTAGACTGGGAAAAACATTTTAATTAGCCATTAGTAGTGGGTCAGAGGAGTAAAACAGGAACAATGGGAAGTCTAAGAGAAAAAGGGAGGTAAGTATAGACCAATAGACACAGCACATTGGAGTAGAAAAATACTTTTTTTTTTTTTTTAATCAGACAGGATCTCAATCTGTTGCCTGGGGGGAGTGCAGTTGTTCCCTTTTACTGGTGGAGGGTCTTGACTATGAGTTGTCCAGGTTCTTGGTGTTTGGAACGAAGAATTGGACAAAACACACAAACAAAGCACAATGAAAGAATGAAGCAACGAAAGCACAGATTTACTAAAACAAAAGTACATTCCATGGAGTGGGAGCCTGCTCCAGCAAGCGGCTGAAGAGGCTGGTTACAGAATTTTCTGGGGTTTAAATTCTCTCTAGAGGTTTCCCATTGGTTACTTGTTTACACCCTATGTAAATGAAGGAGTGGCCCACGACCAGACTGATTGGTCATGGGAGGTGACCAGTCAGAGGCTGAAGTGAAATTACAATGTTACACATGAAGAATTGGGTAGTCTGATTGGTTGTGGGAAGGGACCAATTGGAGGTACTTTTCATTTATCATCTACCATGCAGTGCAAAGGGAGTAGCCTCTGATCCTTTTGTTACTTGGGTGTGGAGAGGTGGGGTTTTTCTTTTGATTCAGTTCTAGGAAGTCAACAGCGTGATCTCAGCTCACTGCAGCCTCGACTTCCCTGGGCTCAAGTGATCCTCCTGCCTCAGCCTCCCAAGCAGCTGGTACTATAAGTGCATACCACCACGCCCTGGTAATTTTTGTATTTTTCGTAGAGACAGGGTCTTACTATGTTGCCCAGGCTGGTCTCGAACTCCTGGACTCAAGTGATCCACCTGCCTCAGCCTTCCAAAGTGTTGGAACTACAGGCGTGAGCCACTGCGCTGGGCCAGAAAACACATTTTTAAATTTTTTTTGTTTGATATAAGTTTAACATATCCATGAGACCTGACTTCAGCTACCTGCACCTTAAGAATAGAAACTGGATTTTAAACTCAGTTTTGTACATCATGAGGAATTGGTCTGGTAGAGTTCCAGACTGGAACTGGAGCTGGTTGGAACCAGAAGCTGAAAAACTGGTATGTTACTGGTCTTCTTTTCACCTCTAGTCCCTGCTTGCCTTTGTAAGCTTCATGTTCAGACAGGATTTCATGGTCCCTAGCTAGTGATCCTGGGGGAGAGGGGTAGGAGAATAGGGATACAAAAGTACTCTTCTTTCCCAACGTTACTAGGAAGAGTCCTAGGCCTGGCCCTCATTGGCCAAAATTGAGCCATGTGCTCACCTTTCAGCCAATCACTGTGGTTAGGGGAATAAAGCACTTTCATTGGCCATTTCCGGGTCATATGTTCTCTCCCGGAGCTCAGGTGGGTGATGAATTCTATTTAATGTAGACCTCAGAGCAAGAGAGGGGTGTTATCCCAAAGGAAAATCAGTGCTATTCCCAAGAAACAAAACGGTTGGTATAAATTACATTCCTGAGGCTATCCCCTTTCATACCTGCTCCTGCTCACCCTCAAAATTCCCAAAAGAGAATTTTGTGCAGAAGCTGTTAAAAACACTAGCTTTGTGTTTAAATTCTGTTACTTGTACTTATTAGCTTGGTGTGTCTCTGGATGAATGATTTAGCCTTTTTGTGCTTTAATTGTCTCATTTCTAAAATGAAGATAATAATAGTGTTCACTTCATTGGTTGCTGAAAAGATGAATTGAGATTAGGCTAAAGCAACACTTAAAAGGTTAGACCAATTAAGAATACAATCAATGTTTTCTGTTGCATAGAAGCTCTCTTAACTACCTTCTACCTAACCCATCCATCTAATTCAACCCAACTCTCCATTCCCTCTTAAAATATACAGCCACTTTTGACATGCCCATGGCATGCTAAGTATCTGGACATGTCGGTTCCCGCCCTTTGAATTGCAATTGGCCCAAAACCTGTTTATTTGTGCTGTACTTATTGTTATAATCACATAATACTAAACCAATGACCTATAAGTGCAAAAGTGCTTTTTGTGAAACTTCTTTTGCATGCTTTGTTAATGTTTTCAAAAGACTTGATAAAAGTGAATTGCTAAAAAGAATTGCTACAAAATTAGATATTGGCAAAACTTTATAAAAGATTGGTGAAAATTATAAAGCTCTAGGGAGAGTCTTCACACAAAATGATTTATTAGTGTGGTTTATTCAAGAAACATAACACAGAACTCTAATCAAAGACTTATACTTAAATAAAAGGCTTTGTCTGTAGAATATCAATTGACTGATGGCTGTACATACAATTATGTGTTTTAAATCTAAATATGCCTAAAATTATTTATGAGATTTTCTTACGATTCCATGCTCTAGCTATTTTTTCAATTAACTAAACAATAACCAGTTCCAAGTGCTTTAAACAGATAGAAAATGGAATTTGCTGTATTATTATTACTTTCAGTCATTGCCATCATTTTTTAACCTCCCACCCATTCTTCAACCGTTTACAATCTGGCTTCCATAACCACCACTCTCTTGAAACTCTTGTATAAGAAATTGCCAAACTCAATTCCCTACCTGCTTTTTAAACAATGCGGTTTCTCAGAATTCTGCTTCCCCTGAAATTTCAGACTCCAGGGAACCACTTCCAAATACCCCATAAAGCTGAAGAACTAGAAAATCTAACTGGTCTTTTAGGGATTCAATTTTCAGCTACTACTAGTACCACCACTGAAAATCCATGTGGTACAGTCACTGGGTTCTTGTCCACTGCCGTAGTGATGCCCTTGCCGGCCAAGGTAAGTGCACAGGCCTCTTGTTTGGCCTCCAACATTCCAAGTCCTGGGCTTGCACTCAGATACTCTGTCATGGTCCCTGCAGCATGTCCACCATGCTATGGGGCTTAGGAGTAGAGGGACAGCTTTGGCCACACGCCAGGACCAGCCCTCTGGATGCTAGTGCGGAGCCTGGCTCACCTCTTGCCAAATGGGAGAAAATTTTCGCAACCTCCTCATCTGACAAAGGGCTAATATCCAGAATCTACAATGAACTCAAACAAATTTACAAGAAAAAAATAAACAACCCCATCAAAAAGTGGGCAAAGGATATGAACAGACACTTGTCAGAAGAAGACATTTATGCAGCAAAAAGACACATGAAAAAATGCTCATCATCACTGGCCATCAGAGAATTGCAAATCAAAACCACAATGAGATACCATCTCACACCAGTTAGAATGGTGATCATTAAAAAGTCAGGAAACAACAGGTGCTGGAGAGGATGTGGAGAAATAGGAACACTTTTACACTGTTGGTAGGACTGTAAACTAGTTCAACCATTGTGGAAGTCAGTGTGGCGATTCCTCAGGAATCTAGAACTAGAAATACCATTTGACCCAGCCATCCCATTGCTGGGTATATACCCAAAGGACTATAAATCATGCTGCTATAAAGACACATGCACACGTATGTTTATTGCGGCACTATTCACAATAGCAAAGACTTGGAACCAACCCAAATGTCCAACAATGATAGACTGGATTAAGAAAATGTGGCACATATACACCATGGAATACTATGCAGCCATAAAAAATGATGAGTTCATGTCCTTTGTAGGGACATGGATAGAATTGGAAATCATCATTCTCAGTAAACTATCACAAGGACAAAAAACCAAACACTGCCTGTTCTCACTCATAGATGGGAATCGAACAATGAGAACACATGGACACAGGAAGGGGAACATCACACTCCGGGGACTGTTGTGGGGTGGGGGGAGGGGGGAGGGATAGCATTAGGAGATATACCTAATGCTAAATGACGAGTTAATGGGTGCAGCACACCAGCATGGCACATGTATACATATGTAACTAACCTGCACATTGTGCACATGTACCCTAAAACTTAAAGTATAATAATAATAATAATAATAAAGGAGACTTCCTTTTGGGGCCCTTAATGCCTTTCTCTCTCAGTAGAATTCTATTAGGACAATATCAGTGTCCCAAAGAGATTTGCGAGGAAAAATTGTTTAAGACTTTAAAATGAACCGAAAGATTACTGAGTGTCTTTATTTTTATCTAGCACACCTTTCTGGATTATCTGATTCTATGGGACCTCTGTGACTTTCATTGTCTTTGAACAATTTTATAACTCTGATTTGTAGACAACTGATAGGAATGTAAATGTAAAATCTGTGTAAGGACAATTGATTCCCCTTCTTTTCAAAAGAAGCCAGTTTTGCATCTCTTTCTAAATTCATTTTAGCATTCATGGTTGACCTATATATGTGTGATACTTTGAATTTGCCTTTGAACTCATTGCAACATCTTACTGGTTCCCTCATTAATTAGGGAGTTAAATAAAATTTTGACAAATGTGCATCTTACGTTTGTTTGAGGGTCATGATATATTTAAATACACATGATATATTTAAAGCATTATTCTTTAACAGCTTTTCATACTCCTGATCCTCCAAAGGGCAGCCTTTGTCAGACCAGAGTTCTGTTACACCCTCCCCCAGGACAATAGCTGCCATCTTTCCTTTTATTTACACCACTAAGAGGAGCCATCTACATAAGTCTTTCTAGAATAGAGAATGTTTGCAGCAAGATGATTTACTGTTTCCAAATAGAGAAGCAGCTGGCAACCCTTAAATGGCAACTTCCCTCCCTCAGGTTCCTTCTACCCAGGCACCTCCCTCCCAAACTCATTTCCACATCCTGCATGAACCTGTTCATTTGTATCCTGATGTCACCCTACTCTCTACTCTCCAGCTCTTTTAGGGCGAGGACATGTCTTACTCATCATTCTGGTCTCCATAGTGCCCGATACTGTCACTTGTTTATAGTAGGTGCTCAGAAAAGATTTGCTGAATTTATTCCATGTTGTAGGGCAAAGAAAAATAGAATGGAAGCCTGTTAGAGCAACGGTCTTAAAATATAGTATTAGGCTGCTGGAATTTTAGCATAAGAAAGAATCTTAACAATCTTCTAGTGGATATGATGAGAGAGAAAAGGGGGCCTGGTAGCAGTTCATAAACAGTTGCTCCAGATGCCCCTTCATAACACCACATAGTCACTGCCTCTCTTCCTGCTCCTAGGGACCAACATGTCCCTACAGCCCTATGTGACTTTCATTGTACTTGGATCAGGAGTGAGCGTTTATAAAAACAAGACTAAAACTTTGTATCATATCAAATCTGGGACATGCTGAACTAACAAGGGCCAAGTGATTATGAGACAAATAACAACCTTGTACTTACTGTGCAGAGAATTCTAGATAAAGGAAAAGGTATTCTGTAACACCTTGATATTCCTTTTTAGCCAGCACTCAGTGATCCCAGAGGAGATTAAACATACCACCAAGGGCCGGGTGCAGTGGTTCACACCTGTAATCACAGGCCTTTGGGAGGCTGAGGCTGGAGGACTGCTTGAGGTCAGGAGTCTGAGACCAGCCTGGGCAACATAATGAGACCTCATATCTACAAAACAAAAACAAAAACAAAAACCCTGGGTATGGTGGCATGTGCCTATGATCCTAGCTATTCAGGAGTCTGAGGCAGGAGGACCACTCGAGCCCAGGAGTTCAAGGCTGCAGTGGGCCATGATCATGCCACTGCACCCCAGCTTGGGAGACAGAGCTAGACTCTGTCTGTAAAGAAGAAAAAAAATACTGCCAAGATTATTCTGTTTTTCATGAAGCCAACTCATAATGTCATCAGTTTAGTATAGGTTAATTTTGGATTTTCCAATTTAACACCAATGGGAAATTCAATGTTTATGTTTTGTAAACACATTTCAGCATCAGAAGAGGAAGAGAAGTGAACTCCCAAGATAATAATTATGTCTAACTGAGCACTTTGATGTTCTTCAGCCAAGACCAACAGGAACACACCTGTGCTTGAATAAGCTGGGTTCCCTGCTCACTTCATCGAGGGAGAACTCATACCTTAGAAAAACCATGGAACTTCTCAGTGTGAGGTTGTCAGAAGGAACTTATTATAGGATTGGGACATGCTTGGGTAATTTAGGGGTGGGTCTAATGAAGCAGAAGCCCACTCTAGAATGGGTATTGTCAGAAGGGGGGGGGCGGCAGTCCTTCAACTGGGCATCTCAAAAAATATTCTCTCTAGGTAGGACAGACTAGAGCAGGGAAAAAACCATAATTGGTAAAGAAGTAGCAGTCACTCATTTCGGCCTAGAGAGGGGAATGTTTAATATTTTATGGGCTGCACAGTGACCATGTTTTTTCTCACTTTATCATGATCTCAGAGTGGCCTTGGCTGACACTGAAGTCTTGTAATATTGTTTCTATCCAGTAGGAGAACATGGCCTGGCTGTGAGCATCTGCCCAGTGCCAGGATGTTCAAGGCTGCTTTCTCGGCACTGACTGTGAGTGCACTAAGTACTTCACACACATTATTTCATTTAATTCTGAAAACTCTATTAGGCAGATATTGAGTCCCATTTTACAAGTGATAAAATAGAATCCTGAAGAATTTAATGTTAGCAGTGAGTCAACAGCAGGCAGTCAGGACTAGTAGTACTGACCCCAAAGTCCATACACTATTAAGCTACCACTCGTTTGAGCCTGAGCTGCCTTAGAGATAAGGAAAGGGCAGAGGGCATGCATGTGTGGGAAAGCAAGCTGGACTACAGGGCCTTGGCACTTGGCTTTTTGTTCCCCTGCTTGTGCTGTCTCTGGGACTTCAACATTCCTTAGATCAGTCACCTAACACTGATGTCCTCCCAGGTTCTCGACCCTGGCTCTCTGCTCCAATAACATTCCCCTCCTATCCATTTGGCTACCTCTACTTGCCTGATCACACCTTGGGACTTGCCATTTCTCCAAATGGGCCACCTCTAGAAGTTAAAATTGTGAAGTTCTTCTTGTATCAGATCATCTAGTACATATCCACAAAAATAAAAAAATAAAAAAAAAATTAAAAGCGTCTTATTAGTCTACCTTTTTCATGATCTTGTGTCCATTAAAATCATTCTTCCCCTTTCTTTCTTCTTGACTCCTCCCTATCTTCTAAGCCTGTCACCCCTCCTGGCTTCATTTTATCTTCTTCCTTTTCCACCTTGGCCCATATGGTGCATCAATGAATTCACTACATCTACCTAAATCCCCTCACCTCCTTGACTTTCTGGTAGTTCTCAACCCTGCCTTAATCATGATTTTGATTTAGAATGCTTACCCTGTGTCAGACACTGTTCCCGGCTCTTTTTGAAGATTAATCCGTTTAATCATCACAACCTATTTAGCCCACATCCTATGGGCTAAAGTCAGTCATGTACTGCATAACAATGTTTTCGTCAACAACTAACTGCATGTATGACAGTGGTCTCATAATATTAGGATATCATATTTTTACTATACCTTTTCTATGTTTAGATACACAAATATTAGGTTGGTGAGAAAGTAATTGCAGTTTTTGCCATCACTGCAATTACTTTCGCACCAACCTAATACTTAGCATTGTGTTACAATTGCCTACAGTATTCAGTACAGTCACATGCCATACAGGTTTGTAGTCTAGGAGTAACAGGCTCTACCTTACAGCCTAGGTGTGTAGGAGACCGTACCATGTAGGTTTGCGTAAGTTAACTCTATTATGTTCACACAATGATAAAACTACCCAGTGATGCATTTATTAGAATAAATATCCATCATTAAGTGATGCATGACTGTACCCTTATACTCTCATTTTACAAATAAGGAAACTGGGGCACAGTTGTTAAATAACTTGCCTGATGTTAAACAGCCACTAGGGGGCAGAGCCAGAATTTGAACCCAGGCTGTCTAGCGCCAGAGTTCATGCTGGTAATCAACACACTGTGCTGCCTTACCCACTGTACTGTGCTGACAGCCTTCTCTCTTCTTCACCGCTGCTTCTGGTGATTAAATGGCTATATAAACCTGCATGGTCAGGGCTTGCAGGAAGTCTCACTTCACTAACAAAGCTAAGTTCATCAACTCCTATCCCTTCTACACCAACTTCTCTGCATGCTTACCTGGTCTCTTCCTTACTCTTCACCCTTGGAGTATGTAGTATATAGTAGGGCGAGATGCACAGAAAAATCAAATAACTCAAGTACAATAGCCCTTATCTGTAATTAAGTTATTAGATTTTTCTGTGCATCTCCGCCATACTACAAGCCAACCACCACTAAAAATCCATGGGTTGGAAATAGGTAGAGCGATCCAAGGGTGTGCTCTACCTAAGATTTCCAACCCATGGGCTCAGCTCCTAAGTCAGTGCTCACCAAGCCTGATAGCACATAAAATGCGCCCATTTGCACAGCAAGTAGAGAACAGAATTTCTGCCGTTCCCCCAAATGAGCATTTATTAAGCCTGAGTGACTCCCTGGGCACCACTGGAACTATCCAACTCTAGCCTTCCAATCACCCACCCTGTGTGTCTGGCCTGACTGGCAGAGGTAAGTCATGACTTGTGTGGCTGAACTCGCACTAGCCTTTTCTCTCGGGGGTTGAACTATGTTCTTGTCTATGTCCAGTGGCTAGAATTTTCCTTCATCCCTGGGGAAGTTTCTCCTGGAACCAAAGTAATGCCACCCACCTTGTAATGCATCTTGTTGCTGCCTAAGGACTACTGTGGCCACATCCCACCTCTGGGGACTGACCATTCTGATCAGTGGGTCAACCTTTTGTGTGTCACAGAAGCACTTAAGAATCTGATGAAGGTTAAGAAGAACTCTTTACTGATATATGTATCATTTAAGCAAATATCCTGGAATTTTGCAAACAAATTTAAGGACTTACAGATTTCCCTGAACTTTTTTTGCAAAACTACTCATTTTTGTAACCAGTATAGAATCTTGTATGGGGCACTTAGTAAATGTTTGTTGAATTGAACTGCATGAACTAAATCTCAATTCAGCAATCCTAAATGCAGAAACAATTACACACACACACACACACACACACACACACACACTAGTTATTTGTTTTGCTCCAGAAAAGGACTTAAAGTGGTTAATATTTAGACATTTGCTTCTTTAAAACATCTTCATAAGTATCGAGACTCAGTAGAGACAAATTCCTTTTCCACTTAATTTAACAAAGACTCAGAATTTTTTTTTAAAGAAATAGTATCAGAATACAAAATGAAAAAAGCAAATCGCCCAAAACCAGTTAAAGGACATAAAACTGAATTCTTGTAGTTTGCATATTTCTTATCAGAGTGGTTCTTAGTCCCCTCCCTCCTCCCAAATTCAACAAAGCCATTGTTAACAGTGACTCAGACTACATTGATTCCAATGAGGGTTGGCTGTGGGCCACACTTTTACTTGGGGATCACGGCAAACTTTCTGGGGAGAGGCCATAGTTTAGAGGAAGGCCTCCAGGGGATTCTGATATCTCTGCCTTTTGGTATCCCCACTCTCATTAGTGTCCTAGGATAACAAGTGCTACTCAATCATTAACTCAGTTTGGCTTATTGGGCACAGAACCTTCTGTTCCTCTGTTGATCTGGTTAGGAGAGCAGGCTTTAAACCGTCTGAATTTGAATTTTGGGTCTATCACTTGACCTCTCTGTGCCTTAGCTCCACTGATATCACCTGCCAAAAGCCCTCTTTGGTGCTAACAGAACACAGATCTGTTCTGATATTAGTGTGATGTCCCTTGACCTCGGGTATTCCTATACCCTATCCCAGCCCCAGGATATGAATCATGATTGGTCAAAAATACTCATAGAAATCTTATTCCTTTTGGTCAGCGATTAGTCTAAAGGTGGGCTTGCAACCCAGGTATGACCAGAGAGATGGAAAGGCGAGTCAGCTGAGGTAAGTCGGGAACATAATCCATACCAAATATAAGGCAGATCCTTAGGAGGAGAAAATCCTTCCTTGTTCTTCCTGCCTAGATGCAGACATGATCCTGGAGGGGCAGCAACCACCTTGTGGCTTGGAAAGGAAAGTCAACATGCTAAGAAGGCAGGAAGGGAAAACAGAAGGAGCCTGGTAGTTGTTTGTTGTTGCTGTTTGTTTTAGAGTCCAGTAGTTTAATTGTATAGTGCAGTTTCTGCATCAGCTCTGGACTTTGGACTCCTTATTCAGTGAGAAAAATAAGCAATTCATTTGTCAAGCCCCAGTAAATTTTGTTATGTACAACTGAATGCATTCTTATCTGATATACTCAGTTTATAATTTATAAAGTGAGGATAAAAACAGTACCAATCAGAAAGGAAGTAAAATTACCCTTGTTCACAGAGGACATAATCTTATATCTAGAAAACCGTAAAGATTTCATTTAAGAAATCCAAAGTGTTGAACTAATGAATGAATTCAGCATAGTTGCAAGATACAAAGTCAATGCACAAAAAAAATTCTGTTTCTTTATACCAACGGTGAAATTAAGAAAACAATTTCCTTTTTAATAGCATAAAAAAGAATACAATACTTAAGAATAAACTTAACTAATGAGGAGAAAGGCTTGTACATAAGTATCAAACATTGCTGAAAAAAGCTAAAGAAGGCTTGGCTAAATAGAAAGTCATCCATGTTCATGGGTGATTATTGTTAAGATGGCAGTACCATCTAAAGCAATCTATAGATTCAATGCAGCTTCTATAAAATTTCAATGATACTTTTGGCAGAAATAGAAAAGCCCATCCTAAAATTCATATGGAATGTCAACGGACGCCAAATACACAAAACAATCTTGAAAAAGAACAAATATGGAGGGCTCCCACTTCCTGATTTTAAAACTTACTACAAGGCAACAATAATCAATAGTAGATTACTGACATAAAGACAGTGAAATAGAATAGGAAGTCCAGAAATAATTTCTTGCTTGTATGGCCAAATAATTTTTTTTTTTTTTTTGAGACGTAGTCTCACTCTGTGGCCCAGGCTGGAGTCCAGTGGCGCGATCTCGGCTCACTGCAAGCTCCGCCTCCCGGGTTAATGCCATTCTCCTGCCTCAGCCTCCTGAGTAGCTGGGACTACCGGCACCTACCACCATGCCCAGCTAATTTTTTTGTATTTTTAGTAGAGACGGGGTTTCACCGTGTTAGCCAGGATGGTTTCGATCTCCTGACCTCGTGATCCGCCCGCCTCGGCCTCCCAAAGTGCTGGGATTACAGGCGTGAGCCACCATGACCGGCCATGGCCAAATAATTTTTGACAAGGGTGCTAAGATAATTCAATGGGGGAAAGAGCAGATTTCAAAAAATTGTGCTGGGAAAACCAGACATCCACATGCAAAAGAAGGAAGTTGAATCCTTATCTAAGATCATACACAAAAATCAACTCAAAATGAATGAAAGACCTAAATGTAGGACCCCAAACTAATAAATTCCTAGGAGAAAACATAGGGAAAAAACCTCATGACATGGATTGGATAATGATTTTTTGCATATTACATCAAAAGCACAGGTAGCAAAAGAAGAAATAGTTTTTCATCAAAATAGAAAACTTGTACAACAGCAAACGATATTATCACAGAGTGAAAAAGGCAACCCATCGAGTGGGAGAAAATAATAGCAAATCATGTATCTGGTGAGGGGTTAAAATCCAGAATATATAAAGAGCTCCTACATCTCAACAACACAAACAACTCAATTAAAAAATGGACCTTAATTACTTTAATGTACTGTAATTAATTTACTTAATTGGAGGACTTGAATAGACATTTCTCCAAGGAAGATGCACAGATAGCCAATAAGCACAGAGAGATTCATCACTAATCCTTAGGAAAATGCAAATCAAAACCACAATGAGATGCCACTATAAGGTTAATGCTAAACCATTGGCAGTACCCAGAAGGAGAAGTTAAGGAGTCTAATCTCTCCTCTGGCTGCTGTGTGGAGGATGGACTGTGTAAGGGTAAGAGTGGAGGCAGGGGAACTCGTTGGGAGATTGCTGCAAAGATGAGGCCAGACATCATGGTTTCAACTTGGGTGATGAGATGTAGGGTTGTGGTTCTATTTTGGAGGTTGAGTCAGCAACATACATGGCTGGACTCGATGCAAGATTTTAGGGTGAGGGAAAAATCAGAATAAGCTCTAAGTTTTGTACCTGAGCAATTGAGAATATGACAGTGCAATTTACCAAAAAGAGGAAGGTTTAGTGAGGAAGCAGGTAAGGGGCTGACTGGTAGGGGAGAGAGAGGAGTAGAAAAGTAGATAGCTTTGTTTTGGTTCTACAAAATTCGGATGCCTACTGGACTTCCAAGTTGATATATGATTCTGGAATTGGGGGGTTGGGAATTGAGTATCATAAATATAGAGATGGTACTTGAAGTCAAGGGAGAGAATGTAGAGAAGAGACAGGGCCAAGGATAGAAATTTGAGCTACCTAAAAGATAGAAGCCTTACAGAAAGGAAGAACAAAATAAAAAGGCTGAGAAAGAGTGGCCACTGAGTTAAGAGAAAGTCCAGGTGAGTGATCTTACAAAGGCTCAGAAAAGACTTTCAAGAGTGACAGCATGGTCAACTGTTGCTGAGAGGTTAACTAAAAGGTAATGAAAAAGGAACTAGGCTTTGGCTAGATGTAGAGTATCTACATCTTGATAATGACCTTGATAATGGAGAAGTGGTAGAGATAATAACCCAACTGGACTAAATTGAATACAGAATGGGAAGTAGGAAAGTGAGGATATCAAATATGGACATGTCTATATAGGAACTTCGCTGAGAAGAACTTTGTGGTTGATTGGATGTGGTGGGTGAAGCAGAGAGAGAGACCAAAAATCTCTCCCACAGTTTTGATCTGTGCAACTGAGTGGATTGGAGGTGCCAGTCACAGAAGCTGGGTTGTTGGGTTGTTGGTTCAGGATGCTGGGAGGCTGGGGAGTTGAGAGGGATGGGTGCCTTCAGCTCCACATCTACCCAGGGCTCTTTGGAATTTTTGTGAAATGATGGAATCCTTCCTTCTTTCTGGGGTAAGGCACATGGTCATTAATTAACAAAGATTAATTTCACAAAAAACATGTAAAAGCCCAACAATTTACACATGGGTTTTAATTTGGGTGCGTTTTTAAAATGCAAAACAGCAAAAGGCAAACATGAGCTCTTAAATCCCTCTGCTGTACTACTTCTGAGATTGAGAAATCACTTCTTAATTATTAAGAAATACTCTCTAACACAAGCAATTTTCTTTTAATTTTCTTTAAAAAACAGCAATCAGCATACACTGCTTTCAGTTGTTCAAATGAATTAGCCTCAATTTATAGACTCAGTACTGGGAATTATTCCAGAATTACTTACTCTAAATAAGTTATTAAACATAGTTAAAGCATAAAATAAAAGTTGACTTTTTTAAGTTCGGCCAGCAAAAAGGAAAAAATAACCTCTTTAATAATTTTTAATTTGAAAAATACTTATATGTAAAGACCACCCCTTCTCCAATTCCTGAGATTACTCTGCCAATTTCACAAGAGTTTCCTGCTTCTAACTGCTATGGATTTCTTGTTTTTGGAACACTTAAGTTATATTCATCAAAGAGATGAATATGAGTATCTTATATTTTAAAAGCTGGAAAACAATTTCAAAAGAATCATAGTGCTTTTCCTGCAATAATGTGACAAACTGTAAAAAGAACATTTAAAAATTATCAGTATCCCTGGAAAGGAGGAACATTTAGTTTTAGATCTTGCTGATGATTGTGAATTTCTTTAATATTTATTCTTGTGCTAGATACTCCTTTTTACCACATTGTTATAAAAATGCTTATTTCAGCAAATCATTTTCAAAGGAAGAACAAAGTGAACACTGGAGAAGGTAGGCACTTCCTTTCTGAAGTTTAGGGAGAAACTTTTTCTTACTGCTGGTGATTACCTTCTGAGAGACACAGGGTTGAAACCGAATGTTCATTTATGATTTCTGCTTCTCTTCCTTCTTTTTCTGTCACTGCTCAAAACCTTATTTGATAAGCTGTGTTTTTAAACCTGATTTAAAATTTACAAAGAACACAAGGGCATACAAAGAAACATCCTCCGTTACCTCCCCAGCCAGCCAGTTACCCTTCCCAAAGGTAATCAATGTTTTCAGTTGGTCATGGATTCCCCCCTCCTGATAGTTTATGCATTCACACGCAAATACTTATACACCTGCATAGGTATATACATTTGTCCTTAAAGATAACTTTATAGTTTGAAGTAGTTTATAGCAAATATTTCAAAAAAATTTTTGTAACATCACAAGAAGTTACAGAAATGGTAATCTTGCATTAGCATAGCATATAGTCAATAAAAATGATATTGGTATAATGCTACCAATTCAAATATAAACCTTATTCTATACACTTATTTCTACCCATCCTATTTTTCCCCCCAAATAATAGCATGTTGTACCTTTTGTGCTACATATTGCTTTTCTAAATTTAACAGTATAACTTGGAAATCATCTCATATCAATACACAGAGCTCTTCCTCAATCTTTTAAAAGTCTCCGTAGGGTACTACTGTATGAAAAATCAATTTAACCAGATTTCTATTGGTGGGATTTTTAGTTGTTCCCAATCTTTTGCAATTACCCATAATTCCATGATGAATAATTGTCTACGTAAGTATTTTGCACATATCTCTAGGAAAAATCCTTGGAAGTAAGATGGCTGGATCAAAGCCTATGTGGATATGTAATTTTAATATTGCCAAATTAGCCTCCAGAAAGATTTATCAATTTACATTTTCCCCATCTCTGTGTGAGGGAATTCTTATTTCCTCAAACCCTTACTAATATAGTTTACTAACCTGACAGAGAAAACAGGGTATCTCAGTGTGGATCTAATTTTTACATATTTTTCTTCTTATGAATAAAGTTGAGCATATTGTCATATGTTTAAGGGCCACTTGTATTTTCTTTTTTTTGCAATAGGCTATTCTTTTTGCCTGTTCTTCTACTGGGTTTTGAGGTTATTCTTATTGGTTTGAGGAAATCTTTATATTTTAGGAAAATTAATCTTCAGTCTAGAGTTTCAAACATTTCCCACTAATTTGTTGCCTGTCTTTTGGAAAATGGAATGTAATAATCATTTCTTGACTTCTGGGAATTTTTTCATACTTATAATGACTTTCATACTCAACATTTATAAAACTATTCTCCTAACTTTGTATCTAGTACCTGCAAAGTTTTTTTTTTTAACACTTAAATCCTTAATTTATCTGGGGTAAGGTATGAGGTGTGACTTCAACTTTATTGTTTTGGAGATGGCTACCTAGTTGTCCCAGACTTAATAATTAATCTCTCTTCTTCTTACAGACTTAAAATGTCACCTTCATCACATACTCAATTCTTACATAGTTTTAAGTCAATGTATGGACTTTCTATTGCATTTCATTAGTATGCCCACCTCACACATCAATATCTGTAAAGAAAACTCCACTATTTTAAAATTATTATAGCTTTATAAATATGTTTTAATGTTTCTCAGAAACTTATAATTGTTTGCAAGCACCTACTCCTATAGTTTCTGTATAGCTTGTCCCCAAGGCAGGGCCTCCCCAGTCTAAGTTTATTATCCATAGCCTTACTATTGTGTCTTTTCTCATTTTATTCCTTTTCTTTGAAATGCTCTGTCTATTTTTCTTGTCCAAATTCCACTGTCGGTTTGGATTGTGATCATGACTTAGGTGGAGATCTCCCTTAGGTAGGAGTTAGAGAGGTAGATATGGGAGCAGGTAGGGTTGATCAAGGCAATAACTTTTTGTTAAGGAGATTTCAGGAACAGTGGATGATAAGGACTCAGAGTTATGTTAGCTTTAGAGGAGCAAGCAAACATTACAAGCCAAAAGTTCATAGAGTTGAGAGTTGGCATATCTGAGAATTGGGAAAGAAAAATCACATATCCATATAGGCAGATTAGTTAGGCTATGACACCAGCAAGCAGAGCACAAGAACTTGAACCAGATATTGGGGTAGAATGTTTGAAACTAGTGCTCTTGGTATATGTGCAGAGAGTTACATGGCTCAAGCATCATTGAAATGATTTTAAGCAACTCAATAGAAATTCTAAGACAAAGGGAGAGAGAAACAAGAGAGTCAAAGATGCACACGAGAGGGTGATCATAATAATGAAACTGAGCTTCCAAACCACGTAAAAATATAGGTGATGACATGGGACATGGGGGCACAGAGAGTGAAGGGATGATGGGCTCAGTGCACTGGAGTGGCTGGGAAGACAAAGCATTGCTGTACATGGGTACTTGAGGAATGAGTTGGAAACAGGAGATGGTCATCAGAGAGAGGGTGGAGTGCTTCAAACTGAGACTATGGAGGTTGTAGCAGAGACTGCTATATATTCACAAAATCCATTTCCCTTACATGCTGAGACGTAGCTATACTAAATTTCTTGCCCTCCCTTGCAGGTGGTTGGGGGTCTCGTGACTGAGTTCTGGCCAATGGAACATGGACAAAAGAGATGCACTCCCCTTCCAGATCTGGCCCATCAGCACTCCTGCATGCACCTTCACACTCTTTTGCCCATGTCTGTTAACTGAAGTAGGGAATTTCAAAGGGTCATCTGTGGAAAATTTTGAGGATCCAGGGCATGGCAGAGCCTCAGATGAAAGGGATCTGGCTCCTGAATGGTAGAAGATTTGCCACCAACCAAGAACATCCTCATTAGGCTTCATACATGAAGCTACTGAGATCTGGGGGTTTGTCATGGCAGCTAGTGCTATATTACTCAGTCCTGAAATGATGCAGACGTTAACAACAAGGTGTGGAGGATAACCATGTGGTTTTATGAGTGTCTGATCCAACTGGAGACTTGGAAGTTTGTTGAAATATATTTGTAACTCACAGGGCTGCGGAAACATGGAATGGGAAGTCCTGGGGAACCATTCTATGGGAGTCCCTGGCATGTTATTTTGGACTGAATAACTTAGACAGGCATATGTAGTGCTGAGGCAGGTGAGAGAACTTGGGTGAGAACAACCTTGCCAGTAGAGGGTGTGATTTCCAGAAAGATGGGGTGATAGTTTCTTGACAGAGCCTAGAAAAGGGAGGTATCTTAGAAATAACGGCAAACTCAAGGCCAAGGGAACAAGAATAGGACCAGGATGAATCCATGGGGGAACCCCTGGGGAAAGTTTACATGAATAGCTTTTCCTTTGGTTGGTGGGAAAAGTACTATTTAGTAGATGGTTTATTATAAATAAACTATTTTATTTATTATCAGCTATTTGAAGTATTTTATGCTCTCCCTTAGTAAAATCTGCTGCTTCTTCTGAGTTGGTATTGAGAGTGGAAGTAAATGATGGGGTCCTAAACTGAAACTCCATGTTTACATGTGCCTCCTGGTCCCTGCAAGGAGAGTGGATTAATTATCCATTAATTACCAATTACCCATGGTGGGAGTGATTGGTGGTGGAGTCCAGGAATTACGGTCTGTGAACAGTACAAATGAGCATGGAACCACAGTGAGTGAATAACAGCAAGACAACCACGAAATTTACAGGCATGGTGATCAGATGACTCTACGGGAAGAGGATATGATTCAATCCCTCCCCTCTTTCTCAAATAGATGCATAGGAAAAAAGCATGGTGGTATGTCCATAAACCTAGTCACTATTTCTGGATTGTGGGGTTGGGAATAGGAAGGATTTAATGTTCTACTTTGTACATTTCCAAATTATCTGAATTTTATGCAAAAAAATACTTTGCTATTGATGAAGTGTAATGTAGTTTAAATGGTAAAGGAAACTCAAATTCATAGAGACAGAAAGTAGAATGGTGGTTGCCAGAGGATGCAGGGAGGGGGAAGTGAGGAGTTGTTTAATGAGTATAGAGTTTGTGCAAGATGAAAAAGTTCTGAAGATTGGTTGCACAACAATACGAATATACTTAGCACTACTGAACTGAGGCTGGGCACTGTGTGGCTCATGCCTGTAATCCAATCCCAGTACTTTGGGAGGCCAAAGTGCGAGGACCACTTGAGTCCAGGAGTTGGAGACCGGGCTGTACCACATAGTGAGACCTCATCTCTACAAAAAAAAAAAAAAAAAAAAAAAAAATTAGCCAGATGAGGTGCAGTCCCAGGAGGCTGAGGCAAGAGGATCACTTGAGATCAGGAGTTCAAGGCTGCAGTACATTAAGATTGTGCCACTGTAATCTGGCCTGGGCAACAGAGCCAGACCCTGTCTCAAAAACAACAACAACAAAACAAAACAAAAAAACCCACTACTGTACTGTACACTTAAAAATGGTTAAGATGATAGTTTTATGTTATGTGTATTTTAATACAATTTTTTTAAAGGTAAAGGGGTTCTTTAAAGTTTCAAGAGGCAGAAATCAATTCACCATTGGAGTGTAGCCTAGATCCAGATAAAAGCCTTTAAAGTAGTTAAAGCCTATATACTGTAAGCCGCTGAGAATTCATAATCCTCTGAAATGTTTTAACCTTATACTTCTCAGTGAAGGAAAATGAGAGGCAATGAAAGTACCTACAGAGATTTTTCATGAAAATGCCTCTTCATAGTGACCACAGTTTTCGGATGTGAAAAAAAATCTAAAATTTGTTCCTTGGCATTATTTTCATCAAAATCCTGAAATCACTAATTCATATAAGCCCTGATGTGCAAAACTTTGTGTAAGTTTATTGTTATGAATAATTCATCAAGTAGATTTGTGAGCAAAGAATATTACCAGGGCTAAAGAAGGGCCACAGGTAAATCCATTATAATAAAGGGACCAATTAATCAAGAGGACACAGTAATCACATCTGTTTTTAAGGGTCGTGTGCCTACCCTTGATGTTCTAATTTAGAGCCACCAACAAAACCATCTGATTGGAGTCAGGGTAGGAGCAGTTCTTGCAAAGCAGGCGATGCTAAGTAGAAAAAACAATAGATGCCTATTAGAGAGATGCTTGGTTTGACCAGTTCAAGGACATGTACAGAGACAGTGGTACAGAATATTTGACATTAGGATTATTCTGGGAAGTCCAGGGGATACCTTAAACAAAGCTGTACTACATCCTTTCCTTTCTACTTTCAATGATGATTATTATTGGTATTTGTGACAGAGTAGAAGCTGTCAATTATAATCCTGAAATTGACATTTTAACTTATTTTTCAGGAACAAACCAAATAAACTATTTTATGATAGAAGTATGGCTGATAAATGATGCCATTCATATGATAAAGCAAACAGGTTTCTGAAAATATATATTCATTTGTTTACTTAACTAATGTATTTATTTAGACACAGGATCTCACTCTGTTGTCCAGACTGTTGGAGTGCAGTGGCATGATCTCAGCTCACTGCAGCCTTGACCTCCTGGGATCAGGCGATCTTCCCACCTCAGCCTCCCAAGTAGCTGGGACTACAGGCACACGCTACCATGCCCGACTAATTCTGTTTATATTTTGTAGGTACAAGGTCTCACTATATTGCCCAGGATGGTTTCAAACTCCTGGGCTCAAGTGATCCTCCCGCCTTGGCCTCCTGAAGTGCTGGGATTAGAGGCATAAGCCACCATACCTGGCCTTTTAACAAAGACAGTAAACTTTCTGGTACTCAGGGAAAGTGACCTTTTGCAAAGTAGCATTCTTTGTTATGTTTCTAATTGGTTCACATTTCTGTTATTCTGAAACTATAACATCTAGGTTTTCTGTGTGACATGTTGAAGGGAATACATGAGTGTATAGTGACACAAAAAGTGTGAAAAAATTTAGATTACTTTTTTCTTTTTTACTATCCTAATTAAAAACCAGGCAAAAGATCTAAATAGATATTTCTCAAAAGAAGACATGCAAATGGCCAACAAGTATATGAAACAAATGCTCTACATCTCTAATCATCATGGAATTGTAGATCAAAACCACAATGAGATACCACATCATTCCAGTTAGAATGGCTATTATCAAAAAGAGGAAAACTAACAGGTGCTGTCAATGATGCCGAGAAAGGGGAATGCCAGTACACTGCTGGAGGGAATGTGAAGTAGTATAGCCACTATGGAAAACAGGATGGAGGTTCCTCAAAAAACTAAAAATAGATCGACCTATGATTTAGCTGGGTATATATCCAAAAGAAAGGAACTCAGTATACTGAGGAGATATCTGCACTCCCATGTTTATTGCAGCACTATTCACAATAGCTGAGATTTGGCATCAACCGAAGTGTCCATCAGCGGATGATTGGATTTTTAAAAATACCGTATACATACACAATGGAATGCTATTCAGCCATAGAAAAGAATGAACTTCTGTCATTTATGACAACACAGATGAACCTAGAGGACATTATGTTAAGCGAAACAAACCAAGCACATAATGTCACTCATATGTGGAATCTAAAAAAGTTGATCTCACAGAAGTAGAGAATAGAGTAGTGGTTACCAGAGGCTGCAGAGGGTAGGGAGGAGGGGCTGGGGAGAGGCTGATCAATGAGAACGCAATTACAGTTAGATAGCAGGATAAGTTCTGGTGTTCCATTGCATAGTAGGGTGACTACAGTCAACAATAATGTATGGCATATTTCAAAACAGCTAGAAGAGAGAATATTGAATGTTCTCACCACAAAAATAACAAGGATTTGAGGTGATGGATATGCTAATAACCTGGATTTGATACACATGTATTAAAGCATCACACTGTACCCCATAGATATGTACAATTGTGTGTCAGTGGCACATACTTGTAGTGCCAGCTACTTGAGAGGCTGAGGTGGGAGGATCACTTGAGCCCAGAGCTGGAGGCTGCAGGCAGCCATGATTGCAGCACTGCACCCCGGCCCGGGAGATAGAGAGAGGCCCTGTCTCTTTAAAAACATAAATAAAATGATGAAATGAAACTGAAAAGTGTGAAAAATTGTATTGGGTTTTATTGCCATATTTATCAGACAACAATTACACAGCTTTATTTCCACAGAAATTTCTTTGCCTTTAATGTGTTTTCACATACATTATCTCTGTGATTTAATTCAAAGGTTTTCTTCCTCTCCAGATTTCAGGCATTGTGCTTAGCACTGTGGGGACTTAGGTGACTAAGTGCCAGTCTTTGCATTCCGTGTGATTGCAGCCTCATTGGTAAGAGTACATAGTACATATAAAAACAGGATATGATAAGAAAATCATTTGCATCACCACTTTGGAGTTCTAGTTGGCAGGAAAGGTTTGGAATACAGCTTCATATTTACTTTGGGTTTAATGTGTCTTTGGGGTAAAATAAAGAGACATTTGGAACTGAGGGCTGGACATGAAAACATTTCTACAAAGAGTTTCTGACTCTCTCTTTTATAGATAACCCTCTTTATTCCAAAATAGACTTACTATTTGCCCTCTTCTGTTAGAAGAGCTTCTTTTGCTGAAGTAAATGTCTTATTTAGAAAAAGAAATTGTCTAGAAAACTGTTCCAACCAGTGTAATTTCCATCCTCTCTGAATGATAATTTATTTTTGCAAAATCTTCTCTTTTAACATTTGATCACCTGCTGTCTTTGCATTATTACATAACAGTTTCAGGCTTGTATATCTCTTCTATACCAACTCCAGGGGAGAAGGTGGACCTTATTCCTTTTGAAAAATCCTTCAGTGCTTATTGCATCACTTGGTGACAAGCAGATTATACACATGCAACAAGAATTTGCTTAATAATGAATAAATGGATGAATTAATGACTGCTAGAAGCTTGACAATTTCAAAGCTGTCTGTAAACCTTTTCAATTTATGTGGATTATATTGTAACTTGTTTTATAATAAATCTATATGGAAGATTATCATATTTAGGAATATTTATATTTTGAAAATATTAATTACAGGAAAAGGCAAGACAAATTTCTTGGGAGTAGGGAGATGTCCCCAAAGTTAAAAGTGTAAAGATGTAATGAGTCGTTGGGAACAAGAGCAGAAAGAAGGAAAGGAAATGTTTCAGAAAAGCTGATGGCCAGCAGGCATGGCAGTTGTGTGAGGGTAAGGGAGCTACGTTGGCCAACTAAGGAGGTATGCATTTCATCAGATGCCACAAATAACAAAAAAAAACCCATTTGATAGCTTAAAACACAGAAGTTTATTTGTCTCATGTCTAGGGGTAGGCAGTCCAGGGCTGGTATCATGGCTTAATAATACCTCCAGGGTCCCAGCATTGTCTCAGTCTCTATCCTGAGCATATAGGCTTTCATCCTCATACATCTTATCTTGGGGTTTCAATATGATTGCTACACCTCCAGGTCTCACATCCAAGTTCACACTCACAAAAAAAAAAAAAAAATAGTGTGTGTGTGGGCAGGGAGAACAAAGAACAAAGGAGCAAAAGGATTTGACTTTTTATTCAAGAAGGGGTAGCTTCTCTGGGGACTTCTACCTATATTTCACTGGACAGAACTGTGTGACATAACCATCTCTAGCTACAAACAAAACTGGGAAATTGGATATTTTCAGCTTCCTTGAAAAAAATTGAGCTTCTCTTAGTAGGGACAAAGAGTAGGGGTGGGCATGAATGTTGGGTCAGCAACCAGAATCTGTCAAAGCATGACTAGATGATAAGAGTCACCTGGTTAGGGAAGATGATAACCAATTACGCAAGTGGAATTTACCCAAGTGACCAGCCCAGGTCAGGAGAGAAACACTCGTACAGAGAAATTCCATGGCTGGGAGACCCACTGGAAACTACTGAATTAGTAATTATTGAAGTGATTAAGTGCTTCAGAGCAATACTGTGGTCTAGCCTGGTCTGGCCTTGAAAATAACACTTTGAGACATCTAATGAAAAGGACTGATTCCTTGCTTTCCAGAAGAGCCCGTAAAGAATGTTCTTGCATTGAGTGGTAGCGGAAACAACGGCAGAATTAGGAAGCAATATGGAGAGGTTCCATAAAGACTTGATTGATCCCTGTGTTAATTTATAGCATCATAAAAGTTTAGAAGTTGAAGAGACCTTAGAGATGATTGTAATACATTATTATAATAATCTAAACCTTCATTCAACAGGAAGAAGACTAAGGCATAGTGATGTGATGTGACTGCCCAGAATAACCCAGACAGCACCAGGTCTCAGCCTACTAGCTAAGTATTTTAACTCTCAGTTCAGAACTATTTCCACTCCAATGGTTCCTCTAAAGGCAGCATCAGAATCACTTAGAGCACTGACAAAAATTCAGATTCTTGAGCCCAGTCACCGAAGTATTAAATGTGGCCATTAGGAATCTGAATATTGAACTGGCACTGCATGCTGTTCTGATGAAGAGCCTGAGCTAAGAATCATTTGTATCTTTCTAAATTCCTACCCGTAGGAATTTCTGTCCTGAGGCTTCTCTACATGCTTGTAAACTTGCATTCATCTCTAACAGGGTGTTGGGCTGAGTCCTACCTGAAGGAGAGCAACAGTGTAAAAGCTGGTGTTTCAAAACCATAACCTAAAGAGCAGTTTCTTTGTCTAGTGGCAGTGGAATTTTATCACTGAGGAATACTAAAGAATACTCCACTTGGTGCT
Organism: Homo sapiens; assembly: GCF_000001405.40. NCBI lineage: Eukaryota > Metazoa > Chordata > Mammalia > Primates > Hominidae > Homo > Homo sapiens. The sequence continues at coordinate 105,295,278 of NC_000012.12, forward strand.
GAGTCATCCTATTTCATTAAGACCTACCTTGAAACATAGATGATTGCAGTTCGAAATAATAACACTCAATATCTTGGCCATTGGACAAGCAAAATTTAAACTTTCTAGGAAGGAACTCAACGAGTAAAATTTTAGCTTGATTTATAGATCTTTTCATTAAAGGAAGTAAGACAAAGCACTTTACATATTGGAAGTATTAGATGGTGGGTAGGAATTTAGGTTTCCTGTCTGCTGTACCTGTAAAAAAGGTTTTAGGGCTCCTCCCTCTTCCCAGCCTGTAACGTTTCGCCTCCCAGTTTCAAATGAGTTTTTTCCCCTCATCATTTCTTCTCTGCTTTATTACTTGCTGTGTAGACAAGTGCTAGCAGGTGTCAACATTGCTTGAGGCCTGGTAGTTACAGGATAATTGGAAGAACTTGCATCTTGAGAGGAAGCTCAATTCATTTAATTGAGAAATTAAACCAATGTACTTTTATCTCATTTGGCTGGTGCAATGGTCCCTGAAACTGGTTGATTATCAGAATCCTTTGGGAAGTTTTTAACATATTTTTTGCTGTTGATTAATTAATTTCAATTATAAAAGTAGTACATGCTTTTGGTTAAAATAATTCAAATGGTACAAATGGTACAAATGACTTCTCCTCCACTTTGCACTTACTAGAATAACCCCACTTTTAACACATTATTGTGTCTTGCCTTCCAAAAATGTTGGTACATAATACAATCATATGCATTTTCATTTGTTTTTTTTCTACAAATATGATTATCCCGTATTTACTGTTCTGTAACTTGCTTTTCCAAACCACGGTATCTCGGATACTTTTTACTGTAGCACATCTAGCTCTACTTTATTCTTTGAAGTGGGCACACGTTTTTCATTCAAGTGATTCTGATTTAGTGGATTAGGCCAGACCTAGAGATTTATGCTTTTGAAGAAGCTTCCCTATGATTTCGAGTGTAAACCAGTCTATGAACTAGTATTTCAAAACCACTGTCTTAGCTCATGTGACAAAACATGTTTTAAGATAAATCATTTCTATGTTTGGCTGGATCTTTTCCTCACTGAAGATTAGAAACTATGTTTTCTTTCCTGTTGCCTAATAAGAATAAGAAATGTAAGACACAATTGCTCCCAAAGAGATTCTTTTAAAGACACAACAAAATTCTACCGTACACACAAGGAAGAAAAGTTTCCTTGGCAACAGGTGGCAAGTATGGAAGATAATAGATGGAATTTATCATAAGAATAAGGCGACGTTCTATTGAGAGCATGTCAGAGTGAGGCAGTGTAAACATGGTACTCACAGGTCTGCATGAAGAGCCCAGAATGAATGCCTGATGTTCATAGATAAATAGATAAATAATGGCAAAGTAGTTAAAATTAAATAATCTTTTTTTAAGCTGAAACTATATTCTTCTAACAAAGTAATCTTTACCTTGAACTTGGGTTCTGGTGAATTGCCTTAACTATTATTTTTCTGTCGAGGGATAAATACTTCATTTTTGAAAAGAGCTATTTAAAGCCGTTGGTAGGGATTTTGAATAGTTTTCTAGGAAACAATTACAAGTCAATAAGCCTGCCAAGGAACTTCTCTGGGCTCCCCTGCACTAGGCAGCTTGTCATCTACCAGCAGTGAAACGTGTTTTTCTGCAGGATGAATCTTGGCCAGTCAAATTAAGACTTGCCAAGAACACTAATTAAAGCAATATAAGTTAGAGTCCATTTTCTCCCTTAGTAAAGATTATGAATAGTATGGGGGAGGGGGTATGAGAATATTGGATCTTTTAAATTCCTGAGAGAGGCACCTGCCCCTCCAAGCTGAACACCTCCCCAGCTTGTGACAAGTAGCAGAAATGATATGTTCCCAAGGCATAAAGATTAAGCTTTTTAAAAACTGCATTATATTTTCTAAAATAAAAAAAAAATTCGAACAAAACTCAAGAGATCTTTTAAGCATAATTCTTTTTTGTCATGTATATACAGGAACAACTGGAATAGAAGCTGAGTACTTTGAAAGAACACCCTTAGAGATTTCAGTTTGATTTTTATCAGCCATGGGACTATCCCATTTTGGAAACTATCACTTTAAGAAATCAAACTGCATGAGAATGCATGTTATAATTATGATAACTTTGGGAAAACTGCATAGTTTAATTTGTACTTCTAGGTTGGTTTCTAAAGAAGCATTAATTAATATATTTATTAGTCACTGTATCAGTTACATTTCTTTGGTTATGGTTAAAAACCAACTCAGGTTAACTTAAGGAAAATGGCATGTATTGAAAGAAAACTGCATAGCTTTACAAAATCAAAGGATGCCTCTGGAAAGAAGCAAGCAGGAAAGCTCTGGAGATGCCATGAACAGGCCCTTCTGGGCACTGTCATCAGGATGACAGCTCCAACCACTTTCCAGCTTTGTGCCCCTCTGTTCAAGGTGCAGATTCTTGGGGGAGAGTTGGATTGGCCTAGTTTGGATGACAGCATACCCTTCAACCACTCCTTCTGCTTGATGAGCTATCATGGCTCAAAGTCCCAGCAGAACCACATTGAAGGGGAGATGGACAGTTACTCCTGCCAAAAAAGTTGGGTGCGTGTGACAAGAGGAAAGGAGAAGAAATGCTGGACAGGCAAAAACCAGATCAGGCCACTGCCATCACCTAGTATATCAATTATTACATCAAGCAGCAATACCCAACACTATTGGGAACAGGAGAGACTGTGCTTGTCTCTCCCTACATTTGAGGTGGTGAGTCTGGAGACTGGTGGTCTCAGGAGAAGCTCAACAAATGTTCATGATGCATACACCTAGAGAGACTGTGGAGAGACCAGAGGTGACCCATACTCTGGGGAATTGAGGACAGCCAGAAAGAGCAGTGGGGATAGGAACCTGATAGAATTTGTTTCTGTAATGATGGGAGATATTCACAGCCCTAGAGCCAGAGAAGAGATAAACCCCATGCTCCCTGCAGGAGAGGAAAGTGGCAAACGTGTTGGTATTTTGGTAGCAGAGGGTGGAGTTGCAGGTAGAGGGTTACCTATTTGCAGAAAAATTATATATGGGTGCTTTCACGTGTGGTATGGGGTTGGTAATGCCCATCTCAGTTTTTTATGAGCATGGCCATATTATGTGGCTACCCCAGCAGCCCAAGCCTAGTGACGTGGTGATATGGTTTTGCTGTGTCCCCACCCAAATCTCATCTTGAATTGCAGCTCCCATAATTCCCATGTGTTGTGAGAGGGACCCGTTGGGAGATAATTGAATCATGGTGGTGGGTCTTTCCCATGCTATTCTCATGATAGTGAATAAGTCTCACAAGTTCTGATGGTTTTCTAAAGGGGAGTTTCCCTGCACAAGCTCTCTTCTCTTGTCTGCCACCATGGAAGATGTGCCTTTCACCTTCTGCCATGATTGTGAGGCCTCCCCAGCCACATGGAACTGTGAGTCCATTAAAACTGTTTCTTCTGGCCAGGCGCAGTGGCTCACGCCTGTAATCCCAGCACTTTGGGAGGCCGAGGCGGGTGGATCACGAGGTCAGGAGATCGAGACCATCCTGGCTAACACGGTGAAACCCCGTCTCTATTAAAAAATACAAAAAAAAAATTGGCCGGGCATGGTGGTGGGCACCTGTAGTCCTAGCTACTCGGGAGGCTGAGGCAGGAGAATGGCGTGAACCCGGGAGGCAGAGCTTGCAGTGAGCTGAGATTGCGCCACTGCACTCCAGCCTGGGTGACAGAGCGAGACTTTGTCTCAAAAAAAAAACCAAAAACCAAAAAACTGTTTCTTCTGTATATTACTCAGCCTTGGGTATGTCTTTATCAGCAGCATGAAAATAGACTAATACCACATGGCAAATGAGACAAAAGAAAAGTTTGCTGATTTAAAATGCATAGCAATTTAAAGTTAGACTGGGGAGGGTGTGGAAGGAGAAAATATCAGGCCCTATCATAGTGTTGCGGGAAGTCAGGGACCCTGAACGGAGGGACTGGCTAAAGCCATGGCAGAAGAACATAAATTGTGAAGATTTCATGGACATTTATTAGTTCCCCAAATTAATACTTTTATAATTTTTTACGCCTGTCTTTACTGCAATCTCTGAACATAAATTGTGAAGATTTCATCTTCACATAAATTGATTGGGGAATTTATCACTTCCCCAATCAATACTCTTGTGATTTCCTATGCCTGTCTTTACTTTAATCTCTTAATCCCGTCATCTTTGTAAGCTGAGGATGTATGTCGCCTCAGGACCCTGTGATGATTGTGTTAACTGCACAAATCTCTCATAAAGCAAGTGTGGGCACCTTGATAAAAGAACAGGATTACAGCGATGTTCAGTGAACAAGGGAGATAACCATTAGGTCTGACTGCCTGAGAGCCGGGCGGAACAGAGCCATATTTCTCTTCTTACAAAAGCGAATAGGAGAAATATCACTGAATTCTTTTTCTCAGCAAGGAACAGCCCTGAGAAAGAGAATGCGTTCCTAGGGGAAGGTCTCTAAAATCGCCGCTTCTAGGAATTTCTGTCTTATATGGTTGAAGATAAGGGATGAAATAAGCCCCGGTCTCCCATAGCGCTCCCAGGCCTATTAGGACGAGGAAATTCCTGCCTAGTAAATTTTAGTCAGACTGGTTGTCTGCTCTCAAACCTTGTCTCCTGATAAGATGTTATCAATGACAATGCATGCCCGAAACTTCATTAGCAATTTTAATTTCGCCCCAGTCCTGTGATCTCACTCTGCCCCCATTTGCCTTGTGATATTTTATTGCCTTGTGAAGCATGAGATCTCTGTGACCCACACCCTATTCGTACACTCCCTCCCCTTTGAAAATCACTAATAAAAACTTGCTGGTTTTGTGGCTGGGGGGCATCACAGAACCTGCCAACATGTGATGTCTCCCCTGGACACCCAGCTTTAAAATTTCTCTCTTTTATACTCTTTCCCTTTATTTCTCAGACTGGCCAACACTTAGGGAAAATAGAAAAGAACCTACGTTGAATTATCGGGGGCTGGTTCCCCTGATATCTGGCGCCCACATGGTCTTTCTTTTATCCTAAGTGCACGTGGGAACCTGATTCCCTTTGGTAGGTGGGCAGAAACATCATCGGTTTGTTCCACAGAAATGCTTGTTCGACTCCCTGATGACTGGTGAGTAGTCTGTGTATGATCTGAGTTAACTATGGGTCACACGAAGTCTAAAAATTATACTTATCTCTTCTATATTAAACTCCAGTTAAAACAGAAAAGGGTTCGAGTGCCCATGGAAAATATGGTCACTCTATTCAGGGCAGTGGGAAAATACTGTCCTTGGTTTCCTGAAAAAGGAACCTTAGATGTAAACCTGTTAAAACAGGGAAGGGTCCGAGTAACCATGGAAAATATGGTAACTCTATTCAGGGCGGTGGAAAAATACTGTCCTTGGTTTCCTGAAAGAGGAACCGTACATGTAAAAGTATTGGATCTTGTTGGTACAACATTCCAGGAACTGGTCTCGACAGAGAATTATGTTCCCATCACTGTTTGGGGTGATTAGGCCTTGGTGTGTGCTGTCCTAATACCTCCTCAACCTTCCTCTCCCACACGGCCTTCATTATCTGATCAGCCCCTCGCTTCAGCTACTCCTCCCCCACTTAATGATGCTGAAAATTCAATGTCTAACTCCGGTGACTTTGGCTTAATGTTACCCCCTGCTGACCTTATTCCTTTTCACGAACAGCTGGTACTTGTAGCTCCTGTGGCCCCAACTCACACAGCCTGGGACCATATATATGCTAATTCTTCCCTCTTCAAACCTTTGCAGTATTTGCTTCTGGGCGTCACCTAATGGCTCTGGGACCAAACTACAGTTTACCTGTAATTCTGCAGGCCCTCCCCCAACCATTACAGCCCCTAACCCTCCTGCCATTTCGGTTCCTCAACCGGTCACTTTGCCATCCACTCAGCCTGCTTCTCTATAGCCTTCCTCACACATGGATGCCAGTAATCATCAGTATACTTCTGCTCCTTCTGCTCCCCTTTCTCATACTCTCATTCCGGTCTGACCCCCTCACCCTCAGTTTCCCTTATCTACACATGATTTTCCTGTCACTTCTATGCCAACTCCATCTCAGATACCTACTCTTGAAACTTCAATGCAATGCTTATTATGCCAAAACAAAGAAACAAGTGGATTAGATGCATGGGCTTATCTGGTCACGCTAGGCCCTCCTAACTTCCGAGGGGTACAAATGCATTGTTATGGACCTCTTAATCTTACCTTTTTAAAAGAATTTAAGGATGCTTGTACTCAGTATGGTCCTACTTCTCCTTATGTTAAAATGGTATTACAAACTTTTTGTACTGAGGTCGTTTTGCTTCCTTTAGACTGGGACCTTTTGGCAAAAGCTGTTCTAACTCCATCTCAGCATTTACAATTCCATACCTGGTGGGCAGAGGAGGCCCATTTGCAGGCTCGGCTAAATCGGACTAATGGCATTCTAATTACTCAGGCTCAGCTCACAGGCTCCAACAGTTTCTCTGATACTTATGCCCAATTAGGCTTTGATGCTCTTGCCACAGAAAAAGTAACAAAGGTGTGTATCAGAGCTTCGGATAAATTACGGGCCCCAGGCCAAGCTCCTGTTTCTTTTATGAGGTCACTGATGTTTCTGTTATTTCTTCTAGTTTATGGCCTTCCTCCTGGCTTAAACATCCTGCTAAATGGGACTAGTAGGTGTTGGAAAAGCTGAGGAAGTTTATGAGAGCACATTTATCTTGCCTTGCACTGGCCCTGATGGTCAAAAGGTACAATTCAGCCCTATATCACGCCAATTTTCATTCATCTTTGGGGTAGAGATTTGCTGGCACAATGGGGGGCTGAAATTAATATTCCACATAACTCTTATGGTGCTCCCAGTCAGCATATGATGGAAAACATGGGGTTTGTTCCTGGGCTTGGTCTCAGTCCAAAACATGAAGGGATTACTAAACCCCTCCTAATTACTGTAAAAGAAGACAGGGCTAGTTTAGGTTATCCTTTTTAATGGTGGCCACTGCCACGCCTCCTGATCCTATCCCTTTACAATGGAAATCTGACACACCTATGTGGATTGACCAGTGGCCGCTCTCTAAAGAAAAACTGGAGGCTTTAACTCACTTGGTTTCTGAACAGTTACAACTTGGAAATGTGGAACCTTCTCTTTGCCCCTGGAATTCCGTGTTTCTAGTAAAAAAAAAATCAGGCAAGTGGTGGATGGTAACCGATTTAAGGGCCATTAATGCTGTAATTAAACCTATGGGGGCCGTCCAACCCGGGATGCCTGCCCCTGCTTTAATACCTAAAAATTGGCCTCTCATAGTTATTGATCTTAAAGATTGTTTTTTTCATATTTCTTTACATAAATCGGGTTGCAAAAAATTTGCTTTTACTGTACCATCTATCAATAATCAGGAGCCTGCAGCTCATTATCAATGGAAAGTACTTCCTTAGAGAATGCTAAATAGCCCTACAATCTGCCAGCTTTATATTGGGCAAGTGCTTTCACTAGTTCAAGCCCAATTTCCCCAGGCCTATATTTGCTGAGACCAGCTCGGCTGGGGAGATCCTAACCCAGTGGTGCTAGAGGAATTACAGACACACACACCAAAATATAGAGGTGTGAAGTGGGAAATCAGGGGTCTCACAGCCTTCAGAGCCGTAAGCCCTGAACAGAGATTTACCCACGTGTTTATTAACAGCAAACCAGTCATTAGCATTGTTTCTATAGATATTAAATTAACTAAAAGTATCCCTTATGGGAAACGAAGGGATGGGCCGAATTAAAGGAATAGGTTGGGCTAGTTAACTGCAGCAGGAACATGCCTTTAAGGCACAGATCACTGCAACTATTGTTTGTGGCTTAAGAATGCCTTTAAGCAGTTTTCTGCCTTGGGCGGGCCAGGTGTTCTTGCCCTCATTCCCGTAAACCCACAACTTTGCACGTGGGTGTTAGGGCCATTACGAACATGTTACAGTGCTGCAGAGATTTTGTTTATGGCCAGTCTTGGGGCCAGTTTATGGCCAGATTTTGGGGGGCTTGCTCCCAACATGTCCCCCTTCTCTGATGTGCAAATCGATAAAAGCAAGGGCAGCTTTGTCATGGTGAGCTACTTCTCGCAGGAGTCGGGATCTGCATCTGCAGACTATACAAAAACAACACATATTAAAAGCATAGTCATCATTGAAATCACAGAGCTTCCAAGTGTTTTTATCCATTTTAATGGGTTACTAGCTGCTAATTTGTCTGCAGCTCCTTTAAGCACTCCAGTTCTTGGCATTAAGGTCAGGTGTCCCTGGGATGCTTTAAACATTTGTTCTTTAATTTTGCTATATCCAAAAACAAGTTTGTAGAGTGTCCTTCTAGATGCTTTTTTATTCTTTCCCAAAGTTTGCATTTAATAGTTTCCACAAATCCTTATGTTTAGCTCCTAGAGCGGGCCATATCATTTGAGGTTGAGGTGCCACTATACCATCATGGTTACAGATAACAGGAACTTTTGCCGTACTTCTTATCATTTCTACCATCTGACCATTTTGTTCAGATCATCTGAACATAGTGTGACCATGGCATGCAGACTGAGAGGTGCAAATCAAGCTAAACATCCCCTTAGGGGACCAATTAATAATGATTCCATAGGAATCATTGTGCAGCACCTCTGCCTGTTCTGCAAAGCAATCTTCCTAAACAAGTACATTCATTTTTTCTAACTGGGTCCAATCCTGTTTACAAATAGTTTTTTGAGGGTGGTATGCCTCAATGATAGGAGCAGATTTATTATGGTAAATACTGAGATCAGAAAGTATGTGTAACTGTGTCATAGAGTGATTGCATCCAGGCATTATTGCCAGTCCTTATTGAAGGATTACTCATGGCAGTGGTGATAACCGCTATCATAGCTACGATTAAATTATTCATTGTGACTGTTTGTCCCGCTTTCCTCAGGTTTTCTTCCGCCATCTGTGACAGCTTCTTGATCTGTCCACAGGTGGGTGGCTGTGTTCGACGGGTGTTGCTCGTGACAGTTGGGGTCCTCCTCAGCATCAGTCTCGACATGGCTGCAACTGGGGTGTCCTTGGGATCTTCCTGGAGTCTCTTCCTCGGCATCTGGCTCATGATAAGGTTTCAGGTGTCTTGATGGTATCCAAATTGGCTGTTGATTTTGTCCTGGAGAAATATAAGCATAACCTCTACCCCAAGTTATTATTTTACCTATTTCCCAACTTTTTGTTATCAGATCTCTCCACCAAATCAGTTGTTCTGTTTTTGTCTTTGCAGCTGGTTTCTGTAGATGCTGTTCAGCTGCTGAAAACATCTGGCCTTTGGGCAGGCTCAAAAAATTTAAAGTTAATAATGCTAGGTTCAGTTGCATCTGTGGGGTTCCATATTCTCTGTCTCTTCCTTTCTGCTTTTGCAACTGCTGTTTTAGGGAGAGATTCATTCTTTCCACTATGGCTTGTTCTTGAGAATTGTATGGGATACCAGTAATGTGTTTACTATTCCACATAGAGAAAAATGTAGCTAGAGCTTGGCCAGTATAGCCTGGGGCATTATCTGTTTTACTAGAAGCTGGAATGCCCATCACCGCAAAACACTGCAAAAGATGACGTTTAACACAGGCAGAAGACTCTCCTGATTGGTATGTAGCCCAGACAAAGTGAGAAAAGGTGTCCACACATACATGTACATAAGCTAGTCTCCCAAATGAGGGAACATGTGTGACATCCATTTGCCAAAGAGAGTTAGGTTCCAGTCCTCGAGGATTAACTCCTCCTGTAAAAGATGAGGAATGTACCATTTGGCAAGTTGGGCATTGCTGGATAATAGCTTTAGCTTCTTTCCAGGTAATGCTGTATCTGCGTTTGAGACCAGAGGCATTAACATGGGTTAAATTGTGAAAGTGTCTAGCATTAGATATTGCATTAGCAACTAGGCAATCAGCCATTTGATTCCCTTCAGTCAAAGGTCCTGGAACAGGTATACGAGCTCCAATGTGAGTGATGTAAAAAGGTGCATTCTACTCCTAACTGCTGTTTGCAACTGGGTAAATAAAGTCATCAGTTGTTCATCTGTATGAAATCATAACTGAGAATTTTCAATTAGCTGTGTGGAGTGAACCATGTATGAAGAATCAGAAATCACATTAATAGGCATATCAAAAGCAGTCAATACCTCAATTACAGCTACAAGATCCGCTTTTTGAGCTGAAGTATAGGACGTCTGGAAAACTTTACTTTTTGAGCCAGAATAAGAAGCTTTACCATTACTAGACCCATTTGTAAAAACATTCTCAGCACCTTAAATTGGTTTAAATTTAGTTGTTTTAGGGAGAATCCAATTAGTTAATTTCAAAAACTGAAACAGCTTAATTTTAGGAAAATGATTATTGAGAATACCCACAAAGTCAGCTAAATGGGTTCGCCAAGTAAGACTATTTATAAAAGCTTGCTGTATTTGTGCCTTCGTGAGAGGGACAATAATTTTTCCAGGATCATATCCATGTAATTTAACAATTCGAGTTCTCCAATCCCTATCATGGTGATTTGATCTAAATAAGGAGTTAGAGTCTGTGAATTAGTATGTGGAAGAAAAAGCCACTCTACTAAGTCTTGTTCTTGGACAATAACAGCAGTAGGTGAATGCTGAGTTGAAAAATTAGCAAATCTAGAGTCTTCTCTGGATCTATTCTATTTATCTGAGCTTTATGGACTTGCTTCTCAATCAGTTGTAACTCTGCCTCAGCCTCCTTTGTTAATTGCTGAGGGTTAGTGAGACTAGGATTTCCTCTAAGGATAGAAAACAGATTGCTCATGGCATAGGTAGGAATGCCTAGAGCAGGTCGTATCCAATTAACATCCCCTAGTAATTTTTGAAAGTCATTTAATGTTTTTAGTTGATCCCTATGTATGGTTACTTTCTGTAGCACAATGGTAGTGTCATTCACTAAGGTCCCCAAGTAGGAGTAAGCAGTAGTAGTGTGAATTTTGTCAGGAGCTATAATTAAACCAGCATGAGAAATCGAATTTTGCAAGTGATCATAACATTGGAGTAATATTTCTGGAGTTGGGGCAGCACAAAGTATATCATCCATATAGTGAATAATGTAACACTATGAAAATTTTTTAAGAATAGGTTCAGTTGCTTGCCCCACATATGTCTGGCAAATTGTTGGGCTGTTTGACATGCCCTGTGGCAACACTTTCCAGTGATAATGCTTAGCAGGCTGCAGGATGTTTACTGCAGGAATTGTAAATGCAAACCATTCACAGTCTTGCTCAGCTAAAGGGATAGTAAAGAAACAGTCTTTTAAATCTATGACTATTAAAGTCCAATTTTTTGGAATTATAGCAGGAGAAGGCAATCCTGGCTGTAATGCTCCCATAGTTTGTATAACTGAACTGATGGCTCTTAAGTCAGTTAACATTCTCCATTTACCTGATTTTTTCTTAATTATGAAAACTGGAGAATTCCAAGGGGAAAATGTTGGAGCTATGTGCCCATTTTCTAATTGTTCAATAACTAATTTCTCTAAAGCCTCCAGTTTCTCTTTACTTAGCGGCCATTGTTCTATCCAAATTGGCTTATCTGTTAACCATTTTAAAGGTATAGGTTCTGGAGGCTTAACAATGGCCACCATCAAAAATTATTTCCTAATCTTTGGCGGGAACTTTGTTTTTCTGCTTGAAGCAGTTTTTTCAAACCTTGCAAATTTTTTTCTAGTCCCATACCAGGGACATACCCCATTTCATGCATTGTATGTTGACTTTGAGGGCTATATAATTGTTCTGGAATTAGAACTTGTGTTCCCCATTGTTGTAATAAGTCTCTTCCCCATAAATTTATAGGTACAGAAGTTATAATTGGTTGAATAGTCCCAGGTTGTCCATCAGGCCCCTCACAATGCAAAATATAACTACTTTGATATACTTCAGTAGCTTTACCAACTCCAACTATGTTAAATTGAGCAGGTTGAATTGGCCATGTGGATGGCCAGTGCTGTAGAGAAATGATTGAAATGTCCACTCCTGTATCTATCAAACCTTTAAATTTCTTTCCCTGAATAGTTATTTCACAGGTAGGACGTTTATCAGTAATTTGATTTACCCAATAAGCTGCTTTGCCTTGTTTATTTGTGCTTCCAAATCCTCCTGTTTGTTTAATTTCACTTTTTCCCATTCCCACATGTGGCACAATCAGGAGCTGTGCTATGCACTCTCCTGGCTCTGCTTTCCAGGGAACAGAAGTAGACACAACAATTTGAGTTTCCCCATTGTAATCTAAATAAATGACTCCTGTATGTATTTGTACTCCTTTTAAACTTACACTAGACCTTCCTAAAAGTAATCCTATTGTCCCTGCTGGCAAGGGTCCACAGACTCCTGTTGGGACCTTTTGCAGGGGTTCCCCAGGCAGAAGGCTCACAGCTTTTGTGCAGCATAAATCTACTGTGGCACTACTAGCTGTGGCAGGGAACAGACATTGTACAGGGGTGAGGGAATGGCCTGAGCTGGAAATGCCCTGGTTTAGAACAGGGCCCGGGATGGGCCCCTCATGGCATTTCCTGAAATTGGGTTTCTTTCTTTATCAAACTTAGAGTGACACTGACTAGCCCAATGTTTTCCTTTTTTACATTTTGGACATATTTCAGGCTCAACAGTTTTCTTTTTTCCCCTATCTGGCAGCCTGACTCGCTGATTTTTTCTACATTCTTTTTTAGTATGACCATGCTTCCCACAGTTAAAACAAGCTCCAGGAAATGGAGTATTTCCTTTATCCACTCTCAGTCCTGCCAGTGCCTGTGCCAACAAAGTAGCTTTATGCAGATTACCTCCGATACCATCACAGGCCTTGATATAATCAACTGAATGTGCTTTCCCGAATTTAAAAGGAAAAGGCTCAAATGTAGCTATAATATTTCCCTGTTGATCTGGGGGGTGTATTCTAACAGGGAACTGCCAAGCCTCTAAATCACCCTCTCGTCTAGCTTGCTGAATTCCTGCCTGAATAGAACTAAGAGCCGTCGCTCAAGGGGCTGCTTGAACAGTCACTGGGGCAACTACTTTTTGCCCAGTGTCCTCCAGAAAAGAAAGATCTGGAGGGTCTTTGTCTTCAAAATAATAAGGAGGGGGTGCAGAAGGGTAGGGATGAACCTCTCCTTCCTTTGCCGCTTTAGCTTTAGCTGGTAAATAAACATGCTCTGTAACCTCTTTTGTTACTTCGCTATACTCTTGTTCCTCCTCATTATCAGTGTGAAAAAGTTCCAAGGTGATACAAACCAGACACCATACCTGTCCCATCATTACCCTGACGCTTCTGAGCTCCCCTTCTTACTCACCACGGGGATTGCTTTAAGAGTACTCGGGTGTCCTCCAGCTAGTTTTCCATTCCAACCGTCGCTCCAGCAATCCTTTGACTTGGATTCGAGCCCCCACGATGGACGCCACTTGCCGAGACCAGCTCGGTCGGGGAGACCCTAACCCAGTGGCACTAGAGGAATTAAAGACACACACACACAGAAACATAGAGGTGTGAAGTGGGAAATCAGGGGTCTCACCGCCTTCAGAGCTGAGAGTCCCAAACAGAGATTTACTCATGTATTTATTAACAGCAAACCAGTCATTAGCATTGTTTCTATAGATATTAAATTAACTAAAAGTATCCCTTATGGGAAATGAAGGGATGGGCTGAATTAAAGGAATAGATTGGGCTAGTTAACTGCAGCAGGAACATGCCCTTAAGGCACAGATTGCTCATGCTATTGTTTGTGGCTTAAGAATGCCTTTAAGCGGTTTTCTGCCCTGGGCGGGCCAGGTGTTCCTTGCCCTCATTCCCGTAAACCCACAACTTTGCAGCACATTAGGGCCATTATGAACATGTTACACTGCTGCAGAGATTTTGTTTATGGCCAGTCTTGGGACCAGCTTATGGCCAGATTTTGCTCCCAACATTTATTCTTCATTATATTGATGGTATTTTAATTGCTGCCCCCACTGATAAAGAATTAATTGACTGTTCTCAAAGTTTGAGCTGCCATGTTACAGAGGCTGGATTACACATCGCTCAGGATAAAATTCAACAGACCACTCCTGTTCAATATTTAGGAATGGTGGTCGATAAACAATGTATTCAACCTCAAAAAGTTCAAATTAGGAGAGATTCTGTAAAAACTTTAAATGACTTCCAAAAACTTTTTGGTAACATTAAATATTTAAAACCTACTCTAGGCATTCTGACCTATGTGCTGTCTAACTTGTTCTCTATGCTGCAGGGAGATTCCAATCTCCACAGTCCCAGGACTTTGACCCCTGAGGCTTCACTAGAACTGGAATTCATAGAGGAAAGAATCCAGACTGCCCAGTTATCTAGAGTACAGCCGTTTCAGCCTTTTCAGCTTCTGGTTTTCGCTTCATTACACTCCCCTACTGGACTAATAGTTCAATATAATGATTTAGTGGAGTGGTGTTTTCTTCCTCACTCTGTGTCAAAAACTTTGTCTGTTTATCTAGTTCAAATGGCCACTCTAATTGGACAGGCATAGTGCAGAATACTTAAAATTTCCAGATTTGATCCGAATTTAATTGTAGTTCCTTTAAATTGGCTGGAAGTTCAAGCCGCCTTTCAACATTCCGTACTGTGGCAAATTCACTTTGCTGATTTCATTGGCGTTATTGACAATCATTACCCAAAGAACAACTTGTTTGATTTTATAAAAATGACGTCTTGGGTGGTCCCTCGATTAACCAAAGATCAGCCCATTCCTGAGGCCGTTATAGTGTTCACTGATGGCTCCAGTAATGGCAATGCTGGTTATGTAGGTCCTACAGACAAGCTTATTTCTACCTCTTATACCTCTGCTCAAAAGGCAGAGTTAATTGCTGTGATTATGGCCTTACAGGATTTCCCCAAACCTTTAAATATTGTCTCTGATTCTGCTTGTGTTTTACATGCCACTAAAAATATAGAAACTGCTACTATCAAACATTGATAATTCTGAATTGGCTTCTTTATTTTCAAGGTTACAACAGTCGGTTCACCAACGTAGACACCCTTTCTATATTATGCATATTAGATCTCATACCACTTTACCAGGACCCCTGTCTGCTGGTAATCATAAAGTTGACTGTTTGGTCTCTTTTGCAACCCAAGAAGCTCAGGAGTTCCATAATCTCACTCATGTCAATGCTGCTGGATTAAAAGATAAATTTGCTCTTACCTGGAAACAGGCTAAGCTTATTATCCACTGCTGCCCTCAGTGCCAAGTTTTTGTACTTCCAAATCAGGAACCTGGCATTAATCCCAGAGGCCTAACTCCTAATGATTTATGGCAAATGGATGTGACCCATGTTAGCTCCTTTGGCAGACTGTCATATGTGCAGGTCTCTGTAGATACCTTCTCAGGTTTTATCTGGGCTACTTACCAAACAGGGGAGGCACGGCCCATGTTAAAAACATCTGTATTCTTGCTTTGCAGTTATGGGGCTTCCATATCAAATAAAGACAGACAACACCCCTGGATATGTCAGTAAGGCTTTTGATTTATTTATGCAACAGTGGGGAATTTCCCATATTACTGGAATCCCTTACAATCCTCAGGGACAGGCTGTGGTGGAATGGGCCAATTGCACTTTAAAAACCCAATTCTCCAAACAGTCTGAGCAACAAAAACATAATTTAACTACCCCCAACTCCCAATTACATTTGGCATTGTTTACTTTAAAATTTTTTAATGTTCCTAAAGATCTAACTGCAGCTGAACGCCATTATACAGGCAAAAAATTCTCCCTAAATGAAGGCAAGCCAGTGTTATGGAAAAACTCCCAAACCAATACCTGGGAACCTGGCACAGTTATAATGTGGGGGAGAGGATATGCTTGTGTTTCACCAGGAGATCATCAATCCCCTGTCTGGGTACCCACCAGGAGACTCAAGCTTTGGGTGAATACTGACAACGAAAACCACAGAGAAAAGACATCCGTATCAGAGACCGCCCTCAGACGTGGTGAGATCTGTGTCAACTCCTTAGAAGCTGGCACACCAAATCACAATGGGTCTGATTCAATCCTCCCTGATGGCAATGGAGACCCATCTAACTAATCCCACTTCTCCTGACTACCTTTCTTTTTCTCCTTACAAACCTAAAAATCTCACCATTTCTATTAGCCTGAAAATAACATCTCTCTGTTCTTCTCTTCCTCCTTCAGCACTGAATCTCACTTACACTATGTTTTATTTAATGATTCTCCTCTTTATACTTTCTGTCTCACCAGTTTCCTCTCACACTGATTTACCTGCTACACAAAATTATTCTTATTGGGCTTATGTGCCTTTTCCTCCACTTATTCGACCTCTCACCTGGATGGATGCTCCTGCACAAATCTACACTAATGATAGTGTGTGGATGCCTGGAGCTACAGATGACCACTGCCCCACTCAACCAGGAGAAGAAGGCACTGCATTTAATGTTACCATGGGTTATAAATACCCCTCTCTGTGCCTCGGACATACACCTGGTTGTATCCATCTACAAACTCAAGTCTGGGCTGCTTATCTTCTGGAGAGATCAGCTACAGAGGAACCGGGACATTTAGTCTCTGGCCTCTCCCTTTCTTGTTTAAAACAAATGAAAGGGGGAGTAATGGGAGATACCCCATACTTTCAATATAAACCTGCAGGAAAACCATGCCCTAAAAATTTTGAGGGCCCATCTAAAACTTTAATTTGGGAAGACTGTGTTAACTCACATGCAGTAATATTAAAAAATGACTCATATGGTTTAGTAATAGACTGGGCACCAAAGGGCTATTTAAAAAACAATTCCTCCTCTGACGGAAAGGAATGCCTGGAGGCTGCTTATTTGATTTCTTATCAGGAGAACAAGAATCATCATTCTACTTTGCATAGGAGGTTCAACTCGTTCTTTCCCTTAAAATGGGAAGATAAAGGCATTACCCACCCCCCCACCCCGAGGCCTCATATGATACTCCCCATTCTGAGCCCAGAACACCCAGAACTTTGGAAATTGGCTATTGCCATGTCTGGACTGCAAGTATGGGAAGGGGAAACTATTCTGTCTGTTGTCCCCAATACCGTTGCTCTCCCTCAGTATCAACATAAATGCAGACTTTCTGCTTTGCTTACTTCCAACCTGACTGTTCCCATACAGAGTTGTGTTAAGCCTCCTTACATGCTGTTAGTGGGAAATATCAAAATTTGGACGAGCAATCAAACTGTCCAATGCATTAACAGTCATTTATACACTTGTATTAACTCCCATTTTGACTCTGGGAAAAGTGTAATGTTGGTTCGAGCTCAAGAAGGAATCTGGATTCCGGTAACTTTGCCCAGACTTTGGGAATCCTCCCCGTCAATACATTTAATTAATGAAGTGTTACAGCAAATTCTAAAAAGATCTAAGAGATTTGTTTTCACTTTAATTGCTGTGATCATGGGCCTAATTACAGTCACTGCACTGGCCACTACTGCTGGAATGGCATTACACCAATCTATTCAAACGGCTCATTTTGTTAATGATTGGCAAGCCAATTCCACCCAAATGTGGAATTCTCAACAAGGCATTGATCAAAAATTTGCTAATCAAATTAATGATTTAAGACAGTCTGTTATTTGGCTTGGAGATTGGGTAGTGAGTCTTGAACATCGCATGCAAATGCAGTGCGATTGGAATACTTCTGATTTCTGTATCACCCCGTATTCCTGTAATGAAACTGATCATTCATGGGAAATGGTCAAAGGACACCTTCTAGGTAGGGAAGATAATTTATCATTGGACATAACTGAATTAAAGAAACAAATTTTTGAAGCCTCTCAAGCTCATTTATCCATTGTGCCTGGAGCTGAGGCATTAGATCAGGCAGCAGAAAATCTTTCTGGACTAAACCCCACGACTTGGATTAAGTCTATTGGGGGCTCCACTGTAGTAAATTTTGGAATTATGTTTCTCTGTTTAACTGGCTTGTCTTTAGTGTGCCAGACCAGTCAAAGAATCCTGCATCAAAATTGAGAGAATGAACAAGCCTTTATCACCATGGCACATTTATATAAAAAGAAAGGGAGAGATGTTGCGGGAAGTCAGGGACCCTGAACGGAGGGACCGGCTGAAGCCATGGCAGAAGAATATAAATTGTGAAGATTTCATGGACATTTATTAGTTACCCAAATTAATACTTTTATAATTTCTTATGCCTGTCTTTACTGCAATCTCTGAACATAAATTGTGAAGATTTCATGGACATTTATCACTTCCCCAATCAATACTCTTGTGATTTCCTATGCCTGTCTTTACTTTAATCTCTTAATTCCATCACCTTTGTAAGCTGAGGATGTATGTCACCTCAGGACCCTGTGATGATTGCCTTAACTGCACAAATTGTTCATAAAGCATGTGTGTTTAAACAATATGAAATCTGGGCACCTTGAAAAAAGAACAGGATAACAGTGATGTTCAGGGAACAAGGGAGATAACCATTGGGTATGACTGCCTGAGAGCCAGGCAGAACAGAGCCATATTTTTCTTCTTACAAAAGCGAATAGGAGAAATATCACTGAATTCTTTTTCTCAGCAAGGAACAGCCCTGAGAAAAAGAATGTGTTCCTAGTGGGCGGTCTCTAAAATGGCTGCTCTAGGAATGTCTGTCTTATACGGTTGAAGATAAGGGATGAAATAAGCCCCGGTCTCTCATAGCGCTCCCAGGCCTATTAGGACGAGGAAATTCCTGCCTAGTAAATTTTAGTCAGACTGGTTGTCTGCTCTCAAACCCTGTCTCCTGATAAGATGTTATCAATGACAATGCATGCCCGAAACTTCATTAGCAATTTTAATTTCGCCCCAGTCCTGTGATCTCTCTGCCCCCATTTGCCTTGTGACATTTTATTGCCTTGTGAAGCATGAGATCTCTGTGACCCATTCCCTATTTGTACACTCCCTCCCCTTTGAAAATCACTAATAAAAACTTGCTGGTTTTGTGGCTTGGGGGGCATCACAGAACCTGCTGACATGTGATGTCTCCCCTGGACACCCAGCTTTAAAATTTCTCTCTTTTATACTCTTTCCCTTTACTTCTCAGACTGGCCGACACTTAGGGAAAATAGAAAAGAACCTATGTTGAATTATCGGGGGCTGGTTCCCCCGATATCATAGTGTTCCTATAACAATGTACTTGCTAGGTCAATGTTGATCAGCAAATGATCCCAAGGAGACTTGCATCTGTATCACCTGTGGGTGTCCTAATTTAAGATTCAGATTTGTAGGCTCATATCAAAGTTACTAAATGTGACTCTCTGAGGCTGAGGCCTAGGAATGCACTTTTATTAAGAAACTCATCTAATTCTGATGCTTAGTAAAAGCTGAGAACTACTGAACCAGTTTCACCAGACCAGTGTTTCTGTGTTTCATAAGTCCAAGGGGTACATTTTCATTGTACTCCACGTACTCCCGGGGTGGCACATATGTAAAATAAAATCTGAATGGTGTCCCTGGGGCTTTGTAATATAGAGCTATTGCTTGGCCTTATCCTACTTTTGCTGTCATAGGCCTTCTCCTAGAAGGTGTGGTTCATTCCTAGTGACACTGAAGAAGCTCTTAGCACCATTCACTGTGGGGAGCTGAGGGCCAAGTCCCCACTTCTAGTAGCAGAGCCCAAATTGATCTCATGTATGTCCCTGGCAAGCTATGGAGAATAAGAATTTCATTCCATGCCAATAGGTAGAAATTGCTTCTGATTTATTGTGCAGGGAAATCTAGGTCACAATCTCTAATAGCCAATGAGTGCTCACTGGATGGCAAGAGAAGCCCATATACCAGAACTATGTGTTTCAAGGGGATGTGGGACTCCAATTGGAACAAAGTAATTTGTTCCAATTACTTTTTTCTTATTGGCTGTACATTTCAAAAGCCTGTATTCAGGAAACTAAGGAGAGAGAAAGTCAGGAAATGCTGCACAAAATTGCTTTGAACAATCTCTGATCTGGTTTATTGACTCCTTCCTCAAACAAGTTCTACTTGTACTGACTTCCTGACTCAATGAACATTTGCTCAGCATCCATCAGAGAAATAATAGCTGAAGTCGATGGGAGGTTACCCATGCTTACCACGTGTTTGACTGAGCTCTGGGAATGCAAAGTCAAATAAAACCCTGATCTTGTGGAGTTTATATTTTAGTTGGTGGGATACAGAGGGATCTAAACAAGATATAATGATACAATGTGGTAAGGAATGTGCCTAAGGTATGGAGGGAATAGGAATTAATTCTTCTCAGGCATATAGAAGCCTTGTTTAAAAGGCAGCACTTGATGGGCCTTGAAGGTGGAGTATGAACGTGCTGGGTGGAGGAGGGGATGAAAACATGCCTGGCAGGAGCACCTGCATGAGCAAAGGTATGGTGGTGGGAGTCCATGTGGTGAGCTTAGAACACAGTGCTCATGACAAGGAGTGGCTGGAGATGGGTCAGGTGGGGACAAGGCCAGAGGTTAGGGTTGGGTTGGGACAAGGCTTTGAATGTCTGCTGGAAAGCCTCGCCTTTATCTTCTTGGGAAGCCGAGATTGGACATAAAGTAGAATGATGTGATCAGACATGTTAAGACAGAAAGAGCACTTGGCATCAGTGTGGGGTGTGGTTGCTTCCTCTCCTGAATGCCTTCCTTGTTGTCTTCATCTGACTAGCACTACTCATATTTAAAGATTCAGCTCAAGCGTCACTTCCTTTAGGGAGCCCTCCATGATCTTCACGGCCTGGCCACCTACCCGTCCCATGGGCCTCCGTTGAAGCTGACATAAACCTGGATCACAGAGCCTGACACATCTTAGGGCACATTTGTTTCCCGGCCAGCCTGAGGGTCTGTTGAGGATTGGGCTCCTGTCTGCACTTCCCTATGGTTGGCAGCTGGCACAGAATCCAGCATTTTATAATGACTCACTAAAAATATTTATTGTTAAATAAATAAGAATAAGCATCCTCTGCTTTCATATTTTCTGAAGTTGTGAGTATGTAATTACTACCATTGATTTAATCCTTACTGTTTGTGATGTGCTTTATGATCTCATTTAATTCCCATACAAAACTTAGATGATAATGACAATAACATGACTACTACTATACTAAAACTGTCACCTGGTGCCTAACGTGCTTGACACTGAAGTGATTTGCTTATATTAACCCATTTAATTCTCATATGAACCCTTTTATGATCCTGAACAACAGAGGCTTGAACTGCTCAGGTCCACTGATATGTGGATTTTTTTTGACCCAGCCCCAGTGGAAAATACAGTATTCAAGGGATGCAAAACTCATATAAGCAGATTCTGCAGGGCAGACTGTGGGACTTGAGTGTGTGTGGATTTAGGTACATGGGGAATGGTTGGGGGTGGTTCCTGCAACCAATTCCTTGCAAATACTGAGGGATGAACACATTATTCTTTTTCTTTTTTACAAATAAAGAAACTGAGAGGCTGGGAGCAGTGGCTTTCATCTATAATCCCAGCATTTGGGAAGGTCGAGGTGGGAGGATCGCTTGAGCCCAGGAGTTTGAGACCAGCCTGGGCAATATAGTGAGACCTCCATCTATACAAAAAACACAAAAATTAGCTAGGTGTGGTGGTGCATGCCTGTAGTCCCAGCTCCTCAGGAGACTGAGGTGGGAGGATGGCTTGAGCCCAGGAGGTTGAGGCTGCAGTGAGCTGAACACACTGCAGCCTGGGCAACATAGGAAGACCCTGTGAGGGAAAGAAAAGAAAGGAAGAAAGGAAGAAAGGAAGAAAGAAAGGGAAGGAAGGAGAAAGGAAGTAGAAAGAGAGAGAGGAAAGAAGGAAGGAAAGAAGAAAGGGAGGAAGGAGAGCAAGGGAAAGAGAAAGAAGGAGAGAGAAAGGAAGGAAGGAGGGAAGGAAGAAAAAAGAAAGGAAAGAAAGAAAAAAAAGAAAGAAAGGAGTAAAGAAAAGAAAAAAGAAAAGATAGAAACAGATACACAGTGATTAAGTAACTTGCTTGTAAGTGGTGGTGAAGTTAGGATTTGGACCCAGGCACCACAGCTGGAGTCTGCGTTCTGTTTGCTGTATAGACTCTCTATCCCCTGGGCTTAAGTGAAGTTAGGATTTGGACCCAGGCACTGTAGCGCAGAGTCTGTGTTCTGTCTGCTATATAGACTATGTCCATCCCTGGGCTTAAAGAGGTTAGGAGGCTTTAGGTTATTTAGCTATAAATGGCAGGGTAGGGAGTTGACTCCATGTCTGTCTGGCTCCAAAGTCATAAGCCTCCAATTTCCTGCCCTGTTCTATCTTAAAACAGAATGCGAGTGTTCACCAGGGTCATCACTAAGGCATTTAGAAAATGAAATTTCTGCAAATTAAACACAGGGAGAAGTCTGATTCATGGTGGGGTTAGCAGCAGCCAGTTGTGGGTGAAGCTGGAGAAACTCAAGGTGGGTGGATTGAATCTGCAAGAAATGGGAATTCAGAATGCAGCCTCAATCTAGGACATTTCCAGCCTGAGACACTATCTGAAATCACACCGCAAGATCTTCAAGCTACAAAACACTGTAGTAGTTTAATTAATCTTTTTTTTTTTTAAAAAAACATCTGTTGTAGCATTTAAAATCAGAAAATGATGTCCTCATTATCTCTCTGAAGCCTGGCAGATTCTTCTCTACTAAAGGGTCCTGGATTTGAAAATCACTTCCTTTAGAAATCTCTTTTGAGTCCAGGTTCCAGGTGCAGGAGTCCAAATTCCTTTTGCTTTAGATAATGATTAAATGTCTCCTTTTCACCTTCCAGTTCCCTCCCTCTTTTCCAAGCAATTTAATCTTAACCATTCATGTATATTGTTTAGTTAGTCATGGCAACAAGGCCATTTGATAGGTCAATTAGCAGCTAAACTTAGACATGATATTGACATTCTGGCTGTGTTAGCCACATTTTTGAGATCCTAGTATAAAGGTTTGACTGATCTCCATGAATTGTCAATACACTTAGACAATGAAGGTGCTGTAATTGCAAAAGAAAAGAAATTTTCAGGACCGTTTAAATGTATTTTGCCAAGGGGGAAGTTAAACCCTGGAAACTGAGTCATGTAGCATGTTTGCAACTTACGCTTCTTAGATTATAGATTAACTCTCTTCTGCATTGTTCTTGTTCTGTAAATGATTAGAAGAGACCAGAGACCAGAATTCCTTCCCTTCCAATCACTGATCTTTGTTGTAGATTAAGCCCTTCCATTTTTGTCTTGTACGTAACTCAGACCAGATGGTACAAAAGAGTCCATGACTGTTACATCTTCAGTGTGGAATGTTAAATGTACCTTTCCTGAAAGGAAAAGACCACCTCGACTAATCAGATCATTGTAACTCTGCATTCGGCCTCTTGTAGAAAAATGTTGAAATTCTGCTAAGCTTCCCTAAACCTTGTCTATGTAAACAATCCCAAACTTCTACACTTCAGAACACTGACTTCCATTCTTTGGAATCTGTGCTTCCCAAGTGGCCATCTTCAACTTTTGCACTTGAATTCAACTCTCTTCAAACTAGTTTCTGGCCAGGCATGGTGGCTCATGCCCGCAATCCTGGCACTTTAGGAGGCTGAGGTGGGAGGATCACTTGAGGCCAGGAATTTGAGACCAACCTGGACAACATAATGAGACCTCTGTCTCTACAAAAAAGGAAAAAAAAAAACAAAACCAAAAAACCAAAAAAACATTGCCCAGGCATGGAGGTATACACCTGTAGTCTTAGCTACTTGGGAGGCTGACATGGTGGGAGGATCCCAGGAATTTGAGGCTGCAGTGAATTATGATTGTGCCACTGCACTCCAGCCTGGGTGACAGAGTGAGATCCTGTCTCTAAAAATAAAAAAATCAACAAACAAACTAGATTCTGACCCTTTTGATTATTTGAGGTTGACAAACAACAATGAAGCAAAACCAGGCCTGATCTCTGCCCTAATGAGGGATAGTCTAGAGGGAGAGAGAGAAGCACATCTCAGAATCATATACAAACATGAAAGTGCAACTGTGACAACTGCTTTGAGGATCAACAGGTTCTCTAATAGGGAAATTTAGCCTCATCAGGGAGGTTGAAACAAGGCTTTGTGAAGAAGCAACACTTGAGTAAAGCCTGAAGGCTAAGCAGAAATTAATTAGGCAATGAGGGGAGGGAAGGGTGTTCTAGGCAGAGGGAACAGCTTATGCAAAGGCTCAGTGGTGGGGAGGGCCCCGCAGTACAAGGAGCTGAAAGAAGGTGATAAAAGGAGTGTAGGAGCTGAAAGAAGTAGAAGTAGGAGAGGCAGACAGAAGTCAGACCAAGCAGGGGTTTGTAGGCCCCGTGAAAGACTTGTATTTGTATCATAAAAGCAATGGGAAGCTATTGAAGAGTCCAAGGAAAAGGAGGGGGTGGTGACTTGGTCAGTTTACATTCTGAAAGCCGCTCTTTAGTGCAAGGCATAGAAAGGGAAAGGGTGCTCGCTTGGATGCTGCTCTTCCCCGCCTCACTCTTAGTCCAGGAAGTCTGGCTGGAAGGCTGATGGAGCAAGCCTGGCCATATTGCCACATCCTCTCGTCCTCAGTGACTGGTTGAGGGACAGGCATGTAAGGAAATCGGGCTCAATCAGAAGTCCTGTCAGGTATTTAGCAGGGACTACAGGAACTGATGCATGGTCTTGCCTGTTGGCTTTGAACTTAAGATCACACGAGGAGCTGCTGTGGCTGTCTTACCACCACAAGGTGGAGAGCCTGATGCTACCAGGAGGTGCCTGCCGTATGGGACCTGAGAGTGAGGCTGAGCCCAGAAATGGAGTGAAACCAAGTCCCGATGGCTTTCATATCTTGTCCAAGCACAACTGAAGGCATCCTTGCTTCAGTACTTTTCAGTTACATAAGCCAACCCATTTCTGCCTTGCTTATACCACATTTCATCCAAAGAGTCAGTGGATTCGTAGGCAGGAGGGGGACGTGGAAGAAGTCTCCCGGGCATGCCCATCTGCTGGATCAGGACTGTGGAAGGAGCTGGGCTTCCTGTTTGAGCTACTCCTGCCAAGCAGAGAGGCTTTCAGAGGAGGAGCAGGAGCAAATTGGCCTCTGCCTGGGAACAGACATTTTTTGGTGCCTGGTAATCTAGTCTAGTCAGCTAGGAGCTGTGTAAATTTACCCTTCTCTATGCTGAAGGCTTAGTGCTGTGGGTGCTGTTGTCTTCTGGTTCCCTAGTAAAGTTTCTTTTACAAACTATAGTCAGCTCTTGGCCGACCTGAGGGAGAAAGGGAAGGAACCAGGGAACCAGAGAAGTCTCAATGCCCTGGAAGCCAGGGATCAGCGTGGGGTTGGGTGGGGAACATGGCAGCCACTGAGGATAGGCTTCAGCTCCAGGTAGATGTGCTTGCAGCCAAGAGCCAGGAGAAAACCATGATTGTCCTTTGTTCTTACCTATGGTGGGTGCTGCCCGCTAAGTACCTGCCTCCCCAGCCAGCTCCTCTGGACCACTCAGCCAGCTCTCTAGGTTTCCAGGGCCAGAGCTGCCTCTCAAGTCTGGTGGTTATTTGAGGCCAAAAGATCCACCTACAAACCTCAACCTCTCATTCTCCCAAAGGAAGCATATTATCTGCAAGGGAGGAGGACAGGCAGGGAGTGACATTGCTCTGTTCTCTCTTTCAGGATGAAAGGGGCAGAACCATCTAGAGAGCTGGACAAGAAACAATAAGCCATGAGTTTAAGTTCTTGCTCTGAGAACTTGTAAAAGAACTGTGAGCCAGACCTCTTTGGGCCTCTGTTTTCCTCACTTGCAAGTAAAAGCATTGGATTCAATGTTCTTAAATCAAATATTATACACATCAGACTGGATAACTGCCTTTTAAAACTACTCAGAAAATGAAGCTTCTTACAACTTCTGGAAAAATTGGTTGGGGTTAGTGTTTAGGTCACAATGGAAGGCAGAGCTCCTCCATCCCTCTGTCAACTAAAGGGAGGACAGCAGCTCTCTCTGACCCCATACAGCATTTGACCTTGGACCTTTCCTTCTGGGACTTTGAACCTCGAGAGAGAGGCACGTGGTTAAGTGAAGGTGGGGTTGGGTTTGTGACAGCAGCAGTGTGGGGTAGAGGCAGTGGCAGTAGTGTGGCACTAGGGGACAGGCACAGTGCATGCTAGCTGTGTGTTCCTTTTGCCCAACCTCCCTGGCTTCTTCATGGCATCCCAGGTCTGGTTCCCCAACCTTCCTATCAAGTCTGTGGACCACCCAACAACCTTATAGTTAATCCCTTTCCTGGTTACATCAGCCAGAGTCAGTTTCTGTTGTTTGCATCCCAGGTATCCCGGCTGATACATAGTGGAGGACACTTATGTTATTAAAACCCCAAACTAGCTAGAGACATTTTTGTCTTTTAAGACAGGATGACATAATTCATGTCAGCAGGAAAATAAATGTTTGTGTGTCTCTTTCCCCTGCTAAATGTGTTAGAAGAGGGTCTGGAGAGTAGCAGGGGGTAGGCTGTCCTTAGGGTGCACGTGCACGGGTATGGATATGGAACTTCTGTGTTGTCAGACTGTTTCCTTCTTGTATTTCCTTAAGCAGGATCAGCAAACTTTTCTGTAAAGGGACAGATAGTGAATATTTTTGGTTTTGTTGGCCATATAGTGACTGTTGCAGCTACTCAACTCTGCTGCTGGAATATAGAAGCAGAAATAGATAGTATGTAAATGAGCAGATGTGGCTGGTTTCCAATAAAACATTATTTTCAAAAACAAATGGTGGGTCGAATTTGCCTGTAGGCCATCGTTTGCTAATCTCTTTCCTAAAGCACTTAAAGCACTTTGTATTCGTTTGTGATAATTTGAATTATCGTTCAACCAATATTTATTCCTTTCCCTCTTCCACTGTGGACAAAGTACAATTCCCTAAACCAATGATGTTAGGCTTGGCCAAGTGACTTGCTTTGGTCGATGAAACATTAGCAGATGTAATAAGAGCCTTAAATATGTTGTCACAGTTTGGCTTGGATCTTGCATTCTGGTGATCCACTATGAGAAGCACATGCCCTGCGTAGCCACTGCCTCTTCAGTCCCAGGACAAACAACTCAGAGTTAGGATCCAAGCCCAGCCAACCTCAGTCCAAAGCAGAGCCACCCAGCTAAGCCCAGCCCAGATGAACTGACCCACAGTTGATCCACCTGCAGATCTGTGAGCATGAGAATAAATGCTTGTTATTATAAGTTACTGAATATTGGGATGGATTGCTAGCAATATTGTAACAGTATCTAAAATACCATCTTAATGCATTCATCACAGACTGTTTTATGGTTGCTTGTGTCATACATGTCATTTTTCCCTTACTGCATTAGAGATTCCTTGAAGCCATTCATCAGATCTAACTCTTCTTTAAAAATTCTGTAGCACCCAGCACATTGCCTTACAAATAGTGCTTCCTAAGTATTAAGATGGTGTGTAAGATACTGCTACAATGTCGCTAACAAACCACAATATAATATTAAATGGTGAATGTAGCATTCGTTCATTCATTCATTCATATAAACGTGGAAGAATTTTCTGCCTGTAGTGAAGAATGACATTTGCTACTCTCTTCAGAATGATGAGAAAAATATCTGACATGACAGTGACAGTGGACATTTAGGTCTCAACAAGACATAGTTTCACTTGACCAGAAGAGGAAAAGGAAGCTGAATGAGCCCATGGTTCTGCTTCTCTATCTGTAAAGTGACTATAATGATAGAACCTACCTTTTGGGTTTTCATGAGGACTAAATGAGATAATTCATGCAAAGTAGTTAGCATTGGGCCTGATCCATGGTAAGTAGTCAAAATATTTTCATTATTATTATTTTCAGAAAGATTATGTGAATTGTCTTGAAATCCAGCCCTAGGATTAATAATGGCAGTTGGGCTAAAACAAAAAAAAAGTATTTTACAATGATTCTCTCCCTCTCTTCCTTTGTTTCTCCCTCCTTTTCTCTCTTTGTCTTCCTTCCCACATTTACACTCACACAGAGAACTTTTATGTGCTATTTAGTGCAGCAAGGAAATTGCAGGACACTATCTCTACTATCAAGGAACTACCAGTCTAATCAGACAGATACAAATACATATATTCAATGCTGTCTGTAAAAATATGTAATTTATGGACTGAATAAGTAGCATATGCTATAAGAAAGGGTTTTGAAACATCTTCAAATATTAAACACCAGGAGAATGACAATGGAAGTCCCAATGCATTTCAAAGAATCACTTTCATAATGATAACTCTCTCCAAGACAACTTAAAAATCAAGAGTAAAACTATTAACACATTTGAAAAATAAATTACTTGGAAACTTAAAAGTTCTAGATAATTCATGGGTTAATAGGCAATGAAAATTATAAGGAATTTAAAATTGAAGGACAATGACAATAATAAATATCCAAACCATCTGGATGCAATTTAAGCAATATTCGGAAGAAAAAAGAAGGCTTAAATGAATTTGGTATTTAACTCAAGGAGTTGTAAAAAATAATATCAGGGTAAATCCAAAGAAATTAGAAAGAAGACAACAGGAAAAGGAAGGACTGGAAATAAATGAAATTGAAAACAAAACAGAAAAAGAAAGAAATGGTTAAAAAAGAAAGTGGACTCTGAAAACTCCAGCAAAATGAACAAATCTATAGCAAGACTAATCAAGAAGGAAAAAGTGCAAATAAACACTACGGGAAGGCAAAAGGAGGCACATCCACAGATATAAAAGGGATTACAATCACCACAAGAAAACACTATTATCAATTGTAGGCCCATATATTTGGAAATGTATACTGTAGCAGACACAGTTAGTTGCTGCAACTGTGCTATGCTATGCTATGCTATAATGTGCTATGCTATGCTATAATGTGCTATGCTATGCTATGCTATGCTATAATGTGCTATGCTATGCTATAATGTGCTATGCTATGCTATGCTGTACTATGCTATACTATGCTGTGCTATGCTATACAGTGCTGTGCTAAAATATGGTATGTTATGATAACACAACCCTAACATCTCAGGTGGCTTACAGATCACAAATATTTCTTTCTCATTCATGTTGCAGGTTCAGTGTGGGTGTGGGTGAGGTCCTCCACCCCATGCCACGCAGTGACTCAGGGGTGCAGGCTGACGGAGGAGCCAACACCTCCACATGTGCTTCTGGGGTCATTGCAGCTGGAGAATCTAGAATCTAGCTTACTGTAGAATCTTTTTTTGGGGTGGGTGTATAGAGTCTTACTCTGTAGCCCAGGCTAGACTGCAGTGGCATGATCTTGGCTCACTGCAACCTCCACCTCCTGGGTTCAAGCTAGTCTCCTGCCTCAGCCTCCCAAGTAGCTGGGACTACGGGCATGCGCCACCATGCCTGGCTAATTTTTGTATTTTTAGTAGAAATGGGGTTTTACCATGTTGGCCAGGCTGATTTTGAACTCCTGTCTTCAAATGGTCTCCCAGCCTTGGCCTCCCAGAGTGCTGAGATTACAGGCATGAGCCATGGCCTCTGGCCTGCAGAATCTTTATTACTCTTGTAATCAAGTACTTCTTGTCTACCACCCTTGAAGATGCTCTGTTGTGAGGAGTGAAGTTGGCTGACAGCCTCCAGCTGTTAGCACCTTTGGAATCTGCTGCTGTGTTGAAGCTGAGCTCTGGGTAGCTCACAGCCTGGTGGAATTACTACGGCCTAGTCATGTCTGCCCAACATGGGACTCCCCTCCAGGCAATCTGCCTTTGAGATTCCCACTGGCCTTGGCCAAGACTTTCTCAGAGCTGCTCCACAGTCTAAGCTTCTTTCTGCTCACTCCGAATTTACCTGTCTTTGTATTTCCCCCTCAAGGGTGTCAGATGTGCAATGCAGTCTGAAGGCTTTCCCTGCCTACTCCTGATCCCCTCCCACTCCACGCTCCCTGTATCTTTCAGGCATCACCCCCAATAAACCTCTTGCATTCCTACCTCCTAACTCCTAGCAGTCCAGAATCTCAAAGTCATATTTAACCTTTAATCACATTTCATTGGCCAAAACTAGTCACATGTCCATGCCCATCTTCAAAGGGTTAGGGCAGTCTAACCCAAAGGAGAACTGGATATTGGGGCACATTTGTAATTTTTATCACTACTGAAAAACCCTAAATAATGGGAAGAGAAGTTCTCTAAAAGAAAATAATATTTATTTGGGAGTAAGCATTGCAATGGAATATGGTGGGTGTATTCGGGGAAGTAAAGGAAGATAATGGTTTTTAAAGAATAAATAAGGAGGATTACATAATTGTTTTGAGATAATTGTCCTTGGCTACAAGGATCAATAACAAGGGTTATGCCAGTCAGGTTCGACAGGCAGTTGCTGGGCAGATGTCTTTGCAGAAAAAATTTTTTTTTGTATAAGGGTGCAGTACCCTTTGTGCAAGATTGTGAGTTTTGGCCGGGTGCAGTGGCTCATGCCTGTAATCCCAGCACTTTGGGAGGCTAAGGTGGGCAGATCACCTGAGGTCAGGAGTTGGAGACCAGCCTGAACAACATGGCGAAACCCTGTCTCTACTAAAAATACAAAAATTAGCTGGGCGTGGTGGCACATGCCTGTGATCCCAGCTACTCAGGAGGCTGAGGCAGGAGAATCTCTTGAACCCAGGAGGCAGAGGTTGCAGTGAGGTGAGATCGCGCCATTGCACTCCAGCCTGGGTGAGAAGAGTGAAACTCCATCTCAAAAAAAAAAAAAAAAAGATTGTGAGTTTTGCATCCTTTTCTGGTTGTTTTTGTAATCAGCCATATGTACGTGGGAACATTTCCTTCATGGCCTTCCCAGCCTCTATTTGTCAGGGCTTTAATAAAGTGACTCCACTTCGATTCTGACAACTTTTGATATACAACTAATGATTAAACAGTTATTCATTACCCTCCTTTTCTTGCCAGCAGAGCCCCAATTTTTTCAGGTGTCTATCCTGCACTTCCATCATGACTCAAGGGTAAACTGTAACTTACTAGAGCCAATTATAACCAATTTCCAGTAATTGGATCAAGAAAAGGCCAATGAAATCTTGGCTAATGCAATGGGAGAGGAAGTGTTCTGGGTGCCACCTGGATTTAAAAGTGACACAGGCTGGCGCAATGGCTGACGCCTGTAATCCCAACACTTTGGGAGGCCGAGGCAAGTGGATCACCTGAGGCTAGGAGTTCGAGACCACCCTGGCCAACATGGTGAAACCCCATCACTACTAAAAATACAAAATTAGCTGGGCGTGGTGGTGCATACCTGTAATCCCAGCTACTGGAGAGGCTGAGGCAGGAGAATCACTTGAAACCAGGAGGCAGAGGTTGTAGTGAGCCGAGATCCCACCACCGCACTCCAACCTGCCTGGGTAACAAGAGCGAAACTCCATTTCAAAAAAAAAAAAAAAAAAAAAGTGACACAGTGTGGGGAAGAGCCTCTTTTCTCTTTTCTGTTGGTGGGTATGGTTATGTATGAAGTTGCTACCGGGTGCTGAGGCAGCCATCCTGCAGCATGTCAAGAGGGAAAAAGAGAAAAGCAAAAAGAAAATCTAGGCTGCCAGACTTTTTGTGGGGAGCCCTTCATGGGAAGAAAAATCATGAAAACTTAGACTTACTCAGGTTTATATTCTCCTACCTCTTGCTTTCTTTTTCTTGTCAGATGAATTTCACTCATACACCTCTTCTCTCTCCTTCATGCCAGATCAGTTCTGTTTGGAAGAATGAAAATGACAGCTAAGTGGTGTGATCTAACTGACACAGGGAAAGAAGCTGAAATTGACCACTCAGGAAATGAGGCATGTGTTAATGATTTTCTTTTGACTCATTGTTTTTAAAAACATCCACATGCAATCAACTGTTGTCTATAAAATAAAATAAAATTCCTAAAAAGGAAAAAGGGGACATAGACTTGCTATTTCATTCCACATTAGGAAGAGGACTAACATTTATTGGGTACTTACTATATGCCTGACATTTTACTAGGAACTTTTCATACTCTGTCTCACCAAATGACCTTGCTTGCCCTTTGAATAAAATTTTAACTCCTTTCCACGGTGTATGTTCTGACCCCCTCTCTGAAATCCGCACCCTCCCCATCTCTACTCCACAGATGGGCCTTTGAATTCTGGCTTTTTTTTAAAATTCCCTCTTATTTATGAAACACACCTAGCACGTTCCTGCCTCAGGGCTCCTGTTCTTGTCATTCTCTTTGCCTGGAATCCTCTTTCCTTGGATCTTCCCATGTCTGATTTCTTTTTTTTTTTTTTTCTTTTTTTTTTTTTTGAGACAAGAGTCTCGCTCTGTCACCCAGGCTGGAGTGCAGTGGTGTGATCTTGGCTCACTGCAAGCTCCGCCTGCCAGGTTCATGCCATTCTCCGGCCTCAGCTTCCTGAGTAGCTGGGACTACAGGTGCCCGCCACCACGCCTGGCTAATTTTTTGTATTTTTAGTAGAGATGGGGTTTCACCGTGTTAGCCAGGATGGTCTCGATTTCCTGACCTTGTGATCTGCCCTCCTCGGCCTCTGAAAGTGCTGGGATTACAGGTGTGAGCCACCGCACCCGGCCAATGTCTGATTTCTTTACATCAACCACACCTCACAAAAATATCCTTTCTTCAGAGGGCCTTCTGTGACCATTCTATTAGGTTAGTGCAAAAGTAATCGCAGTTTTTGCCATTAAAAGTAATAGCAAAAACTGTGATTACTTTTGCACCAACCTTATATCTAGAATAGCACCTCTCCCTCTACTCCTAGTCTCCTATTCCAGTGACTTATTTTTTCCCATCGCACTTGTATCTAAAATTATCTGATTGTATTTGCTTTGATGTATCTCCTCCCACTTGATTTTTCCTCTCTCTCTTGTTCACTGCTGTCTCTCAAACATTTAGAAGAGTGGCTGGCACTTTAAAAACAGATTGGGGGTACAAGTGCATTTTTGTTACACGGATGTATTGGGTGGTGGTGAAGTCTGGGCTTTTAGTGTAACCATCACCCAAATAGTGTACATTGTACCCAACAGGTAAGTCCTCATGGCTGGAGCTCTTAAGGTGATACTCAATAGTGCTTGTTGAAATAATGGATAGATCACATAATCTATAACATTATAGGGCAGAATGCACACTACGAGGAACCATGAGATATCTCAGTAAGTGAGTGTTAGAAAAGAACCTACAGGATTTAGGTTCATAATAGGTGATTTTGGTTGGGATTTAAGGAAGCAGAACTTTTTTTTTTTTCTACATTGGATATTGTCAGGAAGCAGGGACAATTCTATGATTAGAGATTCTTAATGAACCTCATCTCTAGGCAGGAAGACAAGAACAGGGCTAAAACCATAACTGGTAAAGCAGCAGCAGACAATCCTATCAGGCAGGATGGGGAGATGTTTGGTGTTTTGGGGGTTTGCACAATGACCTTGTTTTTGTCAGCACTTAGACAAGATTACCGAGTCACCTTGTTTTTTGTCTCATTTCATAGTTTATAGAGTGGCCTTGTGTGATATTGGTGTTCTATGCAACTGTGTTTAACAGGAGAATGCAAAGGCCCAGCTGTTGAGTGTCACAGCTTCTAGGCCAGTTTCTAGGTGTCAAGGTCCATTTTCTGTCTCTTACAAGTGTCCTAAGGCTGGAGTCTAGTGTCAGCACAGAAATAAGCAGGAGAATATCTTTCGGCTACTTGATAGTTCCCTTTTCCCCAGTTCTGGCTATGTATTAGGATGGACACTGAACCAAGACAGCACAGGCTGGTAGAGAAGCAGTACTTCTAGAAGTCAACTAAAAAATGCCTTTATTTATCCAAGAATTAATTATCCTCTCAGCACATGGCTACCACAGCTAATTTTCAAATGGAGAATGCTGTATATTTTGCATCCTGAATGATAGAACGCACCATTGCCTCAAAGGCCATGTTCAAAAACCTGCCAAGTCCTTGATTCTGGTTCATATTTTTATTTTTATGTAAACACAACAGTATGGTTTCAGGGAAGTCTGTTTTTTTTTTGTTTTGTTTTGTTTTTTTGAGACAGAATCTCGCTTTGTCACCCAGGCTTGAGTGCAGTGGTGCTATCTCGGCCCACTGCAACCTCCACCTCTCAGGTTCAAGTGATTCTCTTGCCTCAGCCTCTTAAGTAGCTGGGATTACAGGTGTATGCCACCACACCCAATTAATCTTTGTATTTTTAGTAGAGACAGGGTTTCACCATGTTAGGCTGGTCTCGAACTCCTGACCTCGTGATCCGCCCGTGTCAGCCTCCCAAAGTGCTAGTTTACAGGTGTAAGCTACCATGCCTGGCCTTAGGCAAGTCTTTTAACTAGCATCCCAGCATCCTCTGGGACTCTATGGCACCTGTATTCCTCTGTTAACATTCCTTCTATATTGTAATTAATTTATTTTAATCTATCTGCCTGGTTAGACTGTCTCCCACATATTTGTATCCCCGGAACTTAACAAAGGACTTGGCACAGGCTAGGCTCCCTACAAATATTAAGTGAATTTAAAATGGAGCTTTAATTCCTGGCTTGAAGTCACCTCACAAAACATTTAGTGAGTCTGTATTACAAGCCAGGAGGACGCTATGAAAAATCAGATAGTCTTTCCCTTTAAGGAATTTGTATTCATTTCTATTAGAGTTAATAATAATAATGATAATAGCTGATATTTACTAAAGATAGGGAACTTTGTTAGGTACTTTATATGTACCTGAGTTACTGTCATTTTATAGGTGAAACAAGGGATGTACCCAATGGGTTAAGTTACTTTCCTGAGGTCACGCAGCTATCACGGGGCAGAACGAAGACTTTAACTCAGACAGTCTGACTGCAGTAACGCTGGCCCAACTATCATGTTGAAACGTACAGCACCGTGCCCATCCACAGTTCTCTCATTTATCAGAGAGGAGGTCCTGAATCCAAGTTATTGAAATCGTTGCAGACATTTGTTTTAAAGAGGAATAGGTCAAGATGACCAATCTGGGGAAGAACTTTTGCCAGGCAGTGCGTATGGGGAACAGAGCTGCGTTGGCCTTCTGTTAAAGCAGCTGGGGATTTCGGTTTTGGCTTCAGACCTGCACAACATTCAGTCAATAGCATTTATTGGGCGTCCACTGTGCAGGGTGCCCCCTGCTACTTCCTCTCCTCCCCACATCCTGGGGCAGGGAGGGGAAGTGAGGAAAGAAAAGCAAAGACAAGGCGAGGAGGATGCTGAGGGTGGGCAGGTGGGCACCCCCACCCCGCTGCGCCGGCCACGCCCCTTGCCGCTCCCTCGCCCCGGGGCCCACTTTAAACTCCCGCCCCTCGTAATAACGACCAATGGCCGACCGCGAAGCGCGCAGGAGGCTGGGGATTGGCCAGTGCCGAGGTTGCTGGGGCGACGGGTGGGTCCGGCGGGTCCCCGGGCGGGGCGGGGCCGGGGCGAGGGGTGCCGGGTGGTTTCCGCCCGGCAGCCCGCAGCCCGCTGCGCCCCGGGCCGCGTCTCCCGGCGGTGGGAGGGGGCGGCCCCCACTCGGTTCCTGGCCCCTCGCGGCCCCGTCAGCCTCCCGCTCGGGGTGCGCCGCCCTTCGTCTGGGTCTCCGCCCCCAGGACCCGCGGCCGAGAGCTCCGGAGCGCGGCTTCCCCGGCCGGCTGCGCGATGGGCTGCGGGAACTCCACCGCCACCAGCGCGGGCGCGGGCCAAGGTGAGTCCGGCGGGAGGCGGGGGCCGGCGGGGGCGGGCGGGAGAGGCGGCGGGAAGGAAGGGTGCAGGGATCTTGGGTGGGGGGCGCGCAGCCCCCTCTCCCCGTCCCCATTTTCGGGACAGGAGCAGACCGCCCGTTTCTGGAAAGACCGAAAGCGTGGCAAGTCCCCCGCGCGGGGGCGGTTGCGCCTGGAGCAGTCGAGCCTGCGGGGCGTCTCTGCCGAGGGAGCGCGGGGAGGACTGTCGCGGGCTCCCCTGCAGCCGCCGGGGCTCACCTGCAGCTGGCGGGTCTCAGGGCTCTCCTGGGGGAGAGGATTCCCGGACGTGGTCCCCGGCCGCTCCCCCACCTCCCACACTTGCTCCTCCAGGCCTCTCCCCCATCTCCTCGGAACCAAGGCGCTGCACCTGGAAAAGTGCAGCAGAGCAAGACAGGACTTTTCGGGCAGTGGTGGTGGGGCAGGAAGCGGGGAAGGGTGGGAGTGGGGTTGGGGAGAACTAGAAGCAGAGCTGCAAAAACGCATCTGTGTCTGCCTTGATGCCGAAGACCGGCTGGGCTGCTCTTAGGATTTCTCTGAGAAGCTGCAGCAGTAAGGATGTTTTACATATGTGAGACAGAGCTTTATTATTAACAGTCTGTTAAGATACTTTTCATTAAACACACACACACACACACACACACACACACACAAATAGAAACTTCTTTTTATACCACTTCATGTTGATTGGCAGGCAAGGTCTTCTAGCTTCCCCGGGCCAGCCAGGCTTTGTGTCAAGTGACTTTTGCCAAAACTCACCCTTCTATTTCACCCTGCCTATGTCTCGGGATTTAAGGTACCCTGGATCTGTTTTGAGTAATAACTGCTGACCTATTTCAGTGTCCTTTTGGATAAAGAGCTCCTATCTCCTCCAATTGAAGTCAACCAGATGCCACATCCTAGCCTAACCAGCAAATGCAAACAGCAGTCAGAGGCTGCGGTATTTCCTAGGCGGCTGTGGAGGCCCTGGCAATGACTTTGTAACCTTGGGCCTGTCACATCCCTTAACCCAGACGCCGGTAAAAAATGGAGTTTAAGACTCAATTTGAGTCTTGAATTAAATCCTGTCCTGGTGACAATGCAGAGAGCCACAGGAGAGCGAACTTTTTAGATTCATTTAACAGTGGGGAAGGTTAGTGTAGCACCTTATGCTAATGAGGGCAGACGGGCTTCAAACCTGCCTGTGGCCAGAAAGCTCTGCTTGTATGAAACAATGTCAGGGCCACACCCCGCACTCAAATTGTGTCTCAGTCTACTAGGTACTGTGGCCGTATGCAATCCACTGCATGTGTAGCCTACTTAAAAAAGGTGAAGAAAAGTTATCCACATTAAAAAAAATTGTAGGAAGGATTTGTAGCAGATTTCCCTTAAAATGAGGCTAGTTTCATGCATGTACATTTTGATTTATTAATGAACTGCTTGTCAGTTTTAGGGATGGGGAGGGGGTACCATTGCCAAATGAAAATCAGAATGATGGACCAGGCGCAGTGACTCATGCCTGTGTAATCCCAGCACTTTGGGAGGCTGGGGTGGGTGGATCATCTGAGCTCAGGAACTCGAGACCAGTGTAACCAACATGGTGAAACCCAGTCTCTACTAAAAATACAAAATTAGCTGGGCGTGGTGGCGCCTGCTTGTAATCCCAGCTATTTGGGAGGCTGAGGCACGAGAATTGCTTGAACCTGGGAGGCGGAGGTTGCAGTGAGCTGAGATCGCACCATTGCACTCCAACCTGGGCAACAAGAGTGGAACTCCGCTCCATCTAAAAAAAAAAAAAAAGAAAAGAAAAGAAAATAGAAAGATGGTAAGGTATGATGAGCTAGCTCTAAAATGTTAATGTAAAAATCAAATTTGGGGGGAAAATATGATTTCTTGGGGAAATATGATTATCTTTATGAATATTTGATTGACTTTTTCCCTAGGAGCATCTCTCTTATCACCTAAAGGGAAGTCATATTGAAAAAAAAAAAAAAAGCTACCGAAAGAGTAGTTTGAGGAGCAGCCTCACTTTTGTTTGTGGACAGTGCATGTGAGAGCATGCTATTCTCTCCTCCAGCTTGCTGTTTGCCAAAAATTACTTTTTGTTCAGAGGAGAGAAGGATATTGAGTGCAGATTCAAAACATGCAGGAGACAACATGATGAGCAGGGAGTTATTGCATCACCTCTTTGATGGATATGCCCTTGTCTTGGAGAAGCCATTCCCAAACATTTGCCTGCCTGTGAGTCCACCTGGCTGACTTTGGGATTTGGTCATTGTTATTTTGAAATGTTCTGTCAGTTGGTGTTAGGAATTTAGGTTCAGAGAGGAAATACATCAGGATGAGAGATGTAAAGAAAAATAAACCACAATGCAAAGGTACTGAAAATCTCAGCTGTGAGCTTGGGCATCAGCGTCAATTGCACTGTTGACCAAGCTGCACACTAGGAGGACTGAACCCGAGCAATACGAAACGCGTTAAAGAGATATTGTCTTTCTCTTCTAGTTACTTACAGTGCACTACTTCCAATATGTCCCAGGAGTCATAGAATTCAGTAGCCATACAAACTTTTCAGAAAAAAAAAATGTACAAAGAGATTGTAGAAAGGGTGCTGAACTTAAGAGTCTGGACAGTGAGCTTAAGCTTAGGTTTGGTGCTGTGCTGTTTGCATTATTGTGGGTGTTTCATTTTACTTTTTTGAATTTTGGTTTCTTTGTTTATATAATGGGAATAATTCGGTGTATCTTGTTTCATAAGGCTCATGTGAAACTCAAAAATAACATGAAAGCACACTGTAAACTGTAATTATTACTATATAATAATATTATTATCACCATTTTGAAGGCAAAGTGGTTTTCCTTGAATATTTTTCTATAAGAACATGGCAAATATTTTTTGATGCATTAACATATTATTACAATACCCCTAAATCTGAAATCTCCATTCTGAGCCCTGTTTTACTTTTTGAGTTACTCAGGTAAACTGGATAATTGTTTCCCCTTTCCCTGAGATAGCAGGATGGCTGCCTCTCTTGGCTTTTGTCTGGTGGACTTGGTTAACATGACAGATTGATATGCAGTAGTGTACTTGAGTTAAGTGGATTCCGTATGCCTGATGCATGGAGAAACTGGTATGGAGTAAAAGGGTCAAGTGGCCATAAGGAGTAGTGAGATGGATCAGCCCCTTGATAATTCTGGGTAGACTTGCCCCTGGAGTATGTTTCTATTAATAACTGTAAGCTTACACATCGTCCACCCCTATGTGGGACCTCCTCTGCTGGGAACTTCTAGGGCAACGCTGGGGGCAGCCAGCAATGGATGTTTGTAGAATGAAGTCAAACTTTGTTGCTCTTGAGAAATTGATAGTCTAGGTAGGAAGATTAAGCAATTGAGAATCACTGCAAAGCAGTGGATAATAGAATATAATCTGGACCTTCAAGTTTCCAGGAGATATTGAATGACACAGTTAAATCAGAGAAGTCCTCCTGGAGGAGTTGAGCTGGGGGTCTAGATGGAAATGTGAGAGGCATTTTGAGTACACAAAAGCTCTCCACTTTCACATTTTGATATCATCACTCTCTCAAGGTAGGAATTTGATTTTTCCCAACCTGCAACTATATAAAGGATGCAGCATATTTTTTCTGCATGGTCTGGAGTCTAGACCCCAAATTATGGAGAAACATCGGGATTGAATAGTTCATTTTAAAGTGTCACATTTGTTATAAGGCAGGGAGCTTTTGCACTCTCGCTCACTCTCACTCTTTCTCTGCAGTCAGATTCTTTACTCACTTGTTTTTCCCCCGAGCATGTCTCCGGACTAGGCAGAGAAATGACCAACCTTGCATTCTGAGTTAATGATGTCAGCAGGTTGGTCATTCCCTTTTATATAGTCACATTCATATAGACTATGAAGCAAGTCTTTGTAATGTAAATCAGAAATTCCTTTTTATGTAAACCAGAAAATCCCTTAAAAGTTTGGATAGTTCCCCATATCTACAGTAGTCTATTTTAATGCAGGCTAAGGCTGTAGAAATTATTTGCAGCAGGAGTTATCTCAGAAATATTCAGCTCATGATATTTGGTTAAATTGGTTAGTTGAATTTTTTCTGCCAGAGATATGTAATTGGTAACTGATCTTAACTTTGCAGGCAACTTACTGTCAGAATGTTTCCATAATAGTTTTCTGCTGTTTATGTAACAATAGTCCGAGGGGGAGGAGCTTGATAATTATTTACCCTATTTTATCAGTGTATCCCAGGGAGTTAATACAATCCTTTTGGGCCCAATATTTTAGATTAGTTATGTCCTTGTCCTCAATTAGCTAGATAATTGCATTCTTTTGAGGTAGCTATATTGGTCCAGGCTTAATTACATCTGTAAATGGTTTGGTAGTATTGAAATGATACAGCTCTGTTTAGCAATAGTGCAAGATTTGTGGGGGAAATAATGTAAAAATAATACAAAATTTTGTTGATATCATTTTTATCTTGCACTACTCCCCTTTCCCCACAAGTATGTACCATCCTTCTTTCTATTCTTTAAACATGCTGAACTCATTCTTGTTTTCTCTCTGTGGGAAACACTTTTTTGCTGGAGAGCTGATACTATGTTTATTTCTTGTCTCCTTTCCCCTCCCCCAAATGGAGGCCTCATGAAAGCCTATACATTTTGTTTACGGCTGTATCCTCAGCCTCTAGACTAGTTTCCACATTTTTAATGGAACTCACTCTTGTTTTCTCTCTGTGTGAAACACTTTTTTGCTGGAGAGCTGATACTATGTTTATTTCTTGTCTCCTTTCCCCTCCCACAAATGGAGGCCTCATGAAAGCCTATACATTTTGTTTACAGCCATATCCTCAGCCTCTAGACCAGTTTCCACATTTTAAATGGATTTTTTGGTTCTTGAAATATATTTGTTGAATGAATGAGTATATTTGGGAAACAAAAAAGATTCAAAATGAAGTCCTAAGTTGGTGTGGGCACACTGTACTGATGTAGCAATTGAGTGAAGAAAATAGAACCTCAGGAAGTCAGGGAAGCCTGCATGGAGGAAGTGGAACTTGATTTGGGTTTGAAGAATAGCGTGGAGGAAGTGGAACTTTATTTGGCTTTGAAGAATAGGTAAGATTTGGATAGCAGAAAATGGAAGGCAGGTCATTTTTAGTGCTGTAGGAAGTCCTAGAGACAGAAATGGGCTTGGCGCATTTCAGGTTAGTAAGAAGTCTAGCCTGATTGGATGTAGTCGTTCACATTGGTTGCAGGGTATTGGGAAGAAAGAATGGTTAGGATACGGGACGAGGAGGACAGAAAGGCACTGAGGCCACAGAGTTGAGAGTGGGCTCTGCAGCTAAAAAGGCCAAGTACAAATCCTACATTTGCCATTCATCATTTGTATGACCTTGGGCAATTTGCTGAGGCTGTCTGTTCCTTAGGTTCCTTGACCATAAAATGGGGGTGTAATAAGAGAGCCTATTGTAGATTCAGTGAGTTAATGTGTGTAAAGTGTTTAGAACAGTGACTCGTATATTGTAAGTACCCAATATACTACTTGTTATCAGTATAGGGAAAGACACAGCTGGTGTAGAAGGAAGGCGTGAGCCACTGAAGGCGTGTACGTATAGAAGTGGCATCATTCACAGCT
The DNA here is from genome assembly GCF_000001405.40 of Homo sapiens. NCBI lineage: Eukaryota > Metazoa > Chordata > Mammalia > Primates > Hominidae > Homo > Homo sapiens. The sequence continues at coordinate 105,336,591 of NC_000012.12, forward strand.
GCTGTCTGCGCTCAGAGAAGTGCTGAGGGCCTGGATCATGGCTGTGGGCCCTGAGGGGTAGAAGCGTTGAGGTCACAGATACGTGGAAGACAGTTGAGCTAAAGAGAGGCTGCAGATGTGGGATGAAGGAAGAGGGAGAGGTAAAAATTAAACTGTTAGAGCCTGGGTAACTGGAAGGAGGTTGCTACTCACTCTAAAAGTAAGGTAGTAAGGGGCAGGTGATCAACATACTCGACTGTACCATGTTTGAAGTGATGATGAATAAAGAGAGGTGTGGAGACCCCTCTGCTCAGGTAGTAATCATTGGTGAGACAGAACCAAGAAGCTCTGTGCATCATTCGCTTGCTGTGTCTCCCCAGAATTGATGGCATCCAAAGCGAGTGATTGATTTCTGCCATTGTCACAGCCTGGTAGGTTCTTTTTGCCCACTGCCCCAAACAAAACCAGCACGGGCCGGGCACGGTGGCTCACACCTGTAATCCCAGCACTTTGGGAGGCTGAGGCAGGTGGATCACCTGACGTCAGGAGTTTGAGACCAGCCTGGCTGACATGGCGAAACCCCATCTCTACTAAAAATACAAAAATTAACCAGGCGTGGTGGCGCACACCTGTAATCCCAGCTGCTTGGGAGGCTGAAGTGGGAGAATTGCTTGAACCCAGGAGGGTTGCAAGTGAGGCTGCAGTGAGCAGCCTGGGTGACAGAGCAAGATCCTGTCTTAAAAAACAAACAAACAAACAAAAACCAATGAGAACAGCAGTTTTTGTGGCAAATAAAGAGTTTAATCATTTCAGGGCTGGCCAAGTGAGGAGAGCAGAGAGAAATTTCTCAAACCTGTCTCTCTGAGAATTCGGAGGCTAGGGTTTCTTAAGGGGACTCTGGTAGGCAGGGGGTTACTGGGGAATTGGAACAATTGATTGGCTGGGGATGAGGTCATAGGGGCATCTAAAACATCTTTGGGCAGTAAAGTCAGTTCCCAGGAAAGGGTTGGTTCTCAGAACCAGGTGGCATCTCTTGATCTACCAAAATGTGAAATCTGAAAACTATGTCAAAGGCCAGGTCTTTAGGTTTCACAATACTGATGTTATCTATAGGAGTATTTGGGGAAGTTGGAAATCTTGTAACCCCTGGTTACGTGACTCTAGTGCAGTAAGCAACTTATAGGAAAGCATGCTAAACAATAGCGGGTCATTGTTTATGCCTATTTTTTAGTAAAGTTTAAGCCCCTACCAGAATTTTAACCTTGCCATATGAATGCAGCTTTGATCTTTGAACAAGGATGGGGTATGGTGGGGGGTGGGGTCAGTTTTCCTTGCTTCAAAGTGTAACTATAAACTAAATTCCTCTCATAGTTATCTTGGCTTCCATGTTAGAGTAAGAGAAAAAAAACCTATGAAATTAAAAGCAAAGCAAAATAGAGTCAGTTATATTAAATTTCTCTCATTATTTATAATTCAGCAAAGGCAGTTTTACCATGAGCCACTTATAGCTCCATATAGACATGGCTTAAATTTTATTATATCAGCTAAATGTCAGTGCACTAACTTATGCCTGTACTTCTTATATGGCTGCATTTATCTTTCATTTATTTATTTATTTATTTTGAGATGGAGTCTTGCTCTGTCACCCAGGATGGAATGCAGTGGCATGATCTCGGCTCAGTGCAACCTCCACCTCCCAGGTTCAAGAGATTTTCCTTCCTCGGCCTCCCGAGTAGCTGGGATTACAGGCATGCACCACCGCACCCAGCTAATTTTGTATTTTTAGTGGAGATGGGGTTTCACTGTGTTGGCCAAGCTGGTCACAAATTCCAGACCTCAGGTGATCCACCCGTCTTGGCCTCCCAGAGTGCTGGGATTACAGGTGTGAGCCACTGCGCCTGGCCATTTTTTGGTTTTTACTTGCCTAAAGTATAGCTGCTTGTCTTAGTTCATTTTTGTGTTGCTATAAAGGAATACCTGAGACGGGGTAATTGATAAAGAATAGAGGTGTATTTGGCTCGTGGTTCTGCAGCCTGTACAAGAAGCATGGCACCAGCATCTGCTTCTGCTGAGGGCTTCAGGCTGCTATCATTCATGGTAGAAGGTAAAAGGGAGCCATAGTGTGCAGAGATCACATGGCAAGAGTGGAAGCAGTAGAGAGAAGGGAGGGAGGTGCCAGGCTCTTGCTAATGACCAGCCAGCTCTCATGGAAACTAATACAGTTAGAGCCCACTTGTTACCACCAGCCATTCATGAAGGATCTGCCCCTATGGCCCAAACACCTCCCATTAGACCCCACCCCCATGAGATTTGGAGGGGACAAACAAACCAAACTCTAGCACTACT